>NC_000001.11:179245193-179548223 GCF_000001405.40 Homo sapiens
GTTGCTCACTGTTACATGTAGGTTGCAACAAAAAATCACAATGGAAAAAAAAGACTCATTTTTTTTAGAAATAAGCCCCCTTCAGAACTTAAAAAAAAAAAAAAAAGAGGTCGGGCACAGTGGCTCACACCTGTAATCCCAGCATTTTGGGAGGCTGAGGCAGGTGGATCAATTGAGGTCAGGAGCTCGAGACCAGCCTGACCAACATGGTGAAACCCCATCTCTACTGAAAATACAAAAAATTAGCCAGATGTGGTGTTGAGCACCTGTAATCTCAGCTACCTGAGAGGCTGACTCAGGAGACTATCACTTGAACCCAGGAGGCAGAGGTTGCAGTGAGCCAAGATTGTGCCACTGCACTCCAGCCTGAGTGACAGAGTGAAACTCCGTCTCAAAAGAAAAAAGAAAAAAGTGTCACCAGGAAAGGATAGCCAAGTTAAACAAGACTTTCAATTTCAGTACTAAAACTGTAACTTGGGCTGTGTGCAGTGGCTCACACCTGTAATCTCAGCACTTTGAGAGGCTGAGGCAGGCAGATCACTTGAGCCCAGGAGTTCAAGACCAGCCTGGGCAACATGGTGAAACCCTATCTCCATAAAAAATCCAAAAAGTTAGCCGGGTATGGTGGTGTGTGCCTGTAGTCCCAGCTACCTGGGAGGCTGAGGTGAGAGGATCATCTGAGCCCAGGAGGTTGGGGCTGCAGTGAGCTGTGATTGGACTACTGCACTCCAGCCTGGGGACAGAGTAAGACCCTGTCTCATAAAATAAAATAAAATAAAATAAAATAAAATAAAATAAAATAAAATAAAATAAAATAAAATAAAACTGTAATTTATTTGCAATTCAACTTCAATTTCACGGGTTCAAATTACCTCTGTGCTTTAAAATCATTTCCCCTGAGAAAGAGAGGTTTAACTTATGATGATATCCAATGTGCTTCAGAGTGTATAGTCTGTTTCTCTTTTCCTTGAATCTGGACTGGTCCTGTGGTTTGCTTTGACCAATGAATATGGCAGAATTGACTCTGATTTTGGAGCCTACGTCATAAAACACCTTTCATCTTCTATCTTCTACACCTGTAAGACTCCCACTTGAAATACAGCTGAAAGGTTCAAAACAAGATTTACCTGTAAAATTTAAGATGAGAATATTGACCATCAGTTTCAAAATTATTTCCTGAATTAATAAGTATAATAACCTAAGTTAATATATAGGAATCTCTTATATAGGACTATATGATAGAAATGGAAGAAACTGATGGAGAAATAAGTAATCCTAAGATGTTAGGCAAGTTAGGCAGCAGGAAAAAAGGGCCTACTGAATGCTAATAATAAACTTTAGTTTCTTGATACAATCACCATTTAAAAATTAGAATCATTAAAATAATTTCTGAACCCATAATTGGTATAAATTTTTCTTTTTTCTTTTCTTTTTTTTTTTTTTTTTTTGAGTCAGAGTCTCGCTCTGTTGCCCAGGCTGGAGTGCAGTGGCACAATCTTGGCTCACTGCAACCTCCATCTCCTGGGTTCAAGTGCTCTCCTGCCTCAGCCTCCTGAGTAGCTGGGATTACAGGCATGTGCCACCATGCCCGGCTAATTTTTGTATTTTTAGTAGAAACGGGGTTTTTCCACGTTGGCCAGTCTGGTATCAAACTTTTGACCTCAGATGATCCGCCCACCTCAGCCTCCCAAAGTGCTGGGATTACAGGCTTGAGCCACTGTGCCAGCCTGGCATAAATTTTTCTACTAAATTAGAGGAAGGTAACATGGAACTGTATGACCCTTGAAGCATCAGAAAATCTCACTGGGACTGAGTTTCTTGCACTGTAAAATGATACTTTGGTTAGATAACTAGAATACTATTGGAAAATTTAATTACAATCCTGAGTATCATTACCAAAAAGTGCCTTTCAAGTATGAGGGAGAGAGACACGTGGTCACCAGCTTTAGGAAAAAGAACACACACAACCTAAGTATCTGGAGACTGTTAAAGCTTTCCTGTTGATATAGCATTGGCAAAGTCTTTGTGTAACCCGAAGGTATGCATGCATTAATTTGAAGGCCATTATTCATTTTTTTCTGAGACAGAGTTTTGCTTTTGTTCCCCAGGCTGGAGTGCAGTGGTGTGATCTCGGCTCATAGCAACCTCTGCCTCCCGGATTCAAGCGATTCTCCTGTCTCAGCCTCCTGAGTAGCTGGGATTACAGGCATGTGCCACCACGCCCAGCTAATTTTGTATTTTTAGTAGAATCAGGGTTTCTCCCGGTTGACCAGGCTGGTCTCAAACTCCAGGCCTCAGGCAATCCGCCCACCTCGGCCTCTCAAAGTGCTGGGATTACAGACGTGAGCCACCATGCCCAGCCGCTATGACTATGTATATAGAAAATCTGGGATGCTCAACTAAAGAGCTTTAGAATTAATACAACAAGTTAGAATGGCTAGCTATAAGTAAAGATCCATAAACTTAGTAGGTTCCCTTTATTGGAGCAATGGGTTAGAAATAGAATTTGAAAAAGTAAAAATAAACAAAGTATATCTATATACAATACATATATATATAATGTTTATATGTATATGTATATGTAATAAGTTGATCAGAAAAAAGTATTACAGCCTGGGCAACATAGCAAAAACCCGTCTCTACAAAAAAATATAAAAATTAGCCAGGCGTGGTGGTGCTCCCTTGTAATCCCAGCTACTCGGGGACAGAGGGGTAGTCGGGTGGGGAGTGTTGAGGCAGGAGGATGGCCTGAGCTCGGGAAGTTGAGGCTGCAGCAGGCCGAGATTGTTGCAGTGGGCCGAGATCGCGCCACTGTACTCCATCCTGGGTGACAGAATGAGACCCTGTCAAAGAAAGAAAGAAAGAAAAAGGAAAGAGAGAGAGGGAGGAAGGAAGGAAGGAAGGTAGGAAGGAAGGAAGGAAGGAAAGAAAGGGAGGGAAGAAAGGAAGAGAGAGAGGGGAGGAAAGAAGGAAGGAAGAGAGAGAGAAGGGAAGGAAGGAAGGAAGGAAAAGAAAAGAGTATTAAATGGGAAGTGAGTATAAAACTGTAATAAAGAATACAAAGATTGGCTGGGCACGGTGGCTCACACCTGTAATCCCAGCACTTTGCGAGGCCGAGGCGGGAGGAACACTTGATCTCAAGAGTTCAAGTCCAGCCTGGCTAACATAATGAGACTCCATCTCTACAAAAAATGTTTTTAAATTAGCTGAGTGTGGTGGCTCATGCTTATACTCCCTGCTTGGGAGGCTGAGGTGGGAGGATTGCTTAAGCCCAGCAGGTCAAGGCTGCAGTGAGCTATGATCGTGCCACTGCACTCCAGCCAGAGCAACAGAGTGAGACCCTGTCTCAAAAATAATAATAATAATATAAAGATTAACTCAATAAAGAGTCCCTCCTGAAAAGGAGGACTTTGAACTTCTTTCTAAGAAATTGTTTTACCATAATAATCAAAACACCTTTGATATCAAATAAACACTGTGTTCATATTTTATGCTAAATTAACAACATATATGTGTATAGCTATACATGTATTTGGGGGAGTTTCTAGTATGGCTGTATTCCAGTTTGTCTCTTTTTTTTTTTGAGACGGAGTTTTGCTCCGCCCAGGCAATGGCGTGATCTCAGCTCACCGCAACCTCCACCTCCCGGGTTAAAGCGATTCTCCTGCCTCAGCCTCCTGAGTAGTTGGGATTATAGGCATGCGCCACCACGCCCTGCTAATTTTGTATTTTTAGTAGAGACGGGGTTTCTCCATGTTGGTCAGGCTTGTCTCGAACTCCCAACCTCAGGTGATCCACCTGCCTCAGCCTCCCAAAGTGCTGGGATTACAGGCATGAGCCACCATGCCCAGCCAGTTTGGCTCTTTAAAACATTGGTCACCCTAGCATTGGCCATTCATTCACTAAGTATTAAGCTCTTACTGTGTGCCAGCTGCTGTATCAGGGACTAAGGTAACAGCTGTAAAAAAGGCAGACAAAATTCCCTTCTCCTCAAGGAAACTGTAGTGTGGTTGGAGAATCCAGTAAAGAAAATTGACAATTAGAATATACTGTGCAATGAGTGCTAAAGAAGGGGAAATGACCTAAGAGCACAGAAGCAGGGCCAGGAAGGCTTCCCCCAACGTGGGAATCTGGAGGAAGGGGAAACAGAGGAAGGAAGCATTCTCCCCGCCCTAAGGAAGACCAGAGGGAGCATGGCACAGTGGGGAGCTGTGAAGTTTTCTATCACTTTTTTTTTCTAGCATTAGCAAATATTTGTGAGTGTTTGCTGTATGCTGAGTGATACAAGGAGCACAGAATAACTATGTGAGTGATTACAATACAGTGAGATTGGAAGACATAAGAACTCCAATTTCAGCTGGGCGCGGTGGCTCATGCCTGTAATCCCAGCAATTCGGGAGGCCGAGGCAGGCGGATCACAAGATCAGGAGTTTGAGACCAGCCTGGTCAACGTGGTGAAACCCTGCCTGTACTAAAAATACAAAAATTATTCAGGCATGGTGGCAGGTGCCTATAATCCCAGCTACTCGGGAGGCTGAGGCAGGAGGATTGCTTGAACCAGGTAGGCAGAGGTTGCAGTGAACTGAGATCACGCCACTGCACTCTAGCTTGGGCCACAGAGCAAGACTCCATCTTTTTTTTTTTTTTTTTTTTTTGAGACAAAGTTTCACTCTTGTTGCCCAGGCTGGAGTGCAATGGCGTGATCTCAGCTCACCGCAACTTCCGCCTCCTGGGTTCAAGCAATTCTCCTGCCTCAGCCTCCCGAGTAGCTGGGATTACAGGCATGTGCCACCACCCCTGGCTAATTTTGTATTTTTAGTAGAGATGGGGTTTCTCCATGTTGATCAGGCTGGTCGTGAACTCCCGGCCTCAGGTGATCCGCCCACCTCAGCCTCCCAAAGTGCTGGGATTACAGGCGCGAGCCACCGCGCCCGGCCTAGACTCCATCTTTAAAAATAAAAAAATATTGGGAGGCTGAGGCGGGCGAATTACCTGAGGTTGGGAGTTCCAGACCAGCCTGACCAACATGGAGAAACCCTGTCCCTACTAAAAATACAAAATTAACCGGGCATAGTGGTGCACACCTGTAATCCCAGCTACTCGGGAGGCTGAGGCAGGAGAATCACTTGAACCCAGGAGGCAGAGGTTTCAGTCAGCCGAGATCATGCCATTGCACTCCAGCCTGGGCAACAAGAGCAAAACTCCATCTCAAAAATAAATAAATAAATAAAATTAATCAGTCAATCAATCAATTGGGTGTGGTGGCATGCATCTGTAATCCCAGCTACTCAGGAGGCTGAGGCAAGAGAATCGCTTGAACCTGGGAGGTGGAGGTTGCAGTGAGCTGAGATCGTGCCACCGCACTCCAGCCTAGGTGACACAGTGAGACTCCATCACAAAAAAAAAAAAAAAAAAAAGTCCAATTTCAACACAGGAACAAAACACAGCATAAGAGATGTCACAACGGTGGAGATACAAATTCAGGTAATATTTTAAGTGACTTTGCTCATTGCTTTTATGTTCTGATTTTTTTTTTTAGATGGAGTCTCACTCACTCGCCCAAGCTGGAGTGCAGTGGCATGATATCGGCTCACTGCAACCTCCGCCTCTGGGGTTCAAGCCATTCTCCTGCCTCAGCCTCCCACATAGCTGGGATTACAGGTGCCCACCACCATGCTCGGCTAATTTTTGTATTTTTAGTAGAGACAGGGTTTCACCATGTTGGCCAGGCTGGTCTTGAATTCCTGACCTCAGGTGACCCACGGGCCTCGGCCTCCCAAAGTGCTGGGATTATAGGCATGAGCCATCATTCCCAGCCTGTTCTAACTTTTTTCATTTGGAAAAAACGTAAAGTTGTAGAAAAGTGTAATGAATACTCACATTTCTCCCCACTTAGATTTACCAACTGATGACCTCTTGCCACACCTGCTTTGTCTCTCTACATATGTATACACACATCTCCTTTTTGTTAAAACATTTGAAAGTAGGTTGCAGATGTCTTCCTACATTATTCTTAAATATCCCAGCTTGAATCTCCCAAGAACAGGAATACTGTCCTGCAGAAGCACAGGGTCCTAACACACTTAAGAAAATCAATATTAACTCAGTCACATCAACCAACATGCTCAAATTTCTTCACCTGTCCCAAATCCTTTTTTTTTTTTTTTTGAGATGGAGTTTTGCTCTTGTTGACCAGGCTGAAGTGCAGTGGCTCCATCTCAGCTCACTGCAACGTCCACCTCCTGGATTCAAGCCATTCATCTGCTTCAGCCTCCCACATAGCCAGGATTACAGGCGCCTACCACCATGCCCAGCTAATTATTGTATTTTTAGTAGAGAGGGGGGTTTCACCATGTTGGCTGGGCTGGTCTCGAACTCCTGATCTCAAGTGATCCACCTGCCTCCGCCTCCCAAAGTATTGGGATTACAGGCATAAGCCAGTGCGCCCAGCCCCCAAATTGTCTTTATGGCTCTTCTCCCAACTCATCACATTTAAAAGTTCTTCTGTACCCTTAATGTACTTCTACTGTGCCTGGAAAATAAATGTAACGTCATTAGGTCTGTTTCTTCCCTTAAGATAAGCTATACTTTAATATTTATTCTAGTTAGACTTACTGGGTATGTGATTTATGATTTATGATTGGATCTGTGAAGAAAACAATTTGGAAAGCATTCCTGGAAAGGCTACACATCACAGTTAGCCTCTAGATGTCCTCCTTGGATAGAAGAAACCTGCAGCTAGTAGCTTAACAAGGACTTTTCCAGAGCAGTCACTATTGAGCAGATGCATTGTTCCCCAGTCAACATAGATGAAAGAGTTTAATAAATGCTTCAGAATTCCAAACTGAATATAAATAAGCTCAATTTATATGGTTCTCCAAACATTTGGCACACCTGAACAAGGTTGTAAGCTGGAAGAGCATGAGGATAAAAAATGAGGTTGACTGTCCTGTAATCCCAGCATTTTGGGAGGCCGAGGTGGGCAGATCACTTGAGAACTGGAGCTCGAGATCAGCCTGGCCAATGTGGTGAAACCATGTCTCTACTAAAAATATAAAAATTAACTGGGCGTGGTGGCGCATGCCTGTAACCCCAGCTACTTGGGAGGCTGAGGCACTAGAATCACTTGAACCCAGGAGGCAGAGGTTGCAGTAAGCCGAGATTGCACAAACTGCACTCCAGCCTGGGTGACAAAGTGAGCCTCCATCTCGGAAAAAACAAAACAAAACAAAACAGCAACAACAACAACACAGAAAGAAATGGCCAGCCATGGTGGCTCACACCTGTAATCCCAACACTTTGGGAGGCCAAGGCGGGCAGATCACCTGAGGTCAGGAGTTCGAGACCAGCCTGGCCAACATGGTGAAACCCCATCTGTACTAAAAATACAAAAATTAGCCGGGCACAGTGGCGGGAGCCTGTAATCCCAGCTACTCGGAGGCTGAGGCAGGAAAATCACTGGAGCCCAGGAAGCAGAGGTTGCAGTGAGCCGAGATAGATCGTGCCACTGCACTCTAGCCTGGGCGACAGAGTGAAACTGTGTCTCAAAAACAAAACAAAACAAAACAAAAAAACAGAAGTTGATAGGACAAAAAGAGACCAGGGTAAGTATTCACAGACTTGTTTCTGCCACTTTCAGCTCTTTTAAAGGGATATCTATATGACTCAATATTGTGCCTTTGTTATACTCATTAGTTAAATGGGCAGAGAAACAGAATGGAATGAGCCTAAATGAGAAGCCATACAGAAGATGTCTGACAGAAATTATTCCAAAAGTGAGAAGAAGAGACCCAGAAAGGATAGGAGTTTCCAAAGAGACAAAGAAGAGCAATTTAGGAGAGTAGTTTCTATGATGAGTGGGACTTTGGGGGGAGATTTATAGGGGATTATAGAATATGTTGTTGTGTTAGATGGTGCAGTTCTACTTTATCTTTCCTCATATTTATTCCAGTTATAATAATAATAATAATTTACTGAATAGTAATTACTGTGTCAGACACTATGCTAAGCACTTTGCATACATTATCTCATGTAATCCTAATAACAAACCTGTGACCTCTCATTATCCCCATTTTACAGTCAAGAAAACTTAGTCTAGAGAAGTTAAGCAGGTCATCCAAGGTCACCCAATTAGTAAATAGCAGAGCTAGCGGAGCAAGGATGTGGGTCTTGGCTGACTCCAGAGCTTGTGTTCTTACGTGTTTTGCTATATAACACGATCATTTGTCACTGACATGTGGGATCTGGAAGCATATGCGAAAGTGTAAAGAGGCCATGCAGCCTACTTCAGCCTACTTCCAGCTGAGGCTGGAGTTGCTACTATGACTTCTATGTCATCAAGCCCTTAACATTCCAGGGTTTTAGATAGTCCTTGCATATTTTCAGAAAGTAACCATTCCTATCACCATTTCTTCACTCACATAAGAAAAATGGTATACTCCTCTGTCTCTCTGTCTTTTCAAAGGCTGGCATTTTTCTTTCCCACTGTTATTCTTCGGGAAAAGAGCCATCCGTGAGAAAGTGGCTAACATGACCTCTGTATGATTCAGAGAAATGTGTCCACCACAACCGAGATAAACTCCTTGTCCAGTGTGGTAAGCATAAACTGACACTTCCTCATCAAAGATGCCCACCTTCTAATCTCTAGAACCTGAGAATATGTTATCTTACATGGTCAAATGGATTTTGTAGATGTGACTAAATTAAGGATCTTGAGATGGGGCGATAATCCTGCATTAGCCAATGGGCCCAAAGTAATCACATGAATCTTTTTTTTTTTTTGAAACAGTGTCTCATTCTGTCACCCAGACTGGAGGGCGGTGGTGCAATCTCAGCTCACTGCAACCTCTGCCTCCCAGGTTCAAGCACTTCTCCTGTCTCACCCTCCCGAGTAGCTGGGACTACAGGCGCACGCCACCACTCCTGGCTAATTTTTTTTGTATTTTAGTAGAGATGGGGTTTCACCATGTTGCCCAGGCTGGTCTCGAACTCCTGAGCTCAGTCTGCCCGCCTTGGCCTCCCAAAGTGCTAGGATTACAGGCATGATTCACCGTGCCCGGCAATCACATGAATCTTATAAGGGGAGGGACAGGATATTGAGAATAAGAAGAGGAGGTATGACGATGGAAACAGAGGCCTGGAATAAAGCAGGGTTACAAGCCAAGGAATGCAGGCCGCCTACAGAAGATGGAAAAGGCAAGAAAACAGGCTCTCCCCTAGAGCCTCCAGAATTCATTGCAGCAGCAATAGGAAATGAAATGAAAACACTTTGTATAGGGATACATGAAGCCATGCTTGCTACTCTATGTCCATGAACACATTTAGAGGTAGACTGACTCCAGAAACTCAGTCATAGCACAGACTGATTGGTGGTAGAGTTCCTCAGTAGGCCAACTCCTCTACACATAAAGGAAAAAAGAGTTCCCCAGATCTCTAATAATGGCTAAAATTCAGACTATTCAGCTGGGCATGGTGGCTCACACCTATAATCCCAGCACTTTGGGAGGCCGAGGTGGGCGGATTGCCTGAGGTCAGGAGTTTGAGACCAGCCTGGCCAACATGGTGAAACCCCATCTCTACTAAAAATACAAAAATTAGCCAGGCGTGGCAGTGCACATCTGTAATCTCAGCTACTCGGGAGGCTGAGGCAGCCTACTTGAGCCTGCCCCAGCCGAGATCACACTATTGCACTCCAGCCTTGGTGACAGAGTGAGACTCCATCTCAAAAAATAAATAAATTAATTAAAAAATCAGACTATTCCTATCCTGTGCCATGTACTGTCCTAAGAGTTTATGTCTACATTTAATCTTCACAATGTTACTGACAAAGCTGGTTCCAGCTGTCAGGTGCCTGTTGCCAGGTCTGCGGTGAGGCAAAGGGCCTTCCCAAATAGGCCTTCCCTAATCTAGTCCAGTGTCCCATCTGGGTTGCCAGTTTTATGAACAACAAAGCTGGTCCCTATAAAGATGTGGTACTTTACTATTTGGTGTCATGAAGTCAATATACAAAACTAAAAGTGAGTGTCAACCAGTGCAGGCTTTATTCAATGGCCATGGAATCCAGAAGTGGGAGCCTGGCTCACTAATCAATGTCTCAATAAGTGAAAGGTGAGGGGACTAAAATTTAGGGCTTCTCTAATAATGGGGTTGGACTTTAAAAGCAAGGGGAGAAATACTCACATTTTTTCTGGAAATGGGTGGTGGGCTTCCCAGAACCATAGTGCTGCCTTCTTTTTTGTGCTTTTATGGCTTCTTCTGGTCACTGTCTTGGCAATTGTCAACTGTCATGGCACTAGTGGGAGTGTCATTTAGCATGGAAGTGAGATTATAATGAAGCCTGAGGTCTTCTTGAAGTCATTTGGTTGGCTATCTTGGTTCTAACCAGTCTCAGTTAGTCTGGTTACAAAGGGAACTTTTAATTGCAGGCATCCTGTTTCTTAAAGATAAACAAGAGTTTGGATACAGTAGGAATTCACCTATGTCACCTACATGTTATACCAGGTGACAAATCTCCCAGTGCTACTGCTTGTCACAGGTGTGATGGCTTCAAGATGCTTTGCAGACCAGAGCGCTGGCCACACAGGCCCTGAGGGCCCGCAATTCCAATGGAGTGGCCATGGTGTACTCCATGGCATCTGGAGGTGGTGTTCTTACTGATGACAAGAAGGCGGCTGGGTTGGAGAGGGAGCTCATGATGGCTGCACGGAAGGGACTGGACCCATACAGTATAATACCCCCAAAGGCAGCTTCAGTCACAGGGAACCCTAATTTGGTCCCCACCATCACCAATAAGTGAATAGTGGGCTATATCTATGAAGAGGACAACAGTGCCATCATCTAGTTTTGGCTACACAAAGGCAAGAGCCAGTGATATCCTAACTGTGGAACCTGCCCCATCAGGGGGCCCATGGAGCCTCTGTGTTAAGTTACTCAAATGTGCTATAAAGTCTTTTCTTTCCAATAAAGACTTGCATTGGCCTCTTCTCCCAAAAACAACAACAAAAAAACAAAAAACACAAATCTCCCTTTTTCTGTACATTCACTCCTCATTCTTTCTCTTTTTTTTTTCTTTGAAACAGGGTCTTGCTCTGTCACCCAGGCTGGAGTGCAATGGCATGATCATAGCTCACTGCAGCCTCAACCTCCTGGGCTCAAGCGATTCTCCCACCTCATCCTGCAGGATAGCTGGGACCACAGGTACATGTCACTACACCCAGCTAATTTTTGTATTTTTTTTGTAGAGATGGTGGTGGTGGGGGGGGGGTCTCATCATGTTCCCCAGGCTGGTCTCGAACCCCGAGCTCAAGTGATCTGCCTGCCTCAGCCTCCCAAAATGCTGGGATTACAGGTGTGAGCCATTGTGTCTGGCCTCAGTCCTCATTCTTGAGGAGTGCTGTGGAATGAAGGTCTGTCTTCTACAGCTTCTTCAAGCTGAGTTTGGGTGTTTACATGGGGCCTATTAGATTAGTGAAATTTTTTCCTAACTAGTCTTAGATAGGTCTGGTTATCTCCTGGGTGCAAATCTAGCTGTTTATATCCCTGTATGGCTTCAATTCACTTTATTTATTTATTTATTTTATTTATTTATTTTTTTTTTTTTGAGACAGAGTCTCACTCTGTTGCCCAGACTGGAGTGCAGTGGAGCGATCTCAGCTCACTGCAACCACCGCCTCCTGGGTTCAAGTGATTCTCCTGCCTCAGCCTCCCCAGCAGCTGGGATTACAGGTGTGTGCCACCACGCCCAGCTAATTTTTGTATTTTTAGTAGAGACAGGGTTTCACCATGTTGCCCAGGCCGGTCTCAAACTCCTGACCTCAAGTGATTCACCTGCCTCAGCCTCCCAAAGTGGTGGGATTACAGGCGTGAGCCACCACGCCCTGCCGTCTTCAATTTACTTAGACACAAAAGAGACCAGACAGTTTGAGAGACAGGGCCCAGAATCAAGAGAAGTAGGATGGCAGCTAAAGAGCCCAGGAAGGGTAAAAACCAGGTGAGATTAGGGATGGCCTATTTTATGATCTCCCATATTCCCTGAGCATTTGTGCCCTTTTCGTAAATTGGTGCAACCACTTGACCTGGTCATAGATAAATTTAATGTCTTTTTCTATTAATGTTGAATTATTTACCAAAGCACAACAGGAAGAGTTAGTGACTACACATATCCCACCTTGTTCTGCCAAGAGGTAATCAAAAGCCAAGTGATTGTCAAGCACAGTATTGGCTAATGAGTCTGGGAAGACTTTGAGGCAAGTAAGAGCATCACAGTCTTATAGGATAGAGTTTCTATAATTGTTGTGAGGTTGCACAGGGTAGCCTCATGCTAGGCAAGCCTTCCCTAGGGGGCAAGGAAACTGCCCACTATCTCGATATCCAGCCAGAATAGTAATCCCAGCACTTTGGGAGGCCGAGGTGGGCGGATCACCTGAGGTCAGGAGTTTAAGACCAGCCTGGCTAACATGGTGAAACCCCGTTTCTACTAAAAATACAAAAAAATTAGCCGGGCATGGTGGCACGCTCCTGTCATCCCAGCTACTCAGGAGGTTGAGGCAGGAGAATCATTTGACCCAGGAGGTGGAGGCTGCAGTCAGCCAAGATCGCGCCATTGCACTCCAGCTTGGGCAAGAAGAGCAAAACTCTGTCTCAAAAATAAATAAATAAATAAATAAATAATAGCAAGAGTGGACTGATCAACTTTTGGGGCTGCCCACTTGAGTATTTCATTAGCTAACAATAGCTGTTTTCTTAGCTCAGTGGTTCTCAAACTTCATTGTGTATCAGGATCCTCCCACCTTAGCATCCTGAGTAGTTGGAACTATAGTTGCACGCAACCATGCCTGGCTAATTTTTGCTTTTGTTTTTGTAGAGACAGGGGTCTCACTTTGTTGCCCAGCTTGATCTTGAACTCCTGGGCTCAAAGTATTCTTCCCACCTCAGTCCTCCTAAGTGCTGTGGGATTACCGATGTGAGCCGTTGTGTGCCGGGTCAGGATTTTAAATAATGATGCAACATGGTTAGCCTTTACCTCCTGCTCTTTTTATAGTATGATACCAAGGCTTATTAACATACTATAGGCATTCTCTTCTAAGATCTCGGGGGAAAACCTATTCTATTTACACGTGTATTATATAATATATTTATTTCACATTTAGCAAAAAAATGCAATCTAAAGATCATGATCATGGCTCATTGTTCCTTGACTTTGATGGGGATAATTGCAAGGCTGAGATTTTTCTCTCCATGTGGGTTCTCATCATTCAGCAAGCAGCAGCCAGTTTAAACTTCTTTACATGGCACCTTTGTTCCAAAACAGCAAAGGCAGAAGCTGCCAAGAATCTTCAGGCTCAGGCTCCAGTGCTCACACAACATCATTCTGCCACATCCTATTGGTCAAAGCAAATCACAAGGCCTGTCCAGATTCTAGGCCATAGGGTAATAGAGTCTACCTTTTGATGGAAGGAGAGGCAATGTCATGGACCATGAAAATGAGGACTCATGAGACTCATAATACTTTAGGAGTTATTATGATAACAATCTGCCACAGTTGGAGAGTGCGAATTATTTTGCTACATAGAGCTTTGATCAACTAAATATAAAATAATCTCTAGAAATTAGCATCTTTTTCTTTTAAATTATTCAAGGAAATTCTTTATCATAAATCTAGTAAGTCTTTAATCAGCATAACATATATCCCTGAGCCAACTTCAACCATTTTCACTGTACCTAAAAAGTAAAACTGCTGAAACTTCATCTAGAAATTGGCAAGAACTTTGCATTTTTCTTCTCCATTTGAATTCTGTGTCTGAAGTGTAGGACTCTCAGCACTATACACACTATCTGAACACTAATTAAAGGGAGGATATATAAAAGAGAAAAAAGAAGTGATTTTCATCCTTTATGAGGCAAAAAAGAAAGTATAAATTTTAAACACAGCAAATTTCCCTTAGATCTGTTCTTTTCTACTGTTTATTGAACATTGGCTCATTCTATATACTTCATGCCCACCCTTCCTTCCTTTCTTCCTTCCTTCCTTCCTTCCTTCTTTCTTTCCGACAGAGTTTCACTCTTGTTGCCCAGGCTGAGGTGCAGTGGGGCGACCTTGGCTCACTGCAACCTCCGCCTCCCGGCTTTAAGCGATTCTCCCCTCTCGGCCTCCCGAGTAGCTGGGATTACAGGCATGCACCACCGTGCCTGGCTAATTTTTGTATTTTTAGTAGAGATGGGGTTTCACTGTTGGCCAGGCTGGTCTCGAACTCCTGACCTCAGGTGATCTACCTGCCTCCGCCTCCCAGAGTGCTGGGATTACAGGTGTGGGCCATCATGCCCGGCCTACTTTGTGATTTCTTAAGAAACAATACATGCATCTGTATTGAGTTGCTGATGAATTTCAATGTGAATAATATTTATAGTTTCTCTTAATTGTCTTAGCACCTGCAGGTGCCTATGATTATTTTCTTTATTTATACTCTCCTTAACTATAGTGAGTCACTATTGAGTTCTGGGTAGCAAATTTAGCTTTAAGTTTCAGCTCAGCTGAAGCTAAATTTCAGAAAAAAAGAAAACAGTCTTGGGGCTGGGTGACAGAGTGAGACTTAGTCTCAAAAAAAAAAAAAAAAGAAGTCTTTGCATTAAATGGTTACAAAATTATCTGAAAATTTATAGGATGATAACAATTATAGGGATATAATAAACATGAAATGCAAAACTGGGCTATTTGCCTGGGCTCGTACTTCTTTTTCTTTCTTATGGTTTCTGTATATTTTGTTTTTTTTATCCTACTTATTTCATTAATGGCAGGACATCAAGTATACAAGAACATAAAAATTTGTTTCATCTGTCAAATGCAAGTTTGTATTAGGTAATCTCTTTGATTTTATGATTTTATTTGCTATTATGGGAAACGTTTGTGATTCATCCATGCAAGTGTTGAGTCTAATACTGACACTAAAGAATGTTTTGTCAGCCAGGCGCGGTGGCTCACGCCTGTAATCCCAGCACTTTGGGAGGCTGAGGCGGGCGGATCACGAGGTCAGGAGATCGAGACCATCCTGGCTAACGCGGTGAAACCCCGCCTCTACTAAAAAATACAAAAAATTAGCCGGGCGTGGTGGTGAGCGCCTGTAGTCCCAGCTACTCGGGAGGCTGAGGCAGGAGAATGTCGTGAATCTGGGAGGCAGAGCCTGCAGTGAGCCGAGATCATGCCACTGCACTCCAGCCTGGGTGACAAAGCAAAGACTCCGTCTCAAAAAAAAAAGAAAAGAATGTTTTGTGAGCAGTTTTCTTTTGTAAATTCAACTGCAAGATTATGAGATCCTAATTGTGAGATTCTGATTCTCTTAATAACTCCTTAAGAATAACACCCATGAAGTAACAAATCTGCCTAAGAGTTCTATGACGCTATAATTGGGATTTCAGAATATTCTGTTCTCTACCCATTGTGATTTCAGGGGTTCTAGAAAACTCCTCTCTACAAAAACAATGCTTTCTTGCCCTCTACGATAACGGATATGACTGGAGACCTTGTCTTTCCATCACTGTTACTTAGAGTAGCACTGAGGTATAATATCCGAACTGTTTTAGAAAGTGCAATAAATTGAGTTTAATTCACACTGGAGTGTAAAAGTATAACATCATAATGCATTTTTGATAAAGGGTAAGATAGAGCCTGGGAAGGAAACATACTAGTTTGTGTCATTTCTGGTAATAAATATCACTGCTTGATGACCTGCATGATGGCATGGTATTATCTTTCATTTGTTCCACATTTACCTTCCAGGTGCTTCAAGGTGTGTCCTAGCCAAGTAGGTAAAGCTGGCAGGTGGGGTAATGTCCCAGGTCAGGACTCACAGGTCTATCTCAATTGGCTCCATTGTCTATTTCACATCTGCCTTTGCTGTCCAAATCCAGACATGGAGTATGCACATGGTAGGTGGAGGAATTTCAAAAGAAAACAGGGCTTATTTTTGAGACAGGAGAATAGGGTTTATTGTTTCTCAAAACAAATGCTCCTGATGTCACCTGGATTATGTTCTGAAAATAAATTGATTTATTTCAGTTTGGACTTTATGTGCAATAAATTGTATGGGTCTCCTAGAAATGAAAACAAATCCCTTAAAAAATATATCGTGCCAGTCAGATGAGTTCCATAAAAAGCAAAAACAAAAACGAAACACAGCAACAAGGAAATTAGTTGAACCATTAAAGTATAAGATCACTAAGCACAAAAATGCTTCCATACATTTTTATTTTATAGTTTTATTTTATTATTTTTTTTTGAGACGGAGTTTTGCTCTTGTTGCCCAGGCTGGAGTGCAATGGCATGATCTTGGCTCACTGCAACCTCCGCCTCCTGGGTTCAAACAATTCTCCTGCCTCGGCCTCCTGAGTAGCTGGGATTACAGGCATGTGCCGCCATGCCCGGCAAACTTTTGTATATTTAGTAGAGATGGGGATTCTCCATGTTGGTCAGGCTAGTCTTGAAGTCCAGACCTCAGGTGATCCACCTGCCTCAGCTTCCCAAAGTGCTGGGATTACAGGCATGAGCCACCACGCCCAGCCTGCTTCCACACATTTTTAGAAAGAACTTAGTGAAACCAAAATATGAAGCCTTTTGGGAAATGTTAACCTAGACTTCTGAACTAGTGTGTAGTATTTTAAAAAGCATTTGATGTTAGAAGGAAAAAAAGAAAGCACTTGATGAAGAGTCAAGAGTCTTGGTATTCAAGTTCAGGCTATTTCATTAACTACCTGAATGACACTGAGCAATCCAATTAAATCTGCTTGTTCAAAGATCTCTAACTCATTTACCATTTATCATTATCATTCTGTGATGCCATTCATTGGTCTTACCTTGAGCTCTAAATCCTCTCTTGACATCTTTAATTTTTATTAAAGGACATTTCCTGCAGTCTCAACTGGCTTGTGCATTTAGCAAAATGACTGTGCATTTCACAACTGCATAAGCAAATTAAGAAAAAATAATAATCCTTACTGATATATACATGGATCTTACTACCATTCTATAAAAAGTTAGGTATAGGCTTGCTGTTTTTATTGAGATGGTTAGATTTCCTCAGCCTGGCCCAAGGCAAGGCTTCTAAAACTGTGAGGTTTGTACAGGTAGCCTCACACCTCTCTTTCTTCACCTCCTCCTACTTCCTCATAAAGCCTTTGCCCTGACCCCAGGTGTCTCTGCTTTCATCATACTTTGCAAGCTGCCAAACACCCACCTCTTTCTAACCCCCTTCTGCCCACTGTTTTGTTCACTCTTTCGTACACAGTGCCTCATTATTAAAATTCCTTATTTATAAAAACCAATGTTCATACATAAAAGTTCCCAACTCAGTGGATATGATGAGGAAAACTATTAGATTAAAAGAATTAATATTAAGTTGTGAATAAATCTACAGCTCATTTTACAGAAATGTAATTGGTGGAATTTCAGACTTAATAGCAACGTAAAAAAATTTTAGGGGGTGCAGGGAAATTTAGGAAGGTACAAGTCACTTAAAGGGCCTGTCTGCTTTATAGCCTTGCTGCTTAAAGTGTGGTCCTAGGACCAATAGCAATGAAATCAGCTGGGAGCTTGTTAGAAATAAGAACCTCAGTTCCACGTGTCAAAATTTGCATTTTAACAAGATAGGGGAAACTCGGGGTAGTTTGTACGTATGTTAAAGTTTGAGAAGCACTGGTTTATAGTATTCCAAGTAGGCAAACACCTTTTCTCCTCTTTAATTTAAAGCGTGGTCAGCTATTGCTTATGAGGATCTGTAGTCAGTGAAGACCAATTTGATGTTTCTAAGCAGCCTTCCAATTGTTGACCCAAGGGCATAATTGCCACAAATACTCTATTATAATTTAATACATTTGGGGGGAAGAAGCATTCCAAAAAGCTTTTTTAACTCAGTGTTGAAGGGATGTACAGCAACTGAAAATTAGAAAACTGTCTAGGATACACAAGTACAGTAGTGAAACCAGAAATCAATGGCTGAATAAAGGATTTCAACCTGTATGACAATCTAAAGCAAATACAACTGTTAAATAAAATTTATGGGAGGCCATTGTTTTGGACTGAGCTTCTGCACTGGCCCAACAGACCAGGCCAAACCAGAATGGAGTCACTGAAACTAAGTGCCATATAATCAACTGAACTTTGAAATTGTCAGTTAAAACCAACCAACCAGGAGATTCACAGCAACCAATCAGAAGGGGCCCAGTTTACCTGACCAAGCATGTTAGAAAGTTCCCTCTGTTTTAACCCTATAAGAAAAGTAGCTGAAAGACCAATCTCCCTTTTGTTATCTTTCTACTTTCTTCAGTGCTTTTTTGCCTATAAAGCCAATCCCCTCTTATCAGCTCCGTGAAACGCCATTCTTTTATGTAGGATGAGATGTTACCTGTTTCTTGAATTGCAGATGAAAGTCAATTAGATATTTAAACTAATTTTTTTTTTGGTAACTTTGTCTTTTGAAGCAAGAATGGAATCACTACACAGTTGCTAGGACTGCTATTGAGAAGTAGAGGAGGAAGTTAATGTTGTGTTTATGTTAAATGTATTAACAAAGGTAGCCAATCCAATCCAATTAATTCCACAAGGTCTTTTTCAACTTCCATCTCCTATCTTGTATGAAGCCTTTTCTGCTTCTTTCTATACATCCGCCTTTATTAGGTGATCAACTGTCCTGGTTATCTTAGGACTATCCTGGTTTTCTCACTGGAGGTTCTGCATCCCAGGAGATCCCTCAGTCTCCAGCAAACCAGGACGATTGGTCACTCTACCTGCACTCCTAGCTAGAAATACTGCTTCTGACTTTTAACTTCTTTAGCTCTCTGAACTCTCACCATTTATTTAGCACCTGTCATATTTTGCTTTACATCATAATTATTTGCGTACAAGAAATGTTTCTGAGATTTGCTTACAAATTACTTCAGGGTAGAACTGCGTCTTTCATCATTTCCTTTGTTCCATGCAGCATTAATCCAGTGTTAGATTTGTAGGAGTCACTCAACAGTTTGAATGAAGGAATCTACTTGAAAAAAATAACTATTGCCAATTGGAACTATGCCTGCCATGGAGTTTCAATCTATTGAATCACAAAAGTGACAGTTTGGAAATCCAAATAGTCTTATATTCCTATTTTTGCATTTAGGACTATTTTAAATGTGGCTTCAATCCAACCTTTCACTCCTCCACTGTGTTCCTTGAACATGATTAATGCAAGAATATCCAGGGGGTAAAAGAAATCAAAAGATAAGCATTTTCCCAGAGAGTAGTGTTTACTTAAAGATTTTATTTTTTTAGTGGGGGTGTGTGAATGTCTGCACAATTAATATGTTTTGTCAGATTTTTCATTTGGGGCAGTATGAAAGATTAGGTGTCCAGAAAAATCCTCCTGGCATGCAACCCCTAAAAATGATGGAATACACGCACACACACACACACACACACATCACACACATACAAATGGTTAAAAGATAAACTTGACCACATTAATATTTTAATGAGTTTACTTGAGCATTCAGCAATGCATGAGTGGGGCAGCACCAGCCTGCAAGCAGTGAAGTGATCCAAGGGGAATGAGAGACAAACTTTTATGACGTGTTTGTGGAAGCAAGACAAATAAAATATATTTGATTGGTTAACGTGGAAATCCCTAGTTAGAAGTTAATTGATGGCTTCTGATTGGTTAGGCTTAAGTTTTCTTTTGCCATTTACATTGAACTTTGGTTTGCTTGGGTAGGAACCCAAGGTGCTGAAGCCATCTCAGCCTAATGGCCTCCCAATTAAACCATATGTGTGTGTGTTTACACACACACACACACACACACACACACGCACACTCAAAAAGCTTTAATATGTATGGCTCAGTTGGTAGGAAGACTTGAAATCAACAGTGCACTCAAATGTTAATATTTGCTCTGGGGGCATTTGTCTACATGGGTGGCCTAATGCTTGGGTTCTAGTAGATTCAGTGAGCAGGGGAGAAAACTAAGACTTAGCCCTTTATGGTGCAAGATTGGATGGAAGCCCCTGCATGGATTTGGGAACCGCCCCCCGCCCCCCACAAAGATACTTCACTTCAGCAGGTAAATTTAAAAAAAAATGGCAGGATTTGTCAGGGATGCTTGTCTGTCTCAACTTAAGTTTTGTCAGAGGAAAAATATGTTTTTATGAAAGTTCCTAACCATGCAAAACAACAACAACAACAACAACAACAAAAGCAAATCCCTAAAATCCCTAGATACAAATTTAAAGTGGCCTTAGATTGGTACTGCTCCACCTGGCAGAATTACCTGGGAGAGCAAATTCAAATACTCTCTGGAAGAAGGTGCTTTAAACCTGGACCTCAGAGAAATCCCAAGGAATATGAATGTATATTGGTAACTCTATGTTTAACTTTTTGAACAACTGCCAAATTATTCTCCAAAGGGGCTATATTATATTACATTCCCACCAACAATGTAAGAAGGTTCCAATTTCTCTACATCTTCACCAACACTTGTTACTGTCTGTTTATTATAGACATTTTAGTGGCTGTGAAATGTTATTTTATGGTTTTTATTTGTATTTCCCTAATGACTAATGATGTTGGACATCTTTTCATGTGCTTTTCGGTAATTTGCATATCTTCTTTGGAGAAATGTCTATTCCAATCCTTAGCCCATTTTAAAATTGGGGCTGGGTGTGGTAACTCATGCCTATAATCCCAGCACTTTGGGAAGCCGAGGTGGGCAGATCACCTGAGGTCAGGAGTTCCAGACCAGCCTGGCCAACATGGTGAAACCCCGTCTCTACTAAAAATACAAAATTAGCTGGGCATGGTGACACATGACTGTAATCTCAACTACTTGGGAGGCTGTGGCAGAAGAATCGCATGAACCCAGGAGGAAGAGGTTGCAGTGAGCTGAGACTGAGCCATTGCACTCCAGCCTGGCCAACAAGAGTGAAACTCCATCTCAAAAATAAATAAATAAATAAATAAAAATAAAAATAAAATAAAATAAAAGTGGGTTGTCTTTTTATTGTTGAATAAGAGTTCTTTATATATTCTGGATACTACTACCTTCTTTTTTCTTCTTTTTTGAGACAGAGTGTTGCTCTGCTGCCCAGGTTGGAGTGCAGTGGTGCGATCTCAGCTCACTGCAATCTCTGCCTCCTGGGTTCAAGCGATTCTCCTGCCTCAGCCTCCCGAGTAGTTAGGATTATAAGCACCTGCCACCACACCCAGCTAATTTTTGTATTTTTAGTAGAGACTGGTTTTGCCATGTTGGCCAGGCTGTTCTCAAACACCTGACTTCAGGTGATCCGCCCACCTTGGCCTCCCAAAGTGCTGGGATTATAGGTGTGAGCCACCACACCTGTCCTAGATACTAGTACATTATTTTATTTTAGTTTTGAGATAGAGTCTCATTCTTGTTGCCCAGGATGGAGTGCAGTGGTGTGATCTCGGCTCTCTGCAACCTCTGCCTCCCAGGTTCAAGCGATTCTCCTGCCTCTGCCTCCCAAGTAGCTAAGATTACAGGCGCCTGCCACCACACCTGGCTAATATTTTGTATTTTTAGCAGAGACGGGGTTTCACCATGTTAGCCAGGCTGGTCTTGAACTCCTGACTTCAGGTGATCCCCCTGCCTCAGCCACCCTAAGTGCTGGGATTAATGGCATGAGCCACTGTGCCCAGCCACTAGTACCTTCTGATGAGGTACAATTTATCTGTGTTTCCTATTGTTACTTTTGCTTTTTGTGTCATATTTAAGAAACTATCACCAAATGCAAGGTCACAAAGATTTAGGCCTATGTTTTTTTCCTAAATTTTATAGTTTTAGCTCTTACAGTTAGGTTTTTGATCCATTTTGCATTATTTTTGTATATGGTGTGAGGTAGGAGTTCACCTTCACTCTTTTGAATGTGGATGTTGAGTTGTCTCGGAATCATTTATTGAGAAAACTATTCTTTACCCATTAAAATATCTTGGCATCCTTTTCAAAACCAATTGACTATGAATGTAGGGTTTATATCTGGATTCCTAATTCAATTCCATTGATTCATATCTCTATTATGTCACAAAGTCTTTTAAAATCTAATCTAATTATATATCATCACTTCTCCCATATTCTATTGATTACACAGACCCATTCTGGTACAATGTGGGAGACACTACATGAGGATGTTAATACCAGAAGGCGGCCGGGCACGGTGGCTCATGCCTGTAATTCCAGCACTTTGGGAGGCCGAGGCAGACCGATCATGAGGTCGGGAGATCGAGACCATCCTGGCTACCACGGTGAAACCCCATCTCTACTAAAAATAAAAAATTAGCCGGGCGTGGTGGCAGGCGCCTGTATTCCCAGCTACTCGGGAGGCTGAGGCAGGAGAATGGTGTGAACCTGGGAGGAGGAGCTTGCAGTGAGCCGAGATTGTGCCACTGCACTCCAGCCTGGGTGACAGAGTGAGACTCCGTCTCAAAAAAAAAAACAAAAACAAAAACAGAAGGCAGGAATCACTGGGGGCTATCTTGGAGGCTAGGTGCCACATAGCAATAACCATATGATTACCCCTTTTTAGACAGAAAAAAATATGTTCTTAGTAACTTGGTAAAAAAGAGAACTTCTAAATCTGATAAAAGCAAGTTTCAAAATACATACTCCAAACATCGTGTTTAATGATGAAATGAAGCATTCCTGTTAAAACTAGGAAGCAGACAAAAATGGCCACTATCCCCACTGTTACTCACCGTTGTACTGTAGGTATTAGCCAGTATAATAAGGCAAGGCAATGAATAAGAGATATAAGAAGTTGAAAGGAAGATATGACTCTAATTCTTGAGAGATAATGATTTTCTACATGAAAAACTGAAAAAGGATCTATGAACCAGTTAATAAGAGCAATTAGGAAGGTTTCTGGATATAAGATTATACCAAAACACATTAAAACTTTCTTTTTAAGTGATAGTCTTATTATAACAACAAAATTTTTAAATATTCAGGAATAAATCTGACAAAAATGTGTAAGATCTTGATGGAGACATTTATCAAAGTTTATTTATTTATTTATTTTTGAGACGGAGTCTCACTCTGTCGCCCAGGCTGGAGTGCAGTTGTGTGATCTCAGCTCACTGCAACCTCCACCCCCTCAGGTTCAAATGATTCTCCTGCCTCAGCCTCCCAAGTAGCTGAGATTACAGGCAGGTGCCAGAATGCCCAGTAATTTTTCTTTTGTATTTTTAGTAGAGACGGGGTTTCACCATCTTGGCCAGGCTAGTCTTGGACTCCTGACCTTGTGATCCACCCTCCTCAGCCTCCCAAAGTGCTCCCTTACAAGCGTGAGCCACCGCGCCCAGCCTATCAACATTTATTGAAAGACATTAAGGGAGACTAAATAGAAAGACATAGCCTATCTGTGAATAAGAACTATCAGGAAGAGAGTCATGTTCTACTAGGTTTTCGAATCTTATTGTTCAGTTGTACTAATTGAAAATATGAGGTATTGACAAAACAATGAACAAATAAATCAATAGAACAGACAAGAAAGCACAGAAACCGACCACACTATGGGAACTTGACATAAAATAGAACCATCAGTTTAGGAAAAGATACTCAGTTGGATCCATTAAGATTTTTTTTAACTCATATCAAACAAAAGTAAATTTTAAATGGATGATTCAAGATTCAAATGTGAAAGTAAAACTTTAAAACTTCTTAAATAAATTATGGGAGATCTCTGTGATCTCAGGGTGAAAGGATTTCTTAAGACAGAAAAACTCAAACCATAAAGGAAAATATCACTACCTGCTGTTTATCAAAATACATTATAAAAAGAGTGAAAAAGGCAAGTGACAATCTAAAAGAAGTATTTGTAATATATATATAACCGTGTGAAAGAAAAAAACACAAAGGGTCAACTAAATACATGAAAGTGCTCAAAGTCACTGGATATCAGGGAAATTCAAAGTAAAACCAGAATCATATTTCCTGTCACATATACCAGACAGGCCAAAACTAGCCAGAGGTGAAGATGTGGAATAACAGGTGCTCCCTTCACTGCTACTGAAAGTTGGTACAGCCCCCATGGAAGACAATTTGGTATTGTTCTATAGTTCCATAGATGTGTACAAACCACCTCAAACTTAGAGACTCAAAATAACACACCACATTTTCTGTGGGTCAGCAAATTGGAAAGGACTTGGCTGGGCAATTCTGTAATCTCCTTTAGTTACAATAGGACATCTGGGACTTGGAGCAGCTAGGGGTTGGCTAGCATCTGTCTTTTTTTTTTTTTTTTTTTTGAGACGAGGTCTCCCTATGTTCTCAGGCTGGTCTCAAACTCCTGGGATCAAGTGATCTTCCCACCTCGGCCTCCCAAAGTTTTTGGGATTACATATGTGAGCCACTATGCCCGGCTAACTAGGATCTGTCTTCATGTTATCTCAGGATCCCTGCAGGTGACCTCTCAACATGGACTAGGTTGAGCTCAAAACATGGGGGCCTCAGAGTGCTTACAAGGCTGCTACAGTGCTTACAAGGGAGCTAAGATCTTTTCAGAGCAAGTATTTGATGTAACAAAGTAGAAGCTGCATGGCCTTTTATGAACTAGCCTTGAAAGCCACATGGTATAACTTCAGCTATATTCTAAGGGTTGAAACAGTTGCCCACCCGCTATCAAAGGAAAGGGATATAGATTCCATGTCTTAATGGGAGGTGTGTCAAAGCCACATTGTAAAAAGTCCACGTGAGATTAAAGTTACTTTTGTGGCCATCTTTCTTTCTTTCTTTTTTGGAGACAGGGTCTCACTGTTGCCCAGGCTGGAGTGTGGTGTCATGATGATGGCTCACTACAACCTGGAACTTCTGGGCTCAGTTGATCCTCCTACCTCAGCCTCCTGAGTAAGTGGGACTACATGATTAGCTATGTGCCACCATGCAAGGCTAAGCAGCTTTCAAAAATACAATCTGCTACTGGCACTATTTACTAAAGCTGAAGATTTATATACTCTATGACTTATAATTTCACACCTGGGTATTTGCCCTAAGGAAATTCTTTCCCATATGTGCCTGGAGACAAAACTCTCTTTATTATAAAAAAAAATGAAAACCACCAAGATGTCTAGCAACACTAGAATAACACAGAAACATTTTGTAATTACAAAAAACTGAAACATTGTCCAGTAACACTGGATAAATTTAAAAATATGAACAAACCTATTTATGCTACTTTATCTTATATTGTTTAGGAATATCTACATTTGTGGTAAACTAGTAAACAATAGAGAAAAACAAAGGAATGATTAACCCTAAATTTGAGACAGTGGTTTGAGGAAGGGAGAACAGGCAGGAGAAACAATCAGGAAGAGGCATACTCGGAGGGTTAAGGTTCTGGAATGTTCTGTTTCTTCTCTTTCTGTTTCGGTCTGTCACCCAGGCTGGAGTGCAATGGTATGATATTGGCTCACTGAAACCTCTGCCTCCTGGGTTCCAGCGATTCTCCTGCCACAGCCTCCCGAGTAGCTGGGATTACAGACACCCACCAACATGCCCAGCTAATTTTCGTATTTCTGTAGAGACAGGGTTTCACCATGTTGGCCAGGCTGGTCTTGAACTTCTGACCTCAGGTGATCCACCCACCTCGGCCTCCCAAAATGCTGGGATTACAGGTGTGAGCCACTGCGCCTGGCCTGGAATGTTCTGTTTCTTAAGTTGAGTGGTAGTTATTTAGTGTTCAGTTTATTGCTAATCTCTTTTTTTTCAAACAAAAGATTTTACATATTTATTACTGAACCAGGCTGGTAGTGCAGAGCATATTCGTATATACTAATTTTTGCAATTAAACATGTCCAACTGTCCAGATAGTGGTGATGTTTCCAGCTTGATATGGTCAGATGATAGTGACCTTGATACAGAATAGATATGTGTGCCATCCCATGTGCAAATCCTTATAGACCCAGCTTCGTTCTTCTCCAATGTCTCCTCTTGGTGTTGTACCTGATTACCAGTTTTCATCCAAATCCGCTGGGGAATGAGACAGTTTTGCTTTTGTTTCTTGGCCAGGAATTACGTGATCCTGAAAGTCTTGTGAGAAGACATGGTGAAAAACTTAGTCCTATTATTAATCTTTAAAACATACGTTTATGTTGCATACATTCTTATATTTATAATTTTCATAAAATTTGAAAAAAATACATTTATATAAAAGGTGGGCCAGGCGTGGTGGCTCATGCCTGTAATCCCAGCACTTTGGGAGGCCAAGGTGGGTGGATCACCTGAGGTCAGGAGTTCAAGACCAGCCTGGCCAACATGGGGAAAACCTGTCTCTACTAAAAAATACAAAAAATTAGCCAGGTGTGGTGGCAGGCACCTATAATCTTAGCTACTTGGGAGGCTGAGGCAGGAGAATCGCTTGAACCCAGGAGGCAGAGGCTGCAGTGAGCCAAGATCGCACCACTGCACTCCAGCCTGGGCAACAGAGCAAGACTCTGTCTCTAAATAAATAAATAAATAAATAAATAAATAAATAAATAAAAGGGTTGGTCATATGTATAAGCCAGTAAAACCAACAGGAATCTGTTTTCCCCTAGAAAGTCTATTAACCAAGAATACAGATAGGAAACTTGTATTCTTCTCTAATGATAGACCTTTAAACATTTTTTAGAGTACCATTGATATGATAGAGTAGAATGCAAAATTTACATCCATTTCAAAGATAGAACAAGCAGGATGCAGTAGCTCATGCCTGTAATCCCAGCACTTGGGGAGGCTGAGGCAGGATGATTGCTTGAGCCCAGGGGTTCAAGACCAGCCTGGGCAACATAGCAAGACTCCATCACTACAAAAAAATTTTTAAAAAATTAGCTGAACATGGTGGTGCGCACCTTTAGTCCTCATTACTTGAGAGACTGAGGTGGGAGGATTGCTTGAACCTAGGAGGTTGGGGCTGCAGTGAGCCATGATAATGCCACTCCAGACCAGGCAACAGAGTAAGATCCTGTCTCCAAAAAAAAAGATAAAACAGACTAAGTGGGGACATGGGGCCAAATGCCTACATTCCCTGGCAGGTGGGGCATTCAAATTTATCCTTTCTCTGTAGAGGGTATTTGGACAGAAAAGTTTGAAAATCAGTGGGTCTCCTGGCCAAGTTAATTACTGATTATTTCCTGAAGACATTCTGTTTCTTCTGACTTCCATGCTTTTGTGCCTGCTATTATCTCCAATACAAACCTTTCAAGTCACAAAATTTACTTGGTAAGATGGAAGTAGGTGAGAAGCCAACTTGTTCTTGCCTGGCACCAGCACAACTTTGACCTACATTCTGTTTTTGCACAGAAGGAAGATGATCTTAGGTTTGTGCAAGTCTGCCTGACCTGAAATTTGAAGACCTGGATCATAGCTATTTGGTGAAATTAATTGTTGCTTTATATATATATATGTATATTTTTTGTTATTCAGAATTTATTCAGCCCAACCCACCTATGAGGGAATCTTAGTCAACTTCCCAATAGATGGCAATTGATTATATTGCTAAAATTACCACAATTGTTACTTGAATTTTTACTGGACAATCTAATCTAGACAATTAGATTCCATTCCACTGGAACTAATAGGTGGACTGTTAGAATATTGCAAAGAGGAATTTATATAGTTCTACAGAGCTACTTTTTTATCTCCAAGTATGAAGTTTAATGTCTTCCTATTTCTCATTCTAAAAGATATGCCAAGAAGACATATGTCTCATTATCACACATTGGAGAGCTCAGTTCTGAGTCAGTGACCCTCTCACCTACAGAAATCATCCACTGTGTCAAAGGAGGCACTTCAGTGAGGCAGGTTGGCTAACCTTGTTCTCTATTGCTTATGGGGCTTTATATGTCCTGAGGACAAAAGACTTGAGTTTCAACATCCATCATTTCTGCCTGTTGGATTTCTTAAATCCATCCTATTTAGGAGAAATTTCTTAAGGTGTACATCCCACTTCCTACATGCGTGATTCCGTGATATTCAAAACCTATTTATTGAGTGCCTACAATCGCTGTGATACACACTACCCAGGGGAATCAAGAATGGGTAAGACCATCTCTGTTCTTCAGGAGCTTTATAGTCGTGTGTGTGTGTTTGTTTGTGTGTATGTGGGAGAATGAAGTGGGAGTTAAAAAGTACATAGAAAACTGTAATATAAGGCAGAACACACATGCTATGTGTAGGCCTGCCAATAACATTTCTGGGATTAATAACAAAAGAACAAATTGAGGCCCACATGCCATATACTTAAATCTGTTAAAGTTGTAAATCAAGTTAACATAGACTACCAAATAAAATATAGCCTCATACCTCAACAAGTAAATTTTCATAGCAACCAAATAGAAAAATATGTGCGTAAAGCTATAGTTTTTATATGATTGAAAGTGAAATGTCAAAAATGACAGAATTTAAATATTATCGCATGTGTCCAGATGTTCCACTGATAATCCAGTGATGTGTGGATGAGAAATAAAATTTTTAAAGTGTAATTTATATATCATTATATTTATTCCATAATTTTTATCTTGCCATCTTTTCAAAAAAATTGCAAATTATGTTATTATCATTCAAGTTTTTATCTGTATTCTATCTACAGCAATTACCTAGATGTAGTAAAAATTAAAGGGTACAGGCCAGGCACAGTGGCTCATGCATGTAATCACAGCACTTTGGGAGGCCGAGGCAGATGGATCACTTGAGGTCAGAAGTTCGAGACCAGCCTGGCTAATATGACGAAAACTTGTCTCCACTAAAAATACAAAAATTAGCCAGGTGTGGAGGCAGGGGCCCGTAATCCCAGCTACTTGGGAGGCGGAGGCAGGAGAGTCACTTGAGCCCTGGATGCGGAGGTTGCAGTGAGCCGAGATGGCGCCACTGCACTCCAGCCTGGGTGACAGAGCAGGACTCCATCTCAAAAAGTAAGTAAATAAATAAATAAATAAAGGATACAAAAATTGCATATGGTGAATATATTTTCATTAAGAATGTCAATGTAGGCCGGGCGCCGTGGCTCATGTCTGTAATCCCAGCACTTTAGGAGGCCGAGACAGGCAGATCATCTGAGGTCAGGGGTTCCAGACCAGCCTGGCTAACATGGCAAAACCCCGTCTCTACTAAAAAAAAAATACAAAAATTGGCCGGGCGTGGTGGCGGGCGCCTGTAATCCCAGCTACTCAGGAGGTTGAGATAGGAGAATCGCTTGAACCTGGGAGGTGGAGGTTGCAGTGAGCTGAGATTGCGCCACTGCACTCTAGCCTGGGTGACAGAGCAAGACTCTGTCTCAAAAAATTAAAAAAAAAAAAAAAGAATCTCAATGTAAAAATGTAAAATAAAAACTACTGGCCAGGCACGGTGGCTCATGTCTGTAGTCCCAGAACTTGGGGAGGCTGGGGCAGGCTAATTGCTTTAGTCCAGGAGTTTGAGATCAGCCTGGGCAACATGCCAAAACCCCATCTCTACAAAAAATACAAAAATTATCTAGGCCTGGTGGTACGTGCCTGTAGTCACAGCTACTCAGGAGGCTGAGGCGGGAGGATCACTTGAATCACTTGAGCCCAGGAGGTTGAGGCTGCAGTGAGCTGACAGCGTGCCACTGCACCCCAGCCTGGGTAACAGAGCAAGACCCTGTCTCAAAAAGATTTATTTTATGTTTTATTTTACTTATAAAATATTTTATCTATTAAAATTGAGTAGAAAATAAAATTATAACTAATTAATATCAATATTTTAAGTCACAATTATAAATCTGACATTTAGAAATGTTTTGGCCAGGTTTGGTGGCTCGTGCATATCATCTCAGCACTTTGGGAGGCCAAGCTGGGTGGATTACTTGAGGTCAGGAGTTCGAGCCCAGCCTGGCAGACATAGTGAAACCCTATCTCTACTAAAAATACAAAAATTAGCTGGGTGTAGTGGTGCATGCCTGTAATCCCAGCTACTAGGGAGGCCAAGGCAGGAAAATTACTTGAACCTAGGAGGCAGAAAGCCGAGATTGAACCACTGCACTCCAGCCTGGGCAACAGAGTGAGACTCCATCTCAAAAAAAATAAATAAATAAAATTTTTTTTTTTCACCTAACGTATTGCATATAGTAAAGTACACAAATCTTAAGTATATAATTTGAAGAACTTTTATACTTGTGTACATCCATGTATTCATCACCCAGATCAGACACTGAATATCTCTAAGACATTAGCAAGCTCCCTCATGCCAGTTCTCCAAGCTGATAACCCTGCAAAAGGTAACCATCAATCAGATCTCTATCACCAGATAAGAGTTTTGCCTGTTTTTTAAACATTATTGAGATATAATTCACAAAATATACAGTTCACCCATTTCAAGTGTACAATTCGATGCTTTTTTTAGTATATAAACAGAGTTGTGCAAACATCAACACAATTTTAGAACATTTTCATCACCCCCAAAAAGAAACTCTATCTCCAAACACTCCCCCTTTCCCACCCATTTTCCCAGCTCTAGGCAACTGCCAATCTACTTTCTGTCTGTATGGATTTACCTATTCTGGACATTTCATATGAATGGAATCATACAATTTGTCATCCTTTGCAAGAGCTTTTTTTCACTTAGCACATTTTCAAGGTTCATCATGTTGTAGCACATGTCAGCACTTTGTTTTTTTTTTTAATGGCTGAATAATATCCCATTGTATAGATATGTCACATTTTAACAATCCATTCATTAGTGGATGAACATTTGAGTTGTCTTCACTTTTTGGCTATTATGAATAATGCTGCTGTGAACATTCTTGTGTGGCCTTAATGTTTCTATTTCTCTTGAGTATGTACCTAAGAGTAGAATTGCTAGGTGATATGGTAACTCTATGTTTAATTGCCAAACTCTTTTGTAAAGTAGTTGTACCATTTTTACATCTTTTCACTTAAAGTCTGTTTTGTTTGATATAAGTACAGTCACTCCAGCTTTCTTATGGTTGCTCTTTGTATATATTTTTCCATTCTTTTACTTTCAGTCTATGTGTATCTTTTTTTTTTTTTGAGATGGCGTTTCACTCTTGTTGCCCAGGCTGGAGTGCATTTGTGCAATCTTGGCTCACCGCAACCTCCGTCTCCCAGGTTCAAGTGATTCTCGTGCCTCAGCCTCTCTAGTAGCTGGATTACAGGCACGCGCACCGCGCCTGGCTAATTTTGTATTTTTAGTAGAGATGGGGTTTCACCATGTTGGTCACGCTGGTCTCAAACTCCTGACTTCAGGTGATCCGCCTGCCTCTGCCTCCCAAAGTGCTGGGATTACAGGTATGAGCCACCGTGCCTGGCTGTATGTGTATCTTTGAATGTAAACTGTCTTCTGTAGCCGTGTACAGTTGGGTCTTTTTTATAAATGTAGCCTGACAATCTCTACCTTTTGATTGGATTGCTCAATTAATTAACATTTATTATTATTATTGATATAGCTGGATTTATACCTGACATTAAAATTTTTGTAGGCCAGGCCCGGTGGCTCATGCCTGTAATCCCAGCACTTTGGGAGGCTGAGGAGGGTGGATCACCTGAGGTCAGGAGTTCCAGACCTGCCTGGCCAACATGGTGAAACCTTATCTCTACTAAAAATTTAAAAAATTAGCTGGGCGTGGTGGCAGGTGCCTGTAATCCCAGCTACTCAGAAGGCTGAGGCAGGAGAATTCCTTGAACCTGGGAGGCAGAGGTTGCAGTGAGCTGAGATCGTGCCATTGCACCCCAGCCTAGGCAACAAGAGTGAAACTCCGTCTCAAAAAAAAATTTTTTTTTGTTTCTATCTCTCATGTCTTTTTATTCTTCTCTTCCTCCTTTACTTTTTTTGTGTGAATATTTCTTAGTGTAAAATTTAAATCCTTTACTGATTTTTTTTTACTACATTTCCCTCCTCTCCCCTCCCCTCCCCTCCCCTTCCCTTTGCAAGAGCTTCTTTTCACTTAGTACCTTTTCAAGGTTCATCCATGTTGTAGCACATGTCAGCACTTCATTTTTTTTTTAATGGCTGAATAATGTCCCATTGCATAGATATAATACATTTTAACAATCCATTCATTAATGGATGAACAGTTGGGTTATCTCCACTTTTTGGCTATTATGAATAATGCTGCTGTGAACATTCTTGTACAAGTTTTTGTGTGGCCCCTTCCCTCCCCTCCCCTCCCCTTTCCTTCCCTTGACAGAATCTCACTGTGTCGCCCAGGCTGGAGTGCAGTGGCACAATCTCAGCTCACTTCACCCTCCACCTTATGGGTTCAAGCAATTCTCGTGCCTCAGCCTCCAGAGTAGCTGGGATTACAGGTGTGCACCACCACGCATGGCTAATTTTTGTATTTTTGGTAGCCATGTTGGCCAGGCTAATCTGGAACTCCTGAACTCAAGTGGTCCTCATGCCTCAGCCTCCCAAGGTGCTAGGATTACAGGTGTGAGACACCACACCCAGCCCTATATTTGTATTTTCTTAGTGCTCACTGTAGGGCTTACCATATCATCTTAACTGAGCAGAGTCTTGTTCAGATTTATTCCAAGTTAATTCCTGTGAGGTAAAGAAATATTATTCCTGGCCGGGCGTGGTGGCTCGTGCCTCTAATCCCAGCACTTTGGGAGGCTGAGGTGGGTGGATCACGAGGTCAGGAGATTCAGACCATCCTGGCTAACACAGAGAAACCCCATCTCTACTAAAAAATACAAAAAATTAGCCAGGCGTGGTGGCAGGCGCCTGTAGTCCCAGCTACTCGGGAGGCTGAGGCAGGAGAATGGCATGAACCCGGGAGGCGGAGGTTGCAGTGAGCCGAGATCATGACACTGCTCTCCAGCCTGGGTGACAGAGCGAGACTCCATCTCAAAAAAAATAAAAAGAAAAAAGAAAAAAGAAATACTATTCTTATATAGCACTATTCCCTCTTTCTCCTTTTGTATTAATATTGTTATACCAATGATATCTATATATGGCTATATATTTATACCTATAAATACTTTGTTATACTTATTACTTTATATAATTGTATCTCTATTAAAGAAGATGTGGCTGGGCATGGTGGCTCACACCTGTAATCTCAGCACTTCGGGAGGCCAAGGCGGGTGGATCACGAGGTCAGGAGATCGAGACCATCCTGGCTAACACAGTGAAACCCCGTCTCTACTAAAAATACAAAAAATATTAGCCAGGCATGGTGGCAGGCACCTGTAGTCCCAGCTACTCAGGAGGCTGAGGCAGGAGAATGGCATGAACCTGGGAGGCGGAGGTTGCAGTGAGCCGAGATCGTGCCACTGCACTCCAGCCTGGGCGACAGAGCAAGACTCCATCTCAAAAAAAAAAAAAAAAAAAAAAAAAACCACAAGAGAGAAAAAAGAAGCTGTGAAAAGAAAAGAGAGCAAGTATATATTTATAGAGTTGTTACATTAACCTTCCTATTTACCATTTCTTGTTCTCCTCATTAGTTCCTGTGGATTCCAGAGTTACCATCTTGCTGTAGCTTTGCTCCTATGTACCTCATTTGTGCGGTTATTGCTAAATATGTTACATTTATCTAACAATTTGGAACATATATACTGGTTTATATAATTGCTTTTTAAATCAAGTAACAGAGGAAAGAAGAAGAAATATACTATTTTTTTGTAATTACATAATTACCTTTACCAGTGCTCTTTGTTTTTTTCACATAAATTCAAATTACTGGAGCCACTTGCTTTCAGCCTGAAGAACTTCCTTTATTAGTTCTTGTAAGGTGGGTCTGCTAGCCAAAAAAAAAAAAAAAAAAAAAAATCTCATTGTGTTTATCAGTGAATGTCTTTATTTTGCCCTTATATTTGAAAGATAGCTTTTCTGGCTCTCAGATTTTTGGTTGTCAGGTCTTTTTTTTTCCCTTTCCTTCAGCTCTTGAAACATATCATCCCATTGCTTTCTGGCCCCCATTGATTCTGATGAGAAGTTAGTTGTTAATCTTATTGGGTTTCCCAATAAGTTACTACTTTCAAGATTTTCTCCTTAGGCTTTCAACATTTTTATTACGATGTGTCTAAGTGTAGATTTCTTTGAGTTTGTACTACTTGGTTTTGTTTTTTTGAGGCTGAGTCTTGCTTTGTCGACCAGGCTGGAGTGCAGTGGCATGATCTCGGCTCACCGCAACCTCCGCCTCCCAGGTTCAAGTGATTCTTATGCCTCAGCCACATGAGCACCTGGGATTACAGGCGTGCACCACCGTGCATGGCTTATTTTTGTAATATTAGTAGAGGTGGGGTTTCACCATGTTGGCCAGGCTTGTCTCAAACTCCTGGTCTCATGCGACATGCCCCCCTCAGCCTCCCAAAGTGCTGACATTATAGGTGTGAGTCACCGCACCTGACTGAGTTTGTCCTATCTGGAATTTGTTGAGCTTCCTGGATGTTTAGATGAATGTTTCTCATTAAATCTGGGAAGTTTTCAGCCACTACTTCTTGGAATGAGTATTTTTTTTCCTATTCCTTTCTCTATCCTCTCCTTCTGGTCGTTACATATATGTTGATGCACTTAATGGTGTCTCACATTTCTCTGAGGCCCTGTTTCCTTTCCTTCATTCTTTTCTTCCTCTGTGTTCTTTGAATTGCATTATCTCTATTGACATATCTTCAAGTTTGACTTGTTCTGTCAGTTAAAATCTACTGTTGAGGTCCTCCAGAAAAATTTTCATTTCAATTGTACCTTCAATTCTTGTCTTTACATTTGGCTCCTTAAAAATATTTTATATGGTTTTATTGATATTCTCTATTGATGAGACATTGACCGCATAGCTTCATTTACTTTTTTTTTCTTTTTTGAGACGGAGTCTCACTTGTTGCCCAGGCTGGAGTGCAGTGGCACAATCTCGGCTCACTGCAACCTTCACCTCCTGGGTTCAAGTGATACTCCTGCCTCAGCCTCCTGAGTAGTTAGGACTATAGGCGCCTGCCACCACACCCAGCTAATTTTTTGTATTTTTAGTAGAGACAGGGTTTCACTGTATTAGTTAGGATGCTCTTGAACTCCTGACCTCGTGGTCTACCTGCCTCAGCCTCCCAAGGTGTTGGGATTACAGGCGTGAGCCAGCATGCTGGCTACTTTTTTTTTTTTGAAATGGAGTTTTGCTCTGTCGCCCAGGCTGGAGTACAATGGCGCGATCTTGACTCACTGCAACCTCTGACTCCTGGGTTCGAGCGATTCTCCTGCCTCAGTCTCCCGAGTAGCTGGAATTACAGGCACCCACGACCATACCTGGCTATTTTTTGTATTTTTAGTAGAGACGGGGTTTTACCATGTTGGCCAGTCTGGTCTCAAACTCCTGACCTCAGGCGATCTGCCTGCTTTGACCTCCCAAAGTGCTGGGATTAAGGTGTGAGCCACTGCGCCCAGCCTCTTTACTTTTTAAAGCACAGTTTCCTTTTGTTCTTTGAATTGTTTGTTAAATCTGACATCTGGGCCCTCACACAGGTATTTCTGTCGCCTGTTTTTGTGTTTGTTTTCCTTATATAAGAGTCACACTTTTCTGTTTCTTTTCATGTGTCATAATTTTGTTGTCGTTGTTGAAAACTGGACATTTAGTCCATAGCAACTCTGGATACTGACTCCCTTTACCCTTCTCCAGAGCTTGTTTTTATTACTGTTATTGTCATTATTAATTAATTAATTTATTTATTTATTTTAGGGACATAGCTGTTTTAGTGAAGTCTATTTCCCCTGCAATGTGAAGCTTTTTGTGTCACTCCTTGGAGGACTGTCCTGGGATGCAGTGATTTCAGCAAAGTTCTCAGCTTAACTCTTTCTTGATTTTTCTTTTAAGCTAGATGCTTCATTGGTTATCACATCCAGCTACTAGGCTACACTAATTGCCTGCTGTTTTCCACTAATTGCTCTATTGTTTTCAACAATTCTCGGGGACATAAATTGTTCCATAAGCAGATTTAATTAAATTCAGGCAGGAGTAGATTTTGAAGCCATTCTTTTGGGTTTGTTTTAACCTCAGGTGAGCTCTTTGTTGTGGTAGCTAATGAAGAATCTTGTGGAAATAAAAGAGTTTTGAGAAGGAGTTGGCATTTGAACTACATCTATAAAAGTGAATTGGATTTCAGCAGGCAGAGATGTAAGAGTAAAGGTAAACTGCAAAGCAGGTAAGAGAATTATCCAAGACTTAAATCATGGGCATTCAAGATAAAAAAGAGAATTATCAAAGACACAGAGCCAAGGAATCATGGTATTCTCATTATGACTGTATATGAGTGTGAGTATAGTGGAAGATACAAGTCAAAAAATATTTGCTTAGTATTTTAATCTTTGGACTTTAGAGCCATACTATGTAAGGTCTTGAACGCTACTCTAAAAAATTTGTGCCTGATTCAGTAGGTAGTAGCTAGTGTGTTCATTAGAGTTAGGTCTAGTTGCATTAAAAGGAGAGCCATATAAGGCCGGGCGCGGTGGCTCACGCCTGTAATCCCAGCACTTTGGGAGGCCGAGGAGGGCAGATCTCCTGAGGTCAGGAGTTCAAGATCAGCATAGTCAGCATGGAGAAACCCCGTGTCTACTAAAAATACAAAAATTAGCCAGGTGTCCTGACGCGCACCTGTAATTCCAGCTACTCAGGAGGCTGAGGCCTAAGAATCGCTTGAACCCAGGAGGCGGAGGTTGCAATGACCCGAGATCGCAACACTGCACTCCAGCCTGGGCAGCAGAGCCAGACTCCATCTCAAAAAAAAAAAAAAAAAAAGAAACAAACAAACAAAAAAAAACAAAAAAAACACTGCTCTAAAGCATAAAGTGTATAGGTCTGGCATGCATGGTGGCTCATGCCTGTAATCCCAGCACTTTGGGAGGCCGAGGCGGGTGGATTACCTGAGGTCAGGAGTTTGAGACCAGACTGGCCAACATGGTGAAACCCTGTCTCTACTAAAAATACAAAAATTAGCCAGACGTGATGGTGCAAACCTGTACTCCCAGCTACTCGGGAAGCTGAGGCAGGAGAATCGCTTGAACCTGGGAGGCGGAGGGTGCAGTGAGCCGAGACTGTATCATTGCACTCCAGTCTGGGCGACAGAGTAAGACTCTGTCTCAAAACATGAAAAAAAAAGGAGATCCATATAAATGGGTAAATAAAATTAGAATTTATTTCTGTGTCACATAAAGCACTCTGTAGATAGACAACTCAGGACTCCCATCAAGACTCCACAGTCACTCGCTCATTCTCTCTTTCTGTTCAACTCTTCTTAGTCATGAATTTCATCCTCATAGTTTCCTTGTGGTCTGAAATGGTGGCTGGGGATCCAAATATTATATTTATTTCCTAGACAAAGAAAAAGGGGTAGAGACACAAAAATATGCAATTCTCAGATAAGTTATCACCCCTTTACAGGAGTTTTCCTGAAAACCCATCCAATAAATTCTATTTACATTTCAGTGGATACCTCACGCTATAGGGAAAGCTAGACATTATGGCTTTTTTTTTTTTTTTTTTTTTTTTTTTGAGATGGAGTCTCACTCTGTCGCCAGGCTGGAGTGTGGTGGCGTGATCTTGGCTCACTGCAACCTCTGCCTCCCGGGTTCAGGCGACTCGCCTGCGTCAGCCTCCTCAGTAGCTGTGGTTACAGGGGCATGCCACCATGCCTGGCTAATTGTTTTAGTATTTTTAGTAGAGACGGGGTTTCACCATGTTGGCTAGGATGGTCTCGATCTCTTGACCTCATGATCTGCCTGCCTTGGCCTCCCAAAGTGCTGGGATTACAGATGTGAGCTACTGCGCCGGGCCCTTTTTTTTTTCTTTTTTCTTGAGACGGAGCCTTGCTGTGTTGCCCAGGCTGGAGTGCAGTGGCGCAATCTCAGTTCACTACAACATCCGCCTCCTGGGTTCAAGCAATTTTCCTGCCTCAGCCTCCCAAGTAGCTGGGATTACATGTGTCCGCCACCACGCCCAGCTCATTTTTTGTATTTTTAGTAGAGACGGGGTTTCACCATGTTGGCCACGCTGGTCTTGAACTCCTGATCTCAGGTGATCCGTCCACTTCGGCCTCCCAAAGTGCTGGGATTACAGGCGTGAGCCACCATGCCCAGCCCACTCTGGCCTTCTAACCAGGTACACTCGCTACTGTCCAGAATAAAATCAGAATTCTGTTACTAAAGAAAAAGGGAAAATGGATATTGAGTAAGCAGCTAGCAGTATCTGATATAGGGAGCTATAGAAGCTTTTTGAGTAGGGTAATAACACAATTCTAGCATCATTCTGGGAAGACTGGTCTGGTTGCTGAGGAAATAATAAAGGTGTGGATACTTGTAAGGGTGCAATTGTGACTGAAATTACAGGTGAGAAGCAAAAATGACCTTAACTAGGACAGTGGCAGGTAAGATGGAAAGGATATCCTAAAATGAAAAAGTCTGGGAAAGGGAGGATCACAGATAAAAATTTGTTTTCGAAAAGTCCTTGCAAGACTTCTGTAGGAAAAGCCTATTAAAATCACTTTTCCCTAGGTAAGAAAAAATGTCAGAAATAGAAAACAAAGGTAAGTTTCCCTGGGCCTGCGTTTCATCCAACATTTTAACATATAATGTGAACATAGAAATACACAGGAAAAACATTGGGTTTACACATCACTTTGTAGAGAAATACCAATCTGATGGGGAAAAAAAAGCTGATTGCAGTAGTGTACACCTGTAATCTCAGCTACTCTGGAGGCTGAGGCAGGAGGATGGCTTGAGCCCAGGAGTTTGAGTCCAGCCTGGGCAACATAGTGAGACCTTGTCTCACTAGGGTTTTTTTTTTTTTTTGTCGTTTTTGAGACAGGGTCTCGCTGTGTTGCCCAGGCTGGAATACAGTGGTGCAATCTCAGCTCACTGTAACTTCTGTCTCCCAGGTTCAAGCAATTCTCCTGCCTCAGCTTCCCAAGTAGCTGGGATTACAGACATGTACCACTACACCCAGCTAATTTTTGTATTTTTAGTAAAGACAGATTTTGCCATGTTGGCCAGGCTCGTTTTGAACTCCCAACCTCAAGTGATCCAACTGCCTTGGCTTTCCAAAGTGCTGAAATTACAGGCATGAGCCAGTAAGCCTGGCCCCATGATGTTGATAATTACTGTTTTTCTTTTTTTTTTTTTTTTTAAGAGAGCAACTTCTTTAAGAAAAAAAGGGGAAAAGCTCAAGAGCCTGGCTCAGTGAGTAAAACTGAGCTTCAACATAGAGAAGCGTGAGTTAGACTGAGGGGAAAATTGTACTTACAGTGTAGTTGGGCTCTGAGATATAATTTATAATCCTAGAAACATGTCTTAGAGTCACTGTCAACAAGCTCAATATTTTCCTGTGCCCTCAAAGGATCCCAAGGTTAAGCAATATTGGAAAGGCACAACGAAACAGACAGAAAAAAATTTGATCCTACCATTACACTATACCCTGGTGCATCAAATCATCTAAACCTTAAGGAAAACATAATTGCCTAAAGATATGAAGATGTTCAAGCAAGGTATTAGTCGCGGAGGCTAAAAGAGAAGCTATAGTATGATAGTCCAGAAAGACTGGGAATTTTCAATATTCAAAGAGTGAAGGTTTAAAAGGAATGTAATTAAAGTACATAAAATTATAGCAAAAGTTTACTAAATACAGAAAATTGACTCAGGCATATTTTGTGAACTCAGAAAGAGGAATACACTTGGGCTAAACAAAATCAAGTTCTATTTTGTTACCGGGTAATAAATTAATTACTTCTAGATGAGCTATAGGTCACCAATAAAGCCCTTAAAAAATAATATCAATACCAAGAGTGAACTGTAATGTAAACTATGAACATTGGGTGATAATGCTGTGTCCACACAGGTTCACCAATTGGAACAAATGTACCAGTCAGGTGGGGGATTTTGACAATGGGGGAGGCTATATGTACACTTATGGGGGTAGGTGGTACGTATACATTCTGCTTAACTTTCCCATGAATCTAAAGCTGCTCTAAGCCGTGGGGGGTGACTCAATCCTGTAATCCCAACACTTTGGGAGGCTGAGGTGGGGAGATCACTTGAGTTCAGGAGTTCAAGACCAGCTTGGCCAAGATGGTGAAACCCTGTCTCTGCTAAAAATACAAAAAATTAGCCGTGTGTGGTGGCACACACCTGTAATCCCAGCTACTTGGGAGACTGAGGCAGGAGAATCACTTGAACCCGGGAGGGAGTGGTTGCAGTGACCCAAGATCGTGCCACTGCACTCCAGTCTGGGCAACAGAGCCAGACTCCTTCACACACACACACACACACACACACACACACACACACACACACAAACAAACCTGGGTCAGGCGCGGTGGCTCATGCCTGTAATCCCAGCGCTTTGGGAGGCTAGGTTGGGAGGTTCACTTGAGATTGAGAGGTCAGGAGATCGAAACCATCCTGGCTAACACAGTGAGACCCCGTCTCTACTAAAAATACAAAAAAAATTAGCCGGGCGTGGTGGCAGGCGCCTGTAGTCCCAGCTACTCAGGAGGCTGAGGCAGGAGAATGGTGTGAACCCAGGAGGCGGAGCTTGCAGTGAGCCAAGATCGCGCCACTGCACTCCAGCCTGGGCGACAGAGCAACACTCTGTCTCAAAAAACAAAATAAAAACAAACATACTTTAAAAAATAAAGTATGTAGGCCTGGCATGCGTGGTGGCTCATGCCTGTAACCCCAGCACTTTGGGAGTCCAAGGCGGGCAGATTACCTGAGGTCAGGAGTTTGAGACCAGCCTGGCCAACATAGTGAAACCCTGTCTCTACTAAAAATACAAAAATTGGCCGGGTGAGGTGGCAGATGCCTGTAATCCCAGCTATTCAGGAGGCTGAGGCAGGAGAATTGCTTGAACCCGGGAGGCAGAGGTGTTGCAGTAAGCCAAGATCATGCCACTGCATTCCAGCCTGGGCGACAGAGTGTGAATCTGTCTAAAAACAGTGTATTAAGAAAAATTCACAAATGCAAAAGCTTCAGTGAAAAAATTCAATATTTGAATGTGTTTATATTCATAAAGAATTCTATGAAAGAGTGGACACCAACATGTTAAAGTGTTAAAGGTGATTATTTCAATTTTGAGTGATTTTTATTTTCTTCCTTAATAATCGTATATGTTTTTTGAATTTTTCAGCAAGCTTGTGGTTTCGTTTATTTGTTTGTTTTTTGAGACAGAGTCTTGCTCTGTTGCCCAGGCTTAAGTGCAGTGGCATAATGTTGACTCATTGAAACCTCTGCCTCCCGGGTTCAAGTGATTCTCATGCCTCAGCCTCCCAAGTAGCTGGGATTACAGGCATGCACCACCACGCCCGGCTAATTTTTGTATTTTTAGTAGAGATGGGATTTTGCCATGTTGGCCAGGCTGGTATCAAACTCCTGGCCTCAAGTGAACCACCCAACCTAGCCTCCCAAAGCACTGAGATTACAGGCGTGAGCCACCGTGTCTGGCCAAGCTTGTGTTATTTATCTAATAAGGAATAAATCTGTCTTCCTCATGGAAATAAAAACAATACATATTAGGCTAATAAAGAAAATTAGCCCCTTCCTTTGGAGAAAGGAATAAATTCTGGTAGTAATGTCAGAAAAGATGAACTGCGTCATTGGCAAGCACAGCTGTGTGGCAGTTATTCCATTCCTACATGGGACAGTCAGATGGTAGTATCCATTCACCAGTGGTGCTTGAGAAACTCTTGATGCTGTTTCCTTATATGTGTACATCTTTGAACTATCATTACACTTCTGGTGGTGCCTAGAATGTACTTTGCTATTTAGAGCTAGAGAAAATCCATGTAGGCAGGATGGATTCTCTTAACCAGCATAGATTACTCTCTCCCTTGTATATAAAGACTTCTGCTTGCAGAAAAACAAGTGATGATATAGCTTGAAAGATGATGACTGGATCAGCTGGGAGCCATAGCTCACACCTGTAATACCAGAACTTTTTGAGGCCAAGGCAGGTTGATCACCTGAGGTCAGGAGTTCGAGACCAGCCTGGCCAACATGGTGAAACCCTGTCTCCACTAAAAGTCTAAAAAATTAGCCAGGCATGGTGGCACATGCCTGTAATCCCAGCTACTCAGGAGGTTGAGGCAGGAGAATCACTTGAACCTGGGAGGCGGAGGTTGCAGTGAGCCAAGATCACGCCATTGCACTCCAGCCTCAGCAAAAAGAGCAAAACTCTGTCTAGAAAGAAAGAAAGAAAGAAAGAAAGAAAGAAAGAAAGAAAGAAAGAAAGAAAGATGGATGGATGAATGGATCACTGAGAGGAGGAATGTGTCTGACCCCTGTTGTCTTTGAGGTTGACCCACACTCTAGGACCTCATGCTTTCAGTTGCTTTCTTAATTCATTCAATCCCTTTATTGGGTAACCTATAGGTATTGCGTTAGGTGCTTTGGGAGATAAACAAGACAGGATTCCAGCCCTTCAAGAGTTTTCAGAAACATTTCAATGAAGGTCTATGTCCTGGTTTACACCCTTGCCTCATTGTCTTACTCAATCACAAAACCTTAACTCCAGATTAATCTGCTTTCCCTATGCTTGAGCGAATGCCAGTGGCGAAATTATACATACTTGGGATGGGGTAAAGATTTATTGCCTGTTTGGTATCACTAAGGGAGTTGTGGTTCTTTGAAGAACTGAGATGTTTTGTTTGTGTTTTAAAAACCTGGTTTGATTTTTGTTCAGTTTCCCTTTTTGTCTCCCCTGTAGAACCCAGTGCCTTCTGGCAGCAGGCCTTAGCCATTGTTTCTTTTCTTCTCCCCGGCAACATTTAGCTGCATCTCTGGATAGAATATTAGATGGCTTTTATCTTTGTATTTTTCTGTATTTGATTTTATTTTCTGCCAATAGTATGCATTGTTGATATAAACAGAAAACACGTGAAAGCTACTTTATTGTCAAAACAGGACGAAAGTTCATTGCTTCTTGTTCAGTTCCTTCAGGTCTTAGTAGAAGGTGGACTAACGCAGTTTAAATATTAACCCAGGTAAAGTTTATTCTGGCTCCTTCTCCAGGATGTATTTTCTTATCTCGGTCAGCATTAACTCTAACCACCTGGACTGCTAAGTCATAAATCCTGGATACATCTTTAATACCTCGCCGCCACTATCCAAACACTGTCTAATTCTGTCAATTGTCACTTTAACTATCTTTCAAATATGTCCCTTTCTTTCTTTCTAATTTGCTACTGCCTTAGTTTAGGCCTCTATCATCTCTCACCTGTATTACCACATCACCCTTCTAATTGATCTCTCCACCTCCAGTTGCATCGCCTCCAGTACAGTCTCCTAAATCATAACTCCCCTCTACTTAACATCCTTCACTGGCTCCTCACTGTCTATAAACATACGAATCAGTCTAGGCAATGTAGTAAGACCCTGTCTCTACAAAAAAAAAAAAATTTGGCCGGGTGCCGTGGCTCACGCCTGTAATCCCAGCATCTTGGGAGGCCGAGGCGGGTGGATCACCTTAGATCAGGAGTTTGAGACTAGCCTGACCAACAGGGAGAAACCCTGTCTCTACTAAAAATACAAAATTAGCAGGGTGTGGTGACACATGCTTGTAATTCCAGCCTACTTGGGAGGCTGAGGCAGGAGGATTACTTGAACCCGGGAGGCGGAGGTTGCAGTGAGCCAAGATCGTGCCATCGCACTCCAGCCTGGACAACAAGAGCGAAACTCCATCTCAAAAATAAATAAATAAATAAATAAATAAATAAAATTAGCCAGGCATGATGGCGGGTGATTGTGGTCCCAGCCACTTCAGAGGCTGAAATGGGAGGATTGCTTGAGCCTGGGAGGCAGAGGTTGCAGTGAGTCAAGATTTGCACCCTCGCCTGGGTGACAGAGTGAGGCCCTGTCTACACCCCACTCCCATCAAAAACAAAAAGAGTATGGCTCAGAATGTCTCAACATGGTCTACAAACTTTTTAAGTCCTGACACTGGCTTTACCTCTGGCCCCTTTAACAATACTCACGACTTCCTTCATGTCTCCTGGATGGTTCTGGCTCCTTATTGCCTTGTGGCCTTTGACCTTGATTTTTTTTTCCTTTGTTTGGAATGTTCCTCCTCCCTACCCTGATGACAAAACTCCTCCTACTGGTTCAGAAAACTGGGCTCAGTTAGCCTTCTTCCATTCTCCCTTCCCTCTCCTCCAACCGCCAGCTGTGATCATCATTAACCTGCTCCCACTGTATTCAGAAGATAATAACATAAACAATAATAATAGCAGTTAGCCAAGCCTGGTGGCTCACACCTTTAATCACAGCTACACAGGAGGCTGTGGCAGGAGAACAGTTTGAGTCCAGAAGTTTGAGGCTGCAGTGAGCTACGATCATGCCATTGCACTCCAGCCTGTGTGACAGAGCAAGAAACCTGTCTCCAAAAATAAGAATAAAAATAAAATAACAAAAACCATTAATATTGGTTGAGCACTTCTATATACCAGTGTCTATATGTGAAGCTTTGAAGGCATTAACCAATTTAATCCACACAATGACCCTGTTGGGTAAACACATTTTTTTTTTTTTTGAGACAGAGTCTCCCTCTGTCACCCAGGCTGGAGTGCGGTGGCGCGATCTCTGCTCACTGCAACCTCCACGTCCCGGGTTCAAGCGATTCTCCTGCATCAGCTGCCTGAGTAGCTGGGATTACAGGTGTGCGCGTGGCGCCCGGCTAATTTTTTTTTTTGTATTTTTAGTAGAGATGGGATTTCAGCAAGTTGGTCAGGCTGGTCTCAAACTCCTGACCTGGTGATCTGCCCCCCCTCAGCCTCCCAAAGTGCTGGGATTACAGGGGTGAGCCACTGCGCCCAGCCTTTTTTTCGAGACAGAGTTTCGCTCTGTCACCCAGGCTGGAGTGCAGTGGCGCAATCTCGGCTCACTGCAACCTCTACTTCCCGGGTTCAAGCGATTCTCCTGCCTCAGCCTCCCAAGTAGCTGGGATTATAGGTGCCTGCCACCACACCCAGCTAATTTTTTGTATTTTTAGTAGAGATGGGGTTTTGCCATGTTGGCCAGGCTGGTCTCGAACTCATGGCCTCAAGTGATCTGCCCACCTCGGCCTCCCAAAGTGCTGGGATTACAGGCATGAGCCACTGTAAAGAATTTTTTTTAACATCTTTTTCTTTTTTTCTTTTTGAGAGGGAGTCTTGCTCTGTTGCCCAGGATGGAGTGCAGTGGCGCGATCTCGGCTCACTGCAACCTCTGCCTCCCAGGTTCAAGAGATTCTCCTGCCTCAGCCTCCCAAGTAGCTAGGATTATAGGCGCCTGCCACCACACCCGGCTAATTTTTTGTATTTTTAGTAGAGACAGGTTTTCACCATGTTGGCCAAGCTGGTCTCGAACTCCTGACCTCAGGTGATCCGCCCACCTTGGCCTCCCAAAGTGCTGAGATTACAGGTGTGAGCGACCACGCCTGGCCTTTAACATCCTTTTATTGTAACACTTATCTCATTGTTTTGAAATGGCTTATACCTATTAGTGTCTCCAATAGACAGTCTTATTCATATTCTTAGCACTAGCAACTATACAAGTTCTGTACACCTGTTTTTTTTTCAATATGATGAAGTCAACACTTGCATTTAACCAAACCTTGATTTCCAAGGATTGAGTAATGTGAGATTTTCAGTGCAGTGGTGGGAGAGGCTTGGAGTCTGAGCACAGGCTTTGGAGTCCCTCCAATCATATATCATCTTTGCCCTTGCACTAAATGGTATCCCCATCCTCTCAATTGCTTAAGGAAACAACCTGGGAGTCATCTCGTTTACTACCTTTCTTCACACCTGCACCTCGGGAAAATATCCTGAAATCTTTCAATTTCTATTTCCACACCAACCAGCCTAGTCCAGGTACCACCATCTACCCCCTGAACTTGCCCAATAACTTTGTATTGTTCTTCGGCTCCTTTTTGTTCCATTGCTGCTCCCTTCAAGTCATTCTCTATAAAATAGGTTGATTTAAAAAAAAAAATAAACCAATGGCCGGGCACGTGGCTCATGCCTGTAATCCCAGCAGTTTGGGAGGCTGAGGCGGGAGGATCACTTGAGCCCAGGAGTTCAGGACCAGCCTGGGCAACACAGCGAAACCCTGTCTCTACAAAAAATACAAAAATTAGTCTGGTGTGGTGACGCCCACCTGTAGTCCCAGGTACTAGGGAGGCTGAGGTGGGAAGATGACTTAGCGAGCCTGGGGAGGTAGAGGATGCAGTGAGCCCTGATTGCACCACTGCACTCCAGCCTGGGCGACAGAGTGAGACCCCATCTCAAAACAACAAAAACCCAAACCCTTCATTATCTTGCCTTTGCACTTAACAGATAAATCCAAACAACGTGATTAGGTTCCTGCTTAATGCTCCAAACTCAACTTCAAACCCCTATTTGACATGCTCAAGCCTCCTGGCCTGTTCCTCAAACAGCCACGCTTCAGCATCAGCCACAGTTCAGCATCGGGGCCTTGACACCCATTATCCTCTGTCTAGAATGTTCTTCCTCCCCATGGTTGGCTTGGCTGGCTCCTTCTTGTCATTTAGGTCTTAGCTCCTGAATTATCTCCTCAGAAAATCCTTCCCTGACCATTCTGTTTTGTTTTCTGCTCAGTACTTATCACTGCCAGTGATTATCTCATCTATTCGTTTTATTATTTATATTCTTCATTAGAAACATAAGCTTTTGTTGTTTGAGACAGAGTCCCACTGTGTTGACCAGGCTGCAGTGCAGTGGCATGATTTTTTGGCTCACTGCATCCTCCGTCCCTCACCCCCCATCCCCCACCACAAGCAATCCTCTTATCTCAGCCTCCCGAGTAGCTGGGACCATAGGGGCCTGCCACAATTCCCAGCAAATTTTGTTGTCATTGTTGTTGTTGTTGTTGTTGTTTTTAAATTCTGTAGAGAGGGAGTCTCACTATGTTGCTCAGGCTGGTCTTGGACTCCTGGCCTCAAAGTGATCCTCCTGCCTCAGCCTCCCAAAGTGCTGGGATTATAGGCTTGAGCCACCTGTTTGTTTCCTTTCATACCTAGTCCTGCAGAACATAAGCCTCTAAGTGCAGGGGCTTCTTCTGTTTATTCACCACTGTATTTCTAGCACCAAGAATACTATCAATATTTTTTGAATGAATGAATCAAACAGTGAAAAGGCCAGTCATCTTGGTGTATATAGAAGGTAGCCAACAGAGACCCAATAGAAATGAGTGCCTATGTTCCTACTGCTCTATAACTAGTGGGAGTGGGGAGGGGAAGCAGCTGGGGGTCTACCAGACCCTGTCACCAACTAGTCAGCACACGTGGCAATCACAGTTGTAGAAGAGGCCAAACGGAGCAGATCTGCCAATGACAGCCAGTACTAAACTCGACTGGATGCTGAGGGCCATTTCTGCTTTGAGTGAACAGTGCAGCCTGCTGGGTGGCCAAGGGAACGTGTACAAATCCACTTTGTTTAAAGGACCCAGAGAGTAGTCAGTTCTGCTAAACCTCATCTGTTTGTTCAGGGATTTTTGTCCTGGGGAGGAGTGGGGAAGAAGCGATTAGTCAGGCCAGGCTAGCTGGTATTAGTTTGCAGGCTGTGAGTGCGACTCTTCAGTCTCTGCTCCTCTCATCATTGCCTTTTCACCTACCTTTACCCTAAATTTACGTACACCTCTGCCTTCACAAATTCCAAGCGATTAACTGTTGTATTTAATCTCTGTCCCAAATCTCTCTGCATCATTCTTCTTTTGATTATGAAGTCACGAGGGCCCTTTGTTTATTTTATTTTTAAAACTTTTTTTGAGAAGGAGTTTAGCTCTTATTGCCCAGGCTGGAGTGCAATGGCACAATCTAGGCTCACTGCAACCTCTGGCTTCCGGGTTCAAGCAATCCTCCTGCCTCAGCCTCCCGAATAGCTGGGATTACAGGCGCGCGCCACCAAGCCCGGCTAATTTTTTGTATTTAGTAGAGACGGGGTTTCACCATGTTGGTCAGGCTGGTCTCGATCCTAACCTCAGGTGACCCAGCCACCTCGGTCTCCCAAAGTGTTGGGATTACAGGCGTGAGCCACCGCACCTGGCCTCAAGGGCCCTTAAATATTACTTAGTTGTTCCATTATTTGGTGTGTTTTATTATTTGGTGCAGGTTTTTTCCCCTTATCTAGTTTGAATGTTGCTGAAGGACGCTGGTTTTCAAACGGTAAGGAATCTCCTGATAAAGGCACGAATCTTGGTGTGCAGATAAGCCAGCGATTCTTGCTTCTGGCTAGTTCTACGTTGTTCCTGGATGGTCAGTTCAAACTGCAATGATCCACAGCTCCAGAAGCGGCTTCTTCCAGTCGGCCTAGGAGCCAAACGCCCCTGCAGCTCCATGCTACCACGCAGGGTGCCGTTTCGGGCTTGCAGGGAGTTGTCGCAGTCCCGTTTTGGCTGCACATTCTACTGCTGGGGTGGAAGTGTCAAGCAAGATGTTGTCGCCGGTATCATGATGTCCGGGTGAGAAGCTTCCTTGGCAGGTTGCCAGGGCCAGCCTGCGAGCACTGGCGCCGGGGACCCGCGCGCCCGGGAAGGGGCGGGGAGGTGGGCGGAGCCTGGCAACCTGGGGACCACCAATAGGATGCTCAGCCGGAGGTGGCCCTGCGCGTGACGCAGCGGTGCTCGGAGGCAGGGGGCGTAGGGGCCGGGCTGTCCGGCGCTTTAGCTTAGCAGGCGACGTTGCGGGCCCTGGGCGCCAGGAGAGCTTCCCGGAGTCGACCTTCCTGCTGGCTGCTCTGTGACCGCTTCCCGGCTCTGCCCTCTTGGCCGAAGTGCCCGCTGCCGGGCGCGGGCCTCAGGTAACGGTGGTGCTCCCGCGCCTCTCCTCGCTTCCCGCTTGGGTCCACCGGCCTCAGCCCGCGGGGAAGGGAGAAGCGGTGGCGGCAGCAGCTCCGGCCCGGCCTTGTCCTGGGCTGTGCTGCGGAGAAGGCGAGGCTCGGCGACTGCAGGGGAGTTGGGGAGGGGAGGGCGGGAAAGTTACCGTCAGGCGCCCGGGTCACGGGCAGCCTTTTAAACCCTGCACGCTGGTTTGGTGTTCCGCAAATCTCGTGGCATCTCTCAAGTCAGTAGTAAAGAAAGTTAGGAATTAGAAGACGTTTTATTCTTTAAAAAGCGAAACCAAAAATGCACTCAGGAAGTCAGCTTTTTAATGATTTAGAGAAAATGTGTGAAGGGAAGGATGGTATTAGCAAGACATGAAAATCTGTAGGGGCACCAGAACCTTTAATCAAGCTCATGTTTTATTGTAAAATATTAGGATGTAGGTAAGTTTCTGTTTTCCCTAAGTGTTAATGGTCATGTAATTTAAATAATATGTATATTGAAAGGTTATTTCTAAGTGAGAAACAACTATATAAACTTTATTCTCCGTATATATATTTAGGTTAAGTTCGTTGGTCACTTTTGTTTGTTTGAGACGGAGTCTCGCTGTGTCGCAAGGCTGGAGTGCAGTGGCGCAATCTCGGCTCACTGCAACCTCTGCCTCCCGGGTTCAAGCGATTCTTGTGCCTCAGCCTCCTGAGTAGCTGGGATTACAGGCGTGCGCCACCACGCCCAGGTAATTTTTGTAGTTTTAGTAGAGACGGGGTTTCACCATGTTGGACCAGGTTGGTCTCAAACTCCTGACCTCAAGTGATCCGCCCGCTTCGGCCTCCCAAAGTGCTGGGATTACAGGCGTGAGCCACCGCGCCTGGCCTGTTGGTCACTTTTTAATATTTAAGTGGCTGCCACCTGTTTAAACCACTTTTTTCTTTTTTTCAGCCTGCTTGATTTCCTCTTCCTTGAAGTAGAATTCAATTTGAAGCTTTTTTTTTTTCTTTTTAAAAGTTGGGCGGTGTCAGTGAATGACTTGTTAAGGAAGTCTGTGCGTTGTCTGGGTGTGAGAATGGGTTTTGGAAGGAGCTCTGTGGCACTGAATTATCGTTTAGAAATGCACGTGTTTTAGTGAATCACATGCTTAGAATGCATCTGAGGTTTCGCAGTCTTTTAGGATAAAGACCTACTGAGTGAGCACACTCTATCTCTGGTTCATTTGGCCCACTTTCCTTCTGGCTTTCCAGGTTCATGCCACACTGGCTTTATTTTTGTTACTGGAAAGCTTCATTTTCTTTCCTCTCTTGGCTTTTAGGAGTTTCCTCCACCTCTAATGCTGTATTCTCTCCCTCCCTCCAACTCTTATACCTGCCTCAGATATCAGCCCACATATCACTTCCTCTGGAAATCACCCCATCCCCATTAAGCCCTCCATGAACTCTTTATTCTCCTTAGCAGAAGTTGATCATTAATTGTAATGAATTAGTTGCTTTGTTTCCTCTGCTAGTGCATTTCATGAAGGCTGGTTTAGCCTGTTGTAATTTTCAGGGTCTGGTCCAGCACTTGGCCCAGAGAAAGAATGAATAAGTTGGTGGACAGAGGAAGGAACTTTTGAATGAGAAATACAGTGATCCCCACTTAACTGCTTTCTGTAGTTTCAGCTACCTGAGGTGCGAAACAGAGTACAATAAGACATTTCGAGAGATACCATGTTCAAGTGAATTTTAATACAGTATATTGTTAATCTCTTACTGTGCCTAACTTTTTGAAACTTTGCCTCCCAGGTTCAAGGGATATTCATGCCCCAGCCTCCCAAGTAGCTGGGATTACAGGCGTGTCCCAGTACGCCCGGCTAATTTTTTTTTTTTTTTTTGAGATGGAGTTTGGCGCTTGTTGCCCAGGCTGGAATGGCACGATCTCGGCTCCCCGCAACCTCCGCCTCCCGGGTTCAAGCGATTCTCCGCCTCAGCCTCCCAAGTAGCTGGGATTACGGGCATGTGCTACCACGCCCGGCTAATTTTTTTTTTTTTTTTTTTTTTTTTTTTTTTTTTTAGTAAAGACTGATCAGATCTTACTGGTCAGGCTGGTCTCGAACTTCCAACCTCAGGTGATCCACCCGCCTCAGCCTCCCAAAGTGCTGGGATTACAGGCGTGAGCCACCGCGCCCAGCTCACCCGGCTAATTTTTGTATTTTTAGTAGAGACAGGGAGGGTTTCACTGTGTTGGCCAGACTGGTCTCAAACTCCTGATCTCAGATGATCGGTCTGCCTCGGCCTCCCAAAGAGGTGGGATTACAGGCGTGAGCCACTGTGCCCAGCCTGTAAATGAAACTTTATAATAGGTATGTATAGGAAAAAACAACGTGTATTGGGTTCACTGTTATTCACAGTTCTAGGCATCCACTGGGAGTCTTGGACCGTATCCCCCATGGATATGGGAGAACTACTGTATTAACCAGGGAAGAGTCCCTTTTTCCTATGGGAAAAAGTTTTTAACAAAGACCAGCCAAGTTCTATTTTTCTAAGAGGATGGCTTTGTTTTGCATTTTTTTTGCCACATTGGTTAATAAGAGATTATACTAACCATACAGATGTAAATGAGAATTTGTTCTTGTTCTTTAGTTTTGCTAATTACTTAAAGACCTAGTTCTGTGATATGTAAAAGTTGTAGCGTTGTGTTAGGGCCAACCTTTGGGTGCCAGAGGGAAATTTTTTTTGCTCTGGATTGTAAATTCTATCCACAGTTGTGTCCCCTTTCCACCACTGAATCTAAGGGTGATGTGGCAAAGTTCTTTACCTGGAGTAGGCACTCAGTATTTGTGATACAGATTTATGGGCTCTTTTGAAAGCTGTATTAATGGGAACACGGAGGCAGGCTAAAGTTGACATGTCTTTCCAAGTTCATTTGTTTCTCAAATCATTTCTTTTTGTTTTGCTTTCTTAAGATAAGTTAGATGCTTATCACACTGAACATTATGTAATTGCGTGCACAGATTAGATTCTTAAGAAATTCTTTTTCAATCAGTGTGTTGTATAAATAGCTGTCTACTTAGCTTTGTTACCTGGGGGGGAATAGCTTTATGTTACCTGTGACTTTGAACAAGTTTGTTAGCATTTCTGAATCTCCTGCATCTTTAAAAATGGACATGTTAAATGAGATATGTGCTACACCTACTGCACTCAGCACTTTGTTACCTGCTTCCTAAACGCTAGAGATTCCTTCACTGCTAGACCTCTTGAGAGACTAGTCTTATGATCACTGTTTTCACTTCCTCAACTTACTGGCGGTGTACTCCAATATATTTATTTGTCCTTCCTCCTAAAACTGTGCATGTAATCAAATCATAGCTATTAATGTCCCCCAATTGTGAAATATCCCATGTCCTGTCCTTTTCTTTTCTTTTTTGAGACGGAGTCCAGCTCTGTCACCCAGGCTGGAGTGCAGTGGCGCGATCTCGGCTCACTGCAACCTCCGCCTCCTGGGTTCAAGCAATTCTCTGCTTCGGCCTCCCGAGTAGCTGGGATTACAGGCACCTGCCATCACCCCTGGCTAATTTTTTGTATTTTTAGTAGAGACGGGGTTTCATCATCTTGGCCAGGCCAGTCTAGAATTCCTGACCTTGTGATCCACCCGCCTCAGCCTCCCAAAGTGCTGGGATTACAGGCGTGAGCCGGTGCGCTTGTTTAAGAAACAGTGGAAGGCCAAAGTAATGAGTAGAGAAAATGAGACAGCCAAGATCATGCCACTGCACTTCAACCTGGGCGACATGGCATGACTCCGTCTCAAAAAAAAAAAAAAAATGCCGGGCGCGGTGGCTCACACCTGTAATCCCAGCACTTTGGGAGGCCGAGGCAGGCGGATCACCTGAGGTTGGGAGTTCGACACCCCATCTCTACTAAAAATACAAAATTAGCTGGGTGTGGTGGCCTGTAACCCCAGCTGCTCCAGAGGCTGAGGCAGGAGAATCGCTTGAATCCAGGAGGCGGAGGTTGCGGTGAGCTGAGATCGTGCCATTGCACTCCAGTCTGACCAACAAGAGTGAAACTCTGTCTCAAAAAAAAAAAAAGATTGATGGTGTTTAAGGGGGTGGTGGTGAGTGGCAGGCAATGCAGAAGTTACTAGATCATGGTAAGGACTTAGGATGTTTGAAGGGGTTTAAGTTGTGAAGTGACTTGATCTAACTTGAGTGCAATGGTGTGATTGAGGTTCACTGCAACCTCCACCTCCGGGTTCAAGCGATTCTTCTGCCTCAGCCTCCTGAGTAGCTGGGACTACAGGTGCCTGCCACCACACCTGGCTAATTTTTTGTATTTTTAGTAGAGACGAGGTTTCACCGTGCTAGGCTAGCCAGGATGGTCTCGATCTCCTGACCTGGTGATCTGCCCACCTCGGCCTCCCAAAGTGCTGGGATTACAGATGTATTCCACCATGCCCGGCCCTGTTTTAGCTTTTGATGTAAGGTTTCCTCTAGAGTAGCTTGATGGTTGAGGAACCATCTTATTACCAAGGACTCCCTTTTTATATTTCTTCTTTTGGAGACAGGGTTTCACTCTGTTGTCTGGGCTGGAGTGCAGAGGTGCGACCTGTGCTCACTGCAACCTTCGCCTCCTGGGTTCAAGTGATTTTCCTGCCTCAGCCTCCTGAGTAGATGGGATTACAGGTGCTTGCCACCACGCCGGGCTAAATGTTTTTTGGGTAGTTTTAGCCTAGTGTACCTTAAATATGCTCCAAACACTTAATATTAGCCTACAGTTGGGCAAAATTATTGAACACAGACTATTTTACAATAAAGTGTTCATTATCTCATGTAATTTATTGAATACTATACTGAAAGTGAAAAACAGAATAGTTGTATGAGTACTCAAAATATGATTTCCACAGAATGCATGTTGCTTTTGCACCATCATAAAGTTGAAAAATTTTAAATTGAACCATCATAAGTTGGGGACTGTCTTGTGCTTAGAATAATTGGTTACATATTAACTGATACATTTGCTTTCTTTCTTAATGCCTGCCTGTTGTACTCCAGGTACTCCACACTAGATTTGGGGGAGTCTTACAGAAAATACTATGTAATCCCTATCTTTGAGAACTTAAGCCTAATGTAAGAGACAGAGAGTATTGCTCTCTGATTATAGGACAATGTAACATGTGACAGGATGCTCAGTGTAGTGGGACCGCAGAGAGGATGAGATGAGAGGTGGTGGTAAAGGAAACTTCAGAGGGTGAGTTGGAGGCGGTTTAGCGATTAGAGGGCAGGTTGTAGAATCTGATAGTCTTTGTTTTGAATTCTAGTTCTGCTGTTGGAGAATTATTTGATTTGGGACAAGTTAAATCACTTCCCTAAACTCATCTGTAAAATGAGGATAATACTTATCTAAGGTTGTAAAGATTAAATGTAATGTAAAAAGTTTAGCAGCACAGTGCCTAGAGGTACATAATAGGTGCTCATTAAATCAGAACTGTTGGTATTAATTCTATTACTGCTGTAGCTGTGATTCTTTGAAGGCTTGAGTAGGAGTTAGCTACATAAAAAAAGGGCAGAGGAGAAATAGCTTTCTATAGACAGGGAAGAGTATATGGGACACTATGGTGGCCAAAGAATATTTGGAAAATAACAATAGTATCTGTCTTGATTCTGTTGAGATGAAAATAATACATGTAAAACACATAAGCACTAAAAAAAATCAGCTGTTATTATTCTACTTTGAGAAATATTGCATTGTGCTATACTGTTTCATATGGCTTGGGTAATAAACTTTAATCTGGCATTTATTTTTTAATCATTTTGCTATCTTTTTTTTTTTTTTTTTTTTTTTTTTGAGACGGAGTCTTGCTCTGTTGCCCAGGCTGGAGTACAGTGGTGTGATCTCAGCTCACTGCAAGCTCCGCCTCCTGGGTTCATGCCATTCTCCTGCCTCAGCCTCCCGAGTAGCTGGGACTACAGGCGCCTGCCCCCATGCCCAGCTAATTTTTTTTTTTTTTGTATTTTTCGTAGAGATGGGGTTTCACTGTATTAGCCAGGATGGTCTTGATCTCCTGACTTCATGATCTGCCCACCTCAGCCTCCCAAAGTGCTGGGATTACAGGCATGAGCCACCGCACCCGGCTTCATTTTGCTGTCTTTTATGCTTTAAACTTTTGCTATATGCTCTTTAAAAGAGTATCTACTTTAAATTCCCCATCATCTGGCCAGAAAAAAAAAGTCTCTGTTCATCTGGCCAGAAAAAAAAAAATTCCCATTATTCCTTGTAAAATTCCTCTCTTACTGAAACATCTTGGTTCCTTTTGTGTCTTTCTTTTTCTTCCCTGATTTCCTCTACTTTGAGGCTGTCCCTCAAAGTTTAGTTTTCAGTTCTTACTTCTCTCATCATTTCTGATGAAGAGATAGATGCTCTTGTGGCTTCCTCTGTCACTTTTACACAGAATTGGACCATTGTAAGTTGGGCATCGTCTTGTGATTTATTAGCCCTGACTTTTCCCTTAAGTTCCTCTTAATTAGATCTTATGATATCATAACATTTCTACTTGATATATTCATCTGCTGTTCCACAATTGTTTCATTTGTTTGATTTCAGAAATAATTAGAAGAAAGCCGATCTAGATTTGTCAGATTTTTACTTTGCCAAGCTGTGATAGTTGAAAAACAACCAAACCCACCATGTACTATATTTCATCCTTTTATACAGAAAAGGATATTTTAGTACAAAAATTAAGAAAAACTGTAGTCTCAGAATTTAAATATATATAGCTTTAAAATAATGTAATGAGTATTTCACAGTTGTTTTCTTCTTGCTTTAGACTCTTGAAAACTTTATCACATAGTGAAACACTGCTTTACTTTTTATTTAAAATTGTTTTTTTGGCCGGGTGCGGTGGCTCATGCCTGTAATCCCAGCACTTTGGGAGGCTGAGGCGGGCGGATAACTTGAGGTCAGAAGTTCGAGACCAGCGTGACCAACATGGTGAAACCCTGTCTCTACTAAAATACAAAAATTAGCCACGTGTGGTGGCAGTCACCTGTAATCTCAGCCACTCGGGAGGCTGAGGCAGGAGAATTGCCTGAACCCAGGAGGCGGAGGTTGCAGTGAGCCGAGATTGCACCATTGCACTCCCACCTGGGCAAAGCGATACTCCTTCTCAATAAATAAATAAATAAATAATTTTGAGATGTGGTCTTGCTATGTTTCCCATGCCAGACTCAAACTCCTGGGTTCAAGTCATCCTCCCGCCTGAGCCTCCCAAGTAGCTGGGACTACAGCTGTGTGCCACCATGCCCAACTAGGGAAACACATGGCTTTAGAGTAAACCTTGTACTATCTTGATATTGATCTTTGATCATGTTTTTTAGTGCTTAAAGTGTCTCACCACTGCCTTCCTGAAAAACTTCTAATTTCTTAGGCCTTTATAGTTTGACTCCTGTCCTCCTTTCTAGTCTTTTCCCTCATCACATTTCTCCATTACCAACTATTTTCCCCCAGTAGTTAGTGGTCTTTGTAGTTTGGATCCAACTAATGCCAGTTCCAATCGGGCTCTGTCGTTAGCTGTGTGGTCTTGGGCAAGTTACTGTAATGAGAAGAAAAGCAGACTCTAGTACCTGGGGCTGTGGTGTGCATTCCTATAAATTCAGCTTGTTCAACTGCAGGTGTATTCCTGGTACATGGGTGGAGGACACTGATAGTAACTACTTTAAATCATTGTTTTCTCATGTGAAAACTGAGGGTAATTTTTTTCAGAATTGTTATGAAGATTAAATGAGAAAACTTAAAGCATCTGGCAGGGTCCTTGCACTTAGTAGATACTTAACAAAAACTTGTTTTTGTCGTAGTTCAATTCCTTCATGGTTCCCTGAACGGGGCTTATAAGGTCCTTGTTTTAATCCTTTCTTGCACATGGAATGCACAGTTCTCATCCTTCAAGACTGTGTCTAAAATACCTTCTTTTCTGTGAAACCTTTACATCTTCTGCTAATCTCTGCTGTCTCTGAACTTAAGGTATTGTTTTTACCATTGACTTTGTTATTAAATCATACTCCACCCTGTGGCATCTTTGTAGTTACCTGTTACTATTTAATCCTTTTTTTTTTTTTTTTACATACTTAATGCTTTGTTCAACTAAATTGTTCTTTAAGAGTGGGGTCTATGTTTAAAAAGGGGCTTCAAAACCATTCCAATTATTTTATAGGACCTGATTTCTTCAGATTTGTTATCTTGAGTATCTTGTACCCAGAAAATGCTTTGAAATGATTAATGCAAAAGGAAGAGAATGTATCATCACATTTCACCTCTCCTAAATATAGTGGTATTGTGAAATTCACGTAAGCCAGATGCTTAGTTCAAAGCTGATATATTGGTTTGCTTCTGTGTCCCCACACAAATCTCATCTCTAACTGTAATCACCACGTGTCTAGGGAGGGAACTGGTGGGAGGTGATTGGATCATGGGGGCAGTTTCCCCCATGCTGTTCTCGTGATAGTGAGGGAGTTCTCATGAGAGCTGATGGTTTTAAATGTGGCACTTCCTTGCTCTGTCTCTCCTGCCGCCACGTAAGACATGCCTTGCCTCCCCTTGGTCTTCTGCCATGATTGTAAGTTTCCTGAGGCCTTTCCAGCCATGCGGAACTGTGAGACAGTTAAACCTCTTTCCTTTATAAATTACCCAGTCTCAGGTAGTGTATAGCAGTGTGAAAACGGACTAATACGAAAGCTTTTTACACCTTCTTTCCTAGACAATACAATGGTGGGTGAAGAGAAGATGTCTCTAAGAAACCGGCTGTCAAAGTCCAGGGAAAATCCTGAGGAAGATGAAGACCAGAGAAACCCTGCAAAGGAGTCCCTAGAGACACCTAGTAATGGTGAGGCTTAATTTTTTTTTTTTAGGTGAATTAGTGAAATAGAGAACAAATACAGTGTTATAGAATAAGTATTGCCATCTCTTTAATTCTTTATTGTAAATGGGTATTGATAGAGTTTTATATGTCTAGTAACAAAGCAATTAGACAATAAGTCCTTTCTCGTTAATTAATTTGGTGGTCATCTATTGGTATCTGCTGTGTTTTAGAGACCATTCATTCAGTCACGTAACCTACCAATAATTGCTGAGGTCCCCCGCTGGATGCTGGGGCTATAGCAGTGATCAGTACGGATTTGTTTGCCATTATGGAGCTCCAAGTTAAGTGAATGACAAAACCTCCAAAATCATACACATAACTAGATTTATCACAGTGTAATATTCTTGTAATTAACTACTTTCATAATAGATGTAATGAGTAAAATGTGAGTAATTAGCAGGGTGCCTAACCCAGTTCAATACTGAGCTATAAATCTTGGGAGAGGAGTAGTTAGGGAGTTTTATTAGTTCTTGTATCCACGTTTGCTTAATGCCTGACTACAAAGAGGAATACGATAGTCCTTTGTTGTTAAGGTCAAGGTTTATGATTATGAATGATAGACTTGTAAACACAACTCTAATTGATGTCATCTATTGCATCAGGGTATTAATTTTTGCAGTGACATTTGTAAAGGTTTGATTTCAACAAGGATTTGAAAATTGAGGATTGTTTAGTTAACAAATAGGTGCGGAACCTTCTGAGACAGGTTGTCTTTGGCATTTCATCTCTTTTCATAAAGAAACAGTTTTGTTTTTCCTACCTAAATTTAATTAAACTTAAATATCAACAGCTGGATCCCACCAGGAATGTAAACATTGCTGCTTGAGTTGGCATAATGAGGTTTATTGATAGGCTCTTAGTTAGCTATATATGACATATTTATATGGCATATGGGCTAGTTTTAGTGTGATATAAAATGTGAAATTTATGCAAAGGAGGATGAGCCAATACTGGGGAGAATTCTCCTTCCGTGATTTAGGGACTTAGTGATAACCCAGTTTGTTTCCCTTGCCTGCATTCTCACGCATTAGAAACTTCATGCTTGTTTGTTCCTTCCAGTTCTTGGGACAGAAAAGTTATTTTAATTGAAACTTTCTGTCACTGTATATGATCATTCTCTTTATGTCCCAAGTTTTTAAAAAGATTCTAAATTCTTCTGATTTCTGTGTATTTTCAGTGTTCTTTATTGTCCTAGTTCATTAAGTTTTAGTCAGTCCAGGTTTTAGTGCAGGTGTTAAAAATTGAATTGGTTAGCTTAAATCAAGAAGTGTAACAACCTCTTTGGTTTAATGTAAATAATGCTAATTTGAAAATGTTTCTTCACATATTGTAACATTTATTCACCTTGGGGAGTAAGTGCTTTGGGAGTAATCCCAAAGTTCTGGGATTACGGGCGTGAGCCACCGTGCCCAGCCTGGTCTAGGTGCCCTTTCTTTCTCTCCTTTTTTTTTTTTTTTTGAGACAGTTTTGCTTTTGTTGCCTAGAGTGGAGTGCAATGGTGCGATATTGGCTTACTGCAACCTCTGCCTTCTGGGTTCAAGCCATTCTCCTGCTTCAGCCTCCCAAGTAGCTAGGATTACAAGCATGCGTCACCACGTGCAGATAATTTTGTTATTTTTAGTAGAGATGGGATTTTACTATGTTGGTCAGGCTGGTCTCGAACTTTTGACCTCAGGTAATCCACCAACCTTAGCCTCCCAAAGTGCTGGGATTACAGGTGTGAGCCACCATGCCCAGCCCTTTTTCTCCTTTTTCTTCCCCTCTTCCTCCTTCTTTGTTTCTTCCCTTTTCCCCCATCCCCTTCTCTTCCTTTTTCCTTCCATTCCTCCTAATTGGAGATAGTCTCGCTTTGTCACCTAGGCTGGAGTGGTGCAATCTTGGCTTACTGCAACCTCCACCTCCCAGGCTCAAGTGATCCTCCTGCCTCACCCTCCCGAGTAGCTGGGATTACAGGCATGTGCTACCACGCCTGGCTAATTTTTGTATTTTAATAGAGTTGGGGCTTCAACATGTTGGCCAGGCTGGTCTTGAACTCTGGCAAGTGATTTGGTTGCCCCGACCTCCCAAAGTGCTGGTTTTATAGGCATGAGCCACCATGTCAGGCCTCCATTCCTTTTAATTTTTTAGTAATATATTTGCATACCATTAAAGTCACCATTTTAAAGTTTACAATTCAGTGGTTGCTAATATATTTACAAGGTTGTGGAACCATCACTGCTGTTTAATTTCAAAACATTTTTATCACCCTGGAAAGGAGTCCCATTCCTCTCCTCTTAGCCTCTAGCAACCACTAATATACTTCCTGTCACTTTGGATTTGCTTGATCTGGGCATTTCTTATAAGGGGATTCGTAGAACATGTGGCCTTTGTGTGTGGCTGCTTGCACTTAGCATAATGTTTTCCATGTTTGTTTGGTTTTTTGATTTGAGGTGGACTCTTGCTCTGCTGTCCAGGCTGGAGTGCAGGGGCTATTCACAGGCATGATTATAGCACATGCAGCCTCGATCTCCTGGCCTCAAGTGATCTTCCTGCCTCAGCCTCCTGAGCAGTATGTTTTAATATGTATCAGTACTTCATTTTTTTTTTTTGTGGCTGAATAATATTTCATTGTATAGGTATGATACAGTTTGCTTATCTGTCAGTTGATATTTATTTTGGGGGGGTTATTTACAATGATTGGCTATTATGAATGATGCTGCTATGAACATTTGTGTAGAAGCTTATGGAATATATGTTTTCAGTTCTCTTGGGTATATACGTAAGAGTTGAGTTGCTGAGTCATGGTAAATGTATGTTTAACTTTTTGAGGAGCTGCTGTACTTTTCCAAAATAGCTACTCCTTCTTATGTTCCCACCAGCAATGTATGAGGGTTCCAATTTCTCCATATCCTCACCAAGACTTATTATCTGTCTTTTGATGATAGCCTTCCAGCCAACAGATTAATAATCTGGTGTCAGTTAAGCACCTTTGATCTAAATGTAAGATAGGGTACCAGGTTTGTTAATAGGGAGCTTGAAGTTGGTGTGCATAAGATACCCAAATAGAAAAAATCCTTTGTTATAAATAGGAGCTAAGTGAGTTATAGTAACCAAATAGAGACCGATGGGGTTGGGGGAGCCCTTGCTTTAGAATGGAGGAAAGTCTCACTGAAGTAGATTTTGAGTTTGGCCTTTGAGATAAGAAGACTGGGAGAGGGCTTTCAATCCACAGAGGTATGCATTTGCAAAGACTTTTTAAGACAGTATAGTGTTGTGTGTGTGGTGTTTTGTTTGCTTTTAGAGAGGGTGACGGGTAGGTAGTACAGATGGATTTGTGGTTGGTTTTCATGGATAGGAGTATAGAGCAAATTGGAAAGGCCAGAAGTAAGTAAGAAGATAAGGCTCCAACAGCCTCTCAGTGCCCAGCCAACTGCCCTGGCAGCTAGTGGGTAGTGGCCCTTGCTGGGGACCCTCCAGTGGGCCCAGGAGGACAAAAGTGGCTCTAAATTTGACACATGCACATTGAAGCAAGTCAAAGGACTTGATATGAAGCATAGAAGCACATAATGCCAAATAGCAAGCAGTAATTGGTATACATTTGGTGATTGGGCAGTATTTCCTTCTTTTACTGCTGCTAAGGTGGTGGAAATTAGTTAAATTCATTGTGAAATGGCACACACTGAAGGTATTTGTTAATGAGGGTTCCAGAAGCGTTAAAAGTAGCACCACCAAAAGCCAGGTGTGGTGGCTCACGCCTGTAATCCCAGCATTTTGGGAGGCCGAGGTGGGCAGATCACGAGGTCAGGAGATCAAGACCATCCTGGCTAACACGGTGAAACCCCGTCTCTACTAAAAATACAAAAAATTAGCCGGGTGCGGTGGTGGGCACCAGTAGTCCCAGCTACTGGGAGGCTGAGGCAGGAGAATGGCGTGAACCCAGGAGGCGAAGCTTGCAGTGAGCTGAGATCATGCCACTGCACTCCAGCCTGGGCAACAGTGTGAGACTCCATCTCAAAAAAAAAAAAAAAAAAAAGCAGCACCACCATATGCTGTCACAAATGCTAGTGTGACAAGGCAGAGAGGATTGTTGTAGTAGGAAATAATAAAGACATTTCCTTTTCAAAACCAGCACATCTCAAACTTTTTCAGTCAGCTCCCTTTAAACTTCTGGCACTAAAAATAGTGCCTTGCATACTTAATGTTAAATGAAAGACGACTATGTTTTCTGGATTTAGAAAGACCACCTTTAATACCTCAAAATGAAGACATCTGTGCAGTTGGCAGTTGTGAGTGAAAACACTGTTTGCCAAAACAGACGGCTGGTCAGAAATGATTGTATACCTGGGTTGCGTGGGATATCTGCTGCTGCCACTTGTAATCCTCATCATGACAATGTTGGGTAAGACATTTCAAACATAGATACAGTTACAGTAGTTGAAGGAATGTCAGATGACATGACTGTTGTAGATGCAACTTCATCAAGATGGTAAACTAAATAGACATCTACAGCTTCTAGAAGAGGAGAGCAAAACACATGCAAGAAGAAATGGTCAGTGTTTGATTACTGTAGCATTCTGGATGCTTAATAGGGGCTCTGGTTTTGTTGTAAAGGTGATGTCCGTTCTCAGAAATACTGTATCAACATCTTCTATGTGGTGGCTTGCATCTATAGTCTGAGCTGCTTGGGAGGATCATTTGAGCCTAGGAGTTGGAATCCAGCCTGGGCAACATAGTGAGACCCCATCTCTTAAAAAAAAATGGTCTTAACTACTGGAAGATTTGCAGACTTCAAAAAAAAATAGGACTTGAAGTCTTACTGTATGTATTGTCATTGACTGATGACCTACCTGTGTGAATGATTTTGGACAAATCTTACAGCTTGTCAGTGCTTAGGTTACCTTTTATGCAAAGCCAAGGATAGCAAATATGAAAGCACTTTCTGCGTATGTAGCACTGTGTTCATCAAGGTATTATCTTTTTTTTTTTTTTTTGAGATGGAGTTTTGCTCTTGTTGCCCAGGCTGGAGTGCAATGGCACAATCTCGGCTCACCACAACCTCCACCTCCCAGGTTCAAGCGATTCTCCTCCCTCAGCCTCCCAAGTAGCTGGGATTACAGGCATGCGCCACCCTCCTGGCTTATTTTGTGTTTTTAGTAGAAACGGGGTTTCTCCATGTTGGTCAGGCTGGTCTCAAACTCCCGACCTCAGGTGATCCACCCACCTCGGCCTCCCAAAGTGCTGATATTACAGGCGTGAGCCACTGCGCCTGGCCTCATTAAGGTATTATCTTATTGGCAGTGCTGTCCACTCTTCTGTCCCAGTTCCTGAGGTAGCTTTTATAATCTCCTGTTGTATATCAACTGAGAATTATAATCTACATGAAATCCTCTAATATTCCTACCAGAAATTATCTCTTGATTTAAAACAAGATAATATGATGTTGTAACAATTTAGTGGTAATAAGGCAGATTATCTTCTTGCATATACAGGCAGCCTACACAGTTGATACAGATGTGGTGATAAAAGAAAAAGAAGCCAAAGTTACTCTAGTTGAGTAATATAGTTCCCAGATGGCCGGGCACGGTGGCTCACTCCTGTAATCCCAGCACTTTGGGAGGCCGAGGCAGGCAGATTGCTTGAGGTCAGGAGTTCAAGACTAGCCTGACCAACATGATAAAACCCTGTCTCTACTAAAAATACAAAAATCAGCTGGGCGTGGTGGTGGGTGCCTGTAATCTAAGCTACTCAGGAAGCTGAGGCAGTAGAATCGCTTGAACCTGGGAGACGGAGGTTTCAGTGAGCCGAGACCGCGCCACTGCACTCTAGCCTGGGTGACAGAGTAAGACTCCGTCCAAAAAAAAAAAAAAAAAGATTTGGTTTTATTAAACCAATTGCTCAAATATGCATATAAATTTTTTTACATTTAAAGTAATATATACTCATTGAAAAAATTCAAACACTATAGAAAGTTATTAAGTAATACTTCCTCAAGTAACATTTTTTTTTACATGTGGGATCATATTTGAGATCTCTTCTGCAATTTGTTTCTTCTATACTTTGTAAGTCTCAGATATCTTTTCATTTAGTATATGTAATTCTTTAAAATACCTGTGTAGTATTTCTGCTGTACGGATGCTTGGCGGTTTATTTAACTTGCTCCTTATTGATGGAAACTTAGGCTGTTTCCAAAGTTGCAGTATTACAAGCAGTGCTACAGAGAGCATCATTGAAACAGCATCATTGCTTACTTGTACTGGTATACCTATAGGATACATTCTTTTTTTGAGACGGAGTCTCACTCTGTCGCCCAAGTTGGAGTGCAGTGGTGCGATCTTGGCTCACTACAACCTCCGCCTCCCTGGTTCAAGCGATTCTTCTGTCTCTGCTTCCTGAGTAGCTAGGATTACAGGTGTGCGCCACCATGCCTTGCTAATTTTTGTATTTTTAGTAGAGATGGGGTTTCACCATGTTGGTCAGGCTGGTCTCGAACTCCTGACCTAGTGCGCCGCCTGCCTCAGCCTCCCAAAGTGCTGGGATTACAGGCGTGAGCCACTGCACCTGGCCAGGATACATTCTTAAAAGTGAAATTGCTAGGTCAAAGGGCTTTTGCATTTAAAATTTAGACATTATCAAATTTCCTTTAAAAAATGTTATGCCAATTTATATTCCTAACTATACTGTTTCACCACACTCTTGGCAATAATCTTACCAGTCTTTTAAAATTCCTGATTTGATGGGTGAAAAACAGTATACATATAGCATAAATTTGTTCTCATGAATTTTAAGTGAGGTGGGGAAATTGTTTCATATTTATTGACCATGTATTTTTTTTCTTTAAAAGCCCTGTTCATATCCTTTGCTCACTTTTATTCCTTATCTGGTGGTTATTATTTTTAAGAGCTTTTTCTATATTAAATAAATTAATCCTCTGATTATGTACTTTGAATATTTTCTTAATCAAACTAGTGATTTGTCTTTTGACTTTGCTTATGTATGTGTGCTTTGCCATGTTTTGTTTTTATATATCAAATATTCTTTTAATTGTTATAATTTTTTTTTTGTTTGTTTTTGTTTTTATTTTTGTTTTTGTTTTTTGAGATGGAGTCTCGCTCTGTTGCCCAGGCTGGAGTGGAGTGCAATGGCGTGATCTTGGCTCACTGCAGCCTCTGCCTCCCGGGTTCAAGCAATTCTCCTGCCTCAGCCTCCTGAGTAGCTGGGATTACAGGCATGTACCACCATGTCCTGCTAATTTTTGTATTTTTAGTAGAGACAGGGTTTCACCATATCAGCCAGGCTGGTCTCGAACTGCTGACCTCAAGTGATCCACCCACCTCAGCCTCCCAAAGTGCTGGGATTACAGGCATGAGCCACCACGCCTGGCTGCTTATAGATATTTTTTTTGTCATGCTTAGAAATCATCCAAGATTATGACAAAAAGAAAACATGACTTTTTTTTTTTTTTACTTTTGTGGTGTTTTATATTGAAATATTTGATCCATATGAAATTTATTTTTGAGTGATGCATTCATCATTGGGGATCTAATTTTTTAGTTTTCCAAAATGGCTAGTTAGTTGTTTCAACATTATCTATTAAGTCTCTGTTTCTGTATGAACATGCACTAATCCACGTTTCTGGCTCAGATTCCATTTTTCTGAAGTAGTGCAGACTTGTGAGTAGTTGAGAACTTTGTAAAGTTTTTGTGGTCAGTGGAGCAATAGACGATTACAGATGGATTTTACTATCTTATCTTCCCTTTTATTGTTAAGATTGAAAAGTGATTGACTCTTTCAAGAAATACTCCTAAACCTAACCATACTATGGACATAAAGGTGACTTTTCAAGTGACTTTTGTATCGCTTTGTGGAGAACAAAGTGAAGCTGAAATGTAGGTATTATAAGACACGGTCAATGAGAGTTTTTTAGAAAACAATCAGGATTTAAAAATGAGTTTGAATTTCTAGGCAATAAACTAGTCAGTGCCTACACGTTAGCTAATTCTGTTCTTGCCACAAGTAGATGAAGAAAACATTTATTAAAAGAACTGCAACTTGAAAATTGGTTATTAGTCACTGCTTAGTATTCCTTAGTCATCTTTATGAGTGTAATCACATAGGTTGGCTGTCCTTTTTTTTTCTTCAATGCTGCATGACTAGGGGTCAGGAGACAAGGATTTCTTCAGGCTCAGTTACTTATTGGCCATGTGACAGTGTACAAGATGTTCAATTTCTTTGAATCTCAGTTTCTTTATTTTAAAAATAGAAATGAGGCCAGATGTGGTGGCTCACGCTTATAATCCATGCACTTTGAGTAGCTGAGGTGGAAGGATTGCTTGAGACCGGGAATTCAAGACCAGTCTGGGCAACATATCAAGACCCCATCTTTACAAAAGTAAAAAAAGTTAGGTGGGCATGGTAACATGTGCCTGTAGCCGAAGCTACTCAGGAGGCTGAGGTGGGAGGATTGCTTGAGCCCAGGAGTTAGAGGTCGCAGTGAGCTAGGATTGCACCACTGCACTCCAACCTGGGTGACAGAGCAAGACTATATGTTAAAATTTGTAACAAGTTTAACAAGGATGCGGATTTAGAAATTTGGAGGCCATAATGTCTTCAGGGAAAAGAAGAGTTGCAGAAATGGGTGGAAACTATTGGCTAGCAAGAAAACAAAGATAAGAAGTGTAAAATTCTTTCTCAGAACATTTTATATTAGAAGGAAAAGTACAGCATGTCATGAGGGTTAAGTGATCTTCAAAAGGACTGTTTTTAAAAAAAAAATCGTTTCTAAATTTCAGTTATTTTGCCATTATATTACTATTACTATGTAACTTTAAAAAATTCACTTGAAAATTTATTCTCAACCTAAGTAATAAATTGTTAAATCATAGGTTTGATGTTCAATTACTTATTTTTAAAAAACAAATTAAATATATAATAACTTGATAAGTGTTAGTAGAACTACAGATTTTATTTTCAGTATCACTGATGACATCCATATCATAATTTCTGAAACATGATTTTTAAAGAACAAATTGTCTCTGAATTTAAATGTGGACAATATAATTGACTCAGTGGGTTGAACTTTTTGAATAGGGAATGATTAAGACAATAATAGTTTGAAGGGTTAGTCTTGAAAAAGAGATGGGCTACTCTTTCCTCTGACACAGAAATGTTGGAGAAGAGGTTGAAAGACAGCAAAAATTAAGAAACATAGAAGACATTTAAGGATTTGGTACCAAAACTGAACAACTAAAAGTTACTTGGTGGGGCTGGGACTTGAAAGTGGAAAAGGTTTCCAACTACTTTTGTGAGGAATGTCACAGAAATTCATCAAGAGGCAGAGACAAAGATTGCATATTTTCATTGCTGGCCTGCCTAAGGCTTGACTGCAGCAGTTTAGAATGGGCCTATTTTCCTAACTTTTTCTGTAGCGCATGGCAATTTGGAATCAGAAGGCAGATAGCGGGTAATTTCTGGAGTCGGCGTGTGGCATGGTGGGTCCAGGAAATTGGTGGTGGTGATAAGGGACAGATAGAAATAATGACAGAGGGTTAGTAAGTCCGTGCTGGTTAAGAAAACTGGAAAACCAAAATGATGACTTCTATCAGAAGAGAAACTGTCTCTTTCCCTGTCTTTCTCTTTAGCGATGAAACCTTCGCTAGAAATTCCCCTACAGACTTCTCGTGTCTCATTGGCCAGAGTTAGATTACAAGTTATGCTGGCTATCTACCTTTTGCCTCTCCAGTCTTTTCTACGCTACTTTGTTTCCTGGGAGACTGACGTTAAGAACTGCAACAATAGTCTCCAGTGCCCTGTGTGTTTCTGGTAGGCTTGGCCAGTGGGAGAACTTCAGGAGATCTAAGAGCAGAGAGTAAGGTGGGTGTATTTATAACTAAGGTTCTCTCCCTGGTAGGTAACCATTGCTCCTTTCTAATATTTCTCTCTAAAGAGTTCTCTCTGGGTTCCACTAACCCTTTACCCGCTTTGCCCTTTCTGGCCTCAGGATGGTAACAGCTTTCCTGATGTTTATTACTAGCCCTAGAATTCCATATCATCCTTATTACCATCCTTTGTTGCTTTTCTTAAACTCTGACCACACACTAGAAAAAGGACCTCTTTAAATTTTTCCCAGTCAATAAGCTTGAGTGGGTCATCTCTTTGCTGTCTGATACTCAGGTCCATTTTTAAATCAGTTTCTCGCAAAGGCAGTGACATGCATGTCCTTATTTGGGAAGCAACCGGCAGTGTTCACCATGGCTGTGTTACATTATAAAAAATAATGTGTGTGTACTTGTCTGTTTTATTTGCCAACCAGATTTACAGTAAACTTGGCCATCTAGAACAAAGTTGGCAAACGTGGCCGTGTTCATTCTTTTGTGTTTGTAGTGCTTTCTCCTGTTATCACAGTAGAGTTGAGTAGTTGTTACATAGTTGCAGACTATACTGCCCATTACGGAAAAAGCTTTCTGACTCTTGATCTAGAATTACGTTGTTCAATATGGTTGCCACTAGAAGTACACTGTTTAATGTAGTCTGGTTGAGCACTTGAAATGTGGCTAGTCTGGATTGAGAAACACTATAGTTATGATATGTCAGATTTCAGAGACTTACTGGCACCCATTTCTTTTTACTTTTTAATGTGGCTCCTAAAAATTTTAAAATTACACATGGTGATTCACATTTTATGTGTATGTCTGTGTATATATGTGTATATATATATGTATATGTGTGTATATATGTGTATATATATATGTATATGTGTGTATATATATGTATATATATATTTTTTTTAGACAGAGTTTTGCTTTTGTTGCCCAGGCTGGAGTGCAATGGTGCTATCTCTGCTCACCGCAACCTCCGCCTCCCAGGTCCAAGCGATTCTCTTGCCTCACCCTCCCAGGTAGCTGGGATTATAGGCATGCGCCACCACGCCTGGCTAATTTTGTATTTTTAGTAGAGACGGGGTTTCCCCATGTTGGTCAGGCTGGTCTCGAACTCCTGACCTCCGGTGATCTGCCTGCCTCGGCCTCCCAAAGTACTGGGATTACAGGTGTGAGCCACCGTGCCTGGCCACACATTGTATGTTTATAGGACGACACTGATCAGGAATGTAACTGGTGGCCTAGAAAGTAAGTAGATAAGCTTCCCTTAGGCCAAAGCCTATTAAATACAATATTGTCAAGAAAAGAGAGCATGGCATTAAGAGGCATCTGACTGAGCTTCAGGCCTCAGAAAAATCCAACAAGTCTTCATGCTTCATTCCTTTGCCTGGAATAATGTTTCTAGCATTTGTTCACCATAATTTTTCTTTATTATTTGAGACTCAGTTCAAATATTGACTCCTGCAAAAGCCTCCTACACCCCTCATTCTCCCACAGCGCTCCTCTGTATTGTCCTTTTCCCTATTTGTAGTTTTCTCCTGAGATCCTGAAGGGAGGGTTTGCCCTGCATGTATTGGGTCCTCAGTGGGCTTTTACTTAATGCATGAGTATATAAATTGAGTAAATTAGTTACCAATTTAACAAGCCTGGTTATTTGTCTCTTTTCTTCTGTGTAGCTTTGGCGGTAGATTGACTATAGTAATAGAAGTGTACGATTGTTAGGGAGAACCCTGTGGAAGCAGCCTAGGTAGAAAGGCACAGCTCCCCAGGACTGCTGAGTGGGGCCTGATTGCACTCCACATTTCCGTTTTTGCTAAAGATATCACTATAATAGTATGGTACAACAATGGATCTCTCTTACTTGTTCCGAAGATTATGTAGGGTAAAGTACATTTTTGTTTTATTTTTTTGTAGAGAATGGGGGGGTCTCACTTTGTTGCTCAGGCTGGTCTCAAACTCCTGGCTTCAAGTGACCCTCCTGTCTCAGCCTCACAAAGTGCTGGGATGATAATAGGCGTGAGCCAGCACGCCTGGAGTCTGGTGTTTTTTTTAGGGTAGCAAAGCATGTCATAATTTTACAAAAATTTTCATCAAAACTGGTTAAAATAAGATTTTTGACATGTCAAGGAATAAATTTTAAACATTCCCATTAAGTATAGCAGGTTTTAAAAGAGATAGCATTTATTCATGAAGATAAGTATTGCAAGCCTGATTTTTTTAGAAATCAGAAATTTAAGGGAAAAAATGTTGAATAGTTTTCCTTATGGACTTATGCGGGGTTCTATTAAGTTTCAGATAGCAAATAACTGACTCCTAGTGTTAGCAGTTAGTGTGTTACTAGAGGGAGGCAAATGATTCCGAAATTACATCACCCTCAGTCCTGGCTTATCATTGTTTCAGGGTCAGTGTTTTAGAAATTGAGAAGCCTTGAGTTGAGTGCTTGTAAATAGTTCTTCAAATCATTGGATGTGGGTGGGGATGGTGGCTCATCCTTGTAATCCCAACAGTTTCAGAGGCCAAGGCATGAGGATTGCTGGAGGCCAGGAGTTCAAGACCAGCCTGGGCAACATAGCGAGGCTCTGCCTTTACAAAAAAATTTTTTTTAATTAGGTGGGTGTGGTGGCATGTGAGTGTGGTGGCATGTGCCTGTAGTCCTAGGTACTTGGGAGGCTGAGGCGGGAGGATCCCTTGAGCCTAGGAGTTCCAGGCCACAGTGAGCTATGATCATGCCATAGCCACTGCCCCCTAGCCTGAGCAACAGAGTGAGAACCTGTCTTAAAAAAAAAAAAGCAGTGGATATTAGCTTTTAGGCATTCTTTTGACTTTGACATCTAATTTTTAAATTTTAAATTGTAGAAAGTTAAGAATTTCTTTGTAATATTGTATGAAGAGGTATTTTGAAGGTAAAGGAAAATGAATTAGCATTTTAAAATATATTTTTCTTCCACTTACTTAACTTTGTCATTTTCAGTGGGGTCTTCAGAGACTCTGTGAACAAATCTTTTTTCTAACTTTCCAGTGGCTGCATCTCAAAGCCTGTTTGTAATGATGGCTGTCGTGTTATTTATGGATAGACAGATTCTTTTTGGAAGGGATGCACAAGTAGTGAGAATTAATCTTTTACAGTCTCCTTACCAATCCTCCTCTCCCATGGTAGCTGAATTAGTTGAAGGAAAGAAGCTTTTGTCTTCATTTTTTTATGAAATAGTTCATTTATGAAACCATGGTCTGGTCATAGAACTAAATTAAAAATATATTCTTTAACTTATTGAAAAATCAAATGGACATTTGTCTTACCCTTATATTTCTTAATCAGTTACCAATTTGTAAATATCTTAAATTAATCCTCTGCTCTCCATTCTCCTTGCCATTTACAACATCACTTTTTGTCCGGATTTATTGCATTTCTCTGTTATGTGGTCCTTTCCATCTTCCAATATCAGCTCAGTATTTTCCTGCATAAAATTCTTAGTTTCCTCAAAGCCCTTGTTATTATATGACCTAGCCTTCTTCCCAGTCATCAATTCTGCCATTATCGATAATTGAAGACATTCCACTGTCTCCTGGCTTCCATTGATGTTAAGTCAGGTATGCGTTGTAATTGCAGTACTTGCGTAGTTGATATTCTTTCTGGGTGCTTTTAGTTTTTTTTTTTAACCCCTGCGTCAGACAGTTTCACTGTGATATATCTAAGTCGATTATTATTATTATTTTTTCTTTTGAGATGGAGTTTCACTCTTGTTGCCCAGGCTGGAGTGCAATGGTATGATCTCGGCTCACCGCAACCTCCACCTCCCGGGTTCAAGCGATACTCCTGCCTTAGCCTCTTGAGTAGCTGGGATTACAGGCATGTGCCACCACGCCAGCTAATTTTGTATTTTTAGTAGACAGGGCTTCTCCATGTTGGTCAGGCTGGTCTCAAACTGCCGACCTCAGGTGATCCACCTGCCTTGGCTTCCCACAGTGCTGGGATTACAGGCGTGAGCCACCACGCCTGGCACTAAGTAGATTATTTATCCTGCTTGGAATTCTTTGACTTTATCCTAGAATTTGTGTCTCTCAACAGTTCTGGCCAATTCTCAGCTATAATCACCTCAAATATTATCTCTCTGTATAGAGCTCTGATTAGATGCATTTTGTACCTTCTCATTCTTCATGTCTTTCTTCCAAGTGACATACTGTGAAAAGAAATGTCCAATAGAAGATTAAATTATATTTCTACCATAAAAACAGAGTAATAGGGCAGTGAAAATAATATACAAGAATATGTAATGACAGAGAAAAATGTTTACAATATATTAAGTGAAAAAAACAGGTTATAAAGCAGTATGTGTATGAGTTTGTTTTTATGTTTTTATGGTTTGTTTTTAAGGGAAGGGGTTATTAAGCTTAAATTACCCCAAATATGCCTCCAAAGTTCATTTTGGCAAAGTAAATATTTCTGTTCAGTGTATTTTTTCTGGGAAATTACTTTTATAAATTTGAATGGCTTTTAATCTTCCTTTTTAGGCAAAATATACAATAGCAATTGTCAATGCTGAAATAAAAATACTTAAGCTGGCCTGGCGCGGTGGCTCACGCCTATAATCCTAGCACTTTGGAAGGCCGAGGCGGGCGGATCACGAGGTCAGGAGATCGAGACCATCCTGGCTAACACAGTGAAACCCTGTCTCTAGTAAAAATACAAAAAATTAGCCGGGCGTGGTGGCGGGCGCCTGTAGTCCCAGCTACTTGGGATGCTGAGGCAGGAGAATGGTGTGAACCCAGGAGGCGGAGCTTGCAGTGAGCCGAGATCGCGCCACTACCCTCCAGCCTGGGTGACAGAGCGAGACTCCGTCTCAAAAAAAAAAAAAAAAATACTTAAGCTATTACCATGTAGAGTAAATAAGAAAATACAAATTCTCAATTTTAAAAATTCATCTGCCAAAGTGATAGTTCATCATCATAGGTTTTTTTTTTTTTTTAACGAAGATAGCAAACTAGACGTTGTGGTTTTCTGTTTCACAGTTTTCAGTATTCATTCCATTCTGTTTCATTCACTTATCTGTGTAGGTCTGTGCACATAATGACGTCTGATGTTTCTCGGTTCCCATAATATAACAGATGACTTGACACTTTATTAAAAGGATAGAATAAAGATATTTAGTATCTCATTATTCACAAACTCATTTGTGAATAATGGCAGATGGCATTCAAAATTAACTCTACCCTGGGCTAAGCATGGTGACACATGCCTATAATCTCAGCATTTTGGGAGGCTGAGGCAGGAGGATTGTTTGAGGCCAGGAGTTAAGTCAAGCCCAGCCAGGGCAACATAGTGAGACCTTGTCTCTACAAAACACTTAAAAAAAAATTAGCTGGGTGTGGTGGCACACATCTATGGTCCCAGCTAGCGGGGCGGCTGATGCAGGAGGATCACTTGAGATCAAGTGTTAGAGGCTGCAGTGAGCTGTGATTGTGCCACTGCAGTCCAACCTAGATGACAGAGTGAGATCCTGTCTCAAAAAAAGCCCCCAAAACTCTACCCATATTTTATTAAAAGGGCAGAGATCAATTAATCCCACTGCTTTTAAAATTATAATGGTACCATGATTCAGTGTGAAAATAAGAAACTGTCTCTAAATCTGTGACAATAATAAAGCTCAGTATGCACCATACATACACAGGAGTTATACAGAGCAGCACATTCTCATAAAAAATACTGTCATACCTTTCAAATCCAATTTTTGTTATAAAATTACGAAAAAGATTCTCAGTCAGAATACCGCCGTTAGTCAGGTTAAACACCAGGAAATTACATTACTGTAACTTAATATACAGAAAAGAATATTTCAGAACAGAGAAATTAGAATGAAATGAATTTTAGAATATTTTTAGCATCACCTCCCCAAAACCCTGTACCCATTAGCAGTTATTCCCTTTTTGCCATAACCCCGCGCCTCACTCTCTAGGCAACCACCAGCGTTTTGTCTGTCTCAGTAGTTGTCTATTCTGGACATTGTCATGTAAATAGGATCATACGATATGTAGTCTTTTGTGACTTCCTCTTTTCACTTGGCAAAATGTTTACGTTTCACCCATATTATAGCATGTATTAATATTTCTTTTGGTTTATTGTTAATCCATTTTATGGATATACTACATTTTATTAATCTGTTTTTCAGTTTATGGGTATTTGTTTCCACTTTCTATTATTATGACTAATGCTGCCCATGAATATTCATATACAAGTTTTTGAGAGGGCATGTTTTTATTTCTCTTGTGTATATACCTAGTCCTAGGTCTTATGTTGGCTCTGTGTTTAATCTGTCGAGGAACTTCCAGACTGTTTTTCAAAGCACTACACCATTTAACATTCCCACCAGCAATATCCTGGATAGTTGAAGTTTCTTTCTTCACATTCAAGCCAACACTTGTTGTTTGTGTTTTTGATTATAGCCATCCTAGTGGGTGTGAAATGATACCTCATTGTACTTTTGATTTGAATTTTCCTGATGGCCAGGGATGTTGAGTGTCTTTTTGTGTGGTTATTGGGCTTTTTTTTTTAAAAGAAATATCTGTTCAGTTACTTTGCCTTTTTTTTTTTTTTTTTTAAAAGACAGAGTCTCGCTGTGTCACCCAGGCTGGAGAGCAATGGCGCGATCTCGGCTCACTGCAACCTCCGCCTCCTGGGTTCAAGCTATTCACCTGCCTCAGCCTCCCAAGTAGCTGGGATTATAGGCATGTGCCACCCATGCCTGGCTAATTTTGTATTTTTAGTAGAGACGGGGTTTCTCCCCATCGGTCAGGCTGGTCTCGAACTGCCGACCTCAGGTGATCTGCCCGCCTTGGCCTCCCAAAATGCTGGGATTACAGTCATGAGCCACCGCACCTGGCGTACTTTGCCTATGTTTTAATTGGACTATTTGTCTTTTTATTTTTTTATTTTATTTTACTTTATTTTTGAGACAGTCTTGCTCTGTAGCCCAGGTTGGAGTGCAGTGGCACATTCTTGGCTTACTGCAACTTCTGCTTCATAGGTTCAAGCGATTCTCTCACCTTAGCCTCCCAAGTAGCTGAGACTACAAGTGCGCATCCCACGCCCAGCTAACTTTTGTATTTTCAGTAGAGAAGGGGTTTTGCCATATTGTCCAGGCTGGTCTCAAACTCCTGGGCTTAAGTGATCCTCCCACCTTGGCCTCCCAAAGTGCTATGGTTACAGATGTAAGCCACCATGCCTGGCCTATTTGTCTTTTTAATGTTGAGTTGTAAGAGTTCTTTATGTATTCTGGATACAAGTCCCTAATCAGATTTGCAAATTTTTTTTTTTCCCATTCTATGGGTTGTCGTTTTACTTTCTTGATGGTGTTCTTTGTAGCACAAAAGTGACTTAAATTTTGATAGAATCTATCAATATAGTTTTTCTATATTTTCTAATCTTGATTGTTCTTTTGGTGTTTAAGAAGTCATTGTCTAGTCCAAGGCCTGTTTTCTTCTATATTTTTAGGTATTTGATCCTTTTTGAGTTAGTTTCTACATATGGTGTGAGTTCCAGGTCCATCTTCATGCTTTTTCATGTGGCTATTCAGTTGTCCCAGCTCCATTTGTTGAAAAGAAGAATCTTTCCGCATTTTTCTTGGCACCCTTTTCGAAAATCAATTATTAATAATCATAAAGGTGAATGTTTATTTCTGGACTCTCAGTTCTTTTACATTGATCATCTATGTGTCTATCTCTAAAATTGGGAAGTGTGAGTTTTCCAGCTTTGTTATTTTTTTTTTCATGATTTGTATGGCTATTCTGTGTTCTTGAATTTCTATATGAATTTTAGGATCAGCTTGTCAATTTTTGCAAAGAAGCCAGGTGAAATTTTAGTGAGTATTGCTTTAAATCTATAGAAAAATTGGGGAGCACTGCCATATTAACAATATTAAATCTTCTAGTCAATGAATATGGGATGTCTTTAGACTTATTTAGTTCAATTTTTATTCCATTTTCTTCATGGCACCTTTTATTTGCATCAGATATTATAAAGTTGATGAACTCACATTCTTTTATTTTATTTTACTTATTTATTTTTTTGAGACAGAGTCTCGCTCTGTTGCTCAAGCTGGAGTGCAGTGGCATAATCTCAGCTCACTGCAGCTTCCACCTCCCAGGTTCAAGTGATTGTTCTGCCATCTTCCCAAGTGTCAGGGACTACAGGCGCACGCCACCACGGCCTGTCAAATTTTTGTATTTTTTTTTTTTTTGAGATGGAGTCTCATTCTGTCTCCCAGGCTGGAATGCAGTGGCGCGATCTTGTCTTACTGCAACCTCTGCCTCCTGGGTTCAAGCAATTGTCCCTGCCTTGGACTCCCAAGTAGCTGGGATTATAGGTGTCTGCCACCATGCCTGGACAATTTTTATAGTTTTAGTAGAGGTGGGGTTTTGCCATGTTGACCAGGCTGGTCTCGAATTCCTGACTCAGGTGATCCGCCTGCCTCGGCCTCCCAAAGTGCTGGGATTACACACATGAGCCACCACGCCCAGCCATGAACTCACATTCTTGGACATAATCTTTGTCATCCTTTGCAATCATTTCTGGTTGAGGAATGGCATTTTTTTTTATTCTTGGCACGTTGGCATAGATCCTCTGAGACTTTCTTTTGAACCATTGTATTTTTAAAAACATTTATTGTAGAGATAGGGTCTTGCTACATTGCCCATGATGGTTTCAAACCCCTAGGCTCAACTGATCCTCCCCACTTGGCCTCCCAAAGTGTGGGGATTGCAGGCATGAGGCACCATGCATAGCCTGAACCATTATATCTTTATCATTCATGTTCACCTTAAGACTGTATAACATAATGATTTCCTCCATTATAGTCTGCAGAAATTCCAAGTCAGAAGTCTTTGTTGTGGAACTATCCTCCATCTCTAGCGCAGCTGTGGTTGGCTCCCATCTCCAATTGGCTGTTTGGTTGGACCTCTTCTATGTCTTTTAACCTATTATTCTCTGTCACTATTTCTCTGGGCTATCCTCTGTATAATTTCCTTTGATCTATATTCCCATTTACTAGTACTCTCTTCAGACATGTTTAATCTACTGTTTAATTTATCCATTGAATTTGAAACTTCAATTTTTTTTTGTTTTGAGAAATCTTGTTTGTTTTCAAATCTGTTTGGTTAAATGGTTTCTTGTTACTTGCTTATGTTTTCCTTCTTTTTTTCTTTCCTTTTTTTTTTTGAGACAGGGTCTCACTGTGTTGCCCAGGCTGGAGTGCAGTGGTGCGATCACGCTCACTGCAGGCTCAAATTCTTGGGTTCAAGTGATCCTCTCACCTCAGCCTCCCAGGTAGCTGGGACTACAGGCGTGCACCACCATGCCTGGCTAATTTTAAAACTTTTTTTTGTAGAGATGGGGTCTTGCTATGTTGTCCAGGCTGGTCTTGAACTCCTGGCAACAAATAATCCTCCCCACCAGCCTCCTAAAGTGCTAGGATTACAAGTGTGCACCCCCACGCCCAGCCTTCCTTTTCTATGTTTTCAAGTTTCACTTTTATTTCCCTTAACATATTGATCATTCTGATTTTTTTGTCCTAAAAGTAACAATTCCATTATCTTTAGTTTTTCAGATCTGCATCTCTTGGCTTTTGTTTCTGCTGTTTCCCATTTATTCTGCCTAGTTTCCTAGTGTGTTTTATGAAGTTTGACTATTCTCCTTTTTTTTCTTTTTTTCTTTTTTTTGAGACAGAGTCTCACTCTGTCATCCAGGCTGGCGTGCAGTGGCGCAATCTCGGCTCACTGCAACCTCCGCCTCCCAGGTTCAAGTGATTCTCCTGCCTCAGCCTCCTGAATAGCTGGGACAAGCCTCTTCTTTTTATGGTAACTTTATCTGTTGGAATTCTGTACGGCCTTGATTGATACTGTAATCTTCCAGGGAGGAATTGCACTTATGTCTGCCAGTAGCCTGGAGACCCGACTTGGGTTAGCTTTAGAACATATTTATCTCATATTTTTCAGACCACATAGATAGTGTGAATTTAGATTGCAAACACTAGTGAGGGGGTTATGATTTCTTGGGGCAAATTTTCCCTCTCTGCACAGCATCAAGTAGAGACAGACAGATTTCCTTCTGTTTTGGTTTCTTTCTTATACACTGAGGATGTAGCCTTATGTGTGGTCCCTAGTTTTACGTGGCAGTATCCTGTTAGACTTCCCATTTTGGGCAGGCCCTAGACTTTGCCATTCTGTAAAGTATTGTCCTCTGTGTACTATTCTGCAAAAATACTGTACCCTGTGTTGCTTCAAGGTTGCTAGGATTTGTCGAGAATCCTTACGTTTCTTATATGTCCCCTAGGATTCTAGTTTCATTTTCTTTTCTTTTCTTTCTTTTTTTTTTTTTTTTGCCTCTGAATTTGTACTAGCTTGGCAATAAGTTTTAAAAGGTTTTCGTTTTTTAATATTTTACCCAGCATCTTAGTGGTCTCAACTGTGGAATCTGTTCAGGGAATCTAATTTCCCATGCTGTCAGAATCAGATCTATAGCATTGCATAATTAACATCGTTGTAATTACTGTGTGTACATTTACTAGTTTTGTTCTTAGTATTTTCATGTATAAATTTCCTTCTAGTTATTTTGACCATGCTGTCGTGTTTTATGGTTGCACCACAGTTTACGCAGTTACCTTTGTATTTGTTTGTTTTCAACTTTATGATTTAGACAGTGCTACTAGGTAGCTGTATCCATCAACTTAAAAGTCATGTTTTTTTCTTCCCGTAGGTCGAATTGACATAAAACAGTTGATAGCAAAGAAGATAAAGTTGACAGCAGAGGCAGAGGCAAGTAACTCCCTCTTCTAGAAACAAAAATGTAGAGTTTTAGATAGAATTTTGTTTGGTAACATTTTTAATGCTAAATTGCTCAGATAATTATTTAAGCCATTCATCAGTTGCTGTTATCCTGTGGAACAAGAAAATAAGATCTGCTGACTTGTCATCCTGCGTAAGGATCCAGATTGCCTTTTTCTCTCCCATCTCATCTATCACTGGCATTTTCTGTCTCTTACCAGCAAATCTTGGTTTTAGTGACCCACGTTAACAGTTGATAGCGTTGAATGTCTGTATGAGTGCTTTGTGAAAGTATCTGTCATGATTCATAGTAAATAGCAGCTCTCCAATAAATGTTGAATCTGAATCTAGAAGTAGATTCCCTGTCAAGGAAGTAGAAATAACAACTCGAAAAAAAATCATGAAATCATTTCAAGTGGGGATAAATAGTTCTACAAACCAGAATTCTTCAGTACCCTCAGGAAATTGTGGAGGGCGAAGAACACTTTTTTAAAAAAACATTATAATCCAATACCTGGGTGTAAGTTGACTTAAAATCCAAAGCAAACTCCTGTTTTCCCAAGGAGAAGATCACTTCCAAAATTTGTTGGCCAGTTTGACTATATAAACATCCGGTGATGAAGATGAAGTAGCCCTGTTTTATTTATTTAGTTACATGCATGTATGTATGTACATATGCATTTATAGAATAATCTAGATTTAGAAATATTTTTGTAATCATATTTCATGAAATGTATGCCAGATTATTTATACTCACTTTGATGTCAATGTCTTTGTTATTATCAGACCTAGTTTTTCAGTTATCATCCAAGGCCAGGGGCATAGTATTTGTACTTTCATCTAATGTGTTGGAAATCAGTACTGTTTGAGTCCAAGGAGGATGCTGTCACAGAAAATTTATTAAAGAACATATTTGCTTAACATTAAGAGATCTACCCTGTCCTCCTTCCATCATCCTGTAGGCATATTTGTGATGACTGCAATGTAATTCCTTATGGTACTGCTTTATAAAGTGGTACTCAAAAGATGTATTTACTGCACTTGAAATTGTGGGTATAGACTCCTAGTTAATAGGGTGTTAAACTTTATTTTTCCTGATTCCATTAAGTTACCTTTGTAAGCCTCCAGCACTACAGTGATGAAGATCATTTCTGATGAATGTCTTTTCCAATTAGTGCTTTGTTTCTCCATCATAAGAGATTGTTTAAGGATTTGTTATGCAACTTTTTATCTGATGACTAACTTATAATTTTGGCTAAGAAAATAACAATATTTAACGTATAGACACATGCTAGTTTGTTTGTTTGTTTGTTTGTTTTTGAGACAGAGTCTCTGTCGCCCAGGCTAGAGTGCAGTGGCACGATCTCGGCTCACTGCAACCTCCGCCTCCTGGGTTCAAGGAATTCTCCTGCCTCAGCCTCCTGAGTAGCTGAGACTACAGGCACATGCCACCACGCCTGGCTAATTTTTTGTAATTTTTAGTAGACATGGGGTTTCACTGCATGCCAGGATGGTCTCAATCTCCTGACCTCGTGATCCTCCTGCCTTGGCCTCCCAAAGTGCTGGGATTACAGGCTGGGATTACCACACCCGGCTGGCACGTGCTAGTTTTAAACATCTATTCTTGCAAGTTTAGTGACTAATTTTTTTTTTTTTTTTTTTTGAGACAGAGTCTCGCTCTGTTGCCCAGGCTGGAGTGCAGTGGCGCGATCTCGGCTCACTGCAAGCTCCACCTCCCGGGTTCACACCATTCTCCTGCATCAGCCTCCCGAGTATTTGGGAGTACAGGTGCCCACCACCATGCCCGGCTAATTTTTTTTGTATTTTTTGGTAGAGACGGGGTTTCACCGTGTTAGCCAGGATGGTCTCAATCTCCTGACCTCGTGAGCTGCCCGCCTCGGCCTCCCAAAGTTCTGGGATTACAGGCGTGAGCTACCACGCTCGGCCTAAAATAAATTTTGTTTTTGTGGTTTACTAGAGTGTTTCTGACCCTTTTTATTTCTCTAGTCAGGCAGGATACCTACATTTTTGTTATTCCTTTTTCAATTCTTCTTTTGTCCTCTTTTGCTCCTCCTCTTCTTATCAAGAACACAAAAACATATTATGTTCTATTTGTGAGGGCAAGTTTCAAATAGGTGAAAAGTAAGTCTGTCTCTGCTATCATTCCTCTATTTAAAAACCTAAAGTGGGAGGAGAACCTTTCCCATACAGAATCACAAACCCAAAGGCGAAAGGGAGTTTGGGGTGGAAAGTAGAGGTTTTGGGGGAAAGGGGTAGAAAGTGGTGGCAGGATGAAGGGGGGATGTTCCAAGGATTTAAGTTAAAACTTTTTAAAGAATATTGTACTTGTCTGCTTTATATATTAATAAAATTATGAAATCTTTTAGCTTGGTCATTTAGGAGGATTAGAAGGAGAAAGTAATGAATGAAATAAGGGAAAAGCTGAAAGAATGGTGGACCCTGGTTTAGCTAGTATTAATATGTGTATTGTGCAGGTGACATAAGGGTTGCAGAGTTGTGCAAGACTTGTTCCCTGATGTTAAGGGAAGTATTGGCCTGAACAAAGGTAATGGTGTTAGAAAACTTACACCGTACATATTTTAGGGCACTTGATGGACATCTGTGTCTCTATTGGGGCACAATGGCAAGAAAAAGTTGAAAACTTGAGGCTAGATTATAAAGCATTTTTTCTCGACTTTTATGCCCTCCTTCATGTAGCTCTTTCTATCTGAAATTTCCTCTTTCTCCATTCACAAATCAAAATAATGTATATCCTTCAAATTCTAGGTCAAATCTTGCTGCTTCTACAGTTTTCTGAACATTGCAGTTGAAATGATGTCCTCGCTACTCTATATTCCTAACTACTTAGTTTATACCCCTACTATATACTCTATATGTATTAGACTGTGCATTGTTCTGAATGAGTCATCACATGCCATTTGGTGAACTTTAGGTGATTTGACTTAGAAGTTTTAAAATTGTCAATTATTTGCTGTCTAATGAGATTGAATATTTTACCATTGTTTATTAATTGTAATTTCTTTTCTTTTTTTTTTTTTTTTTTTTTTTTTGAGACAGAGTTTCACTGTGTCGCCCAGGCTGGAGTGCAGTAGCACGATCTCTGATCACTGCAACCTCTGCCTCCCGGGTTCAAGTGATTCTCCTGCCTAACCCTCCCCAGCAGCTGAGATTACAGGCATGTGCCACCATGCCCGGCTAATTTTTGTATTTTTAGTAGAGGTGGGGTTTCACCATGTTGGCCAGACTGGTCTTGGAACTCCTGGCCTCAAATGATCCACCCCACCTCGGCCTCCCAAAGTGCAGGGATTACAGGCATGAGCCACCGCACCCAGCCAATTGCAATGTTTCTGAACAAGATATAGTAGGACTACTGTTCTGATCTGAAAGTTCAGGATGGCATATAGAGTTTAGAGACAGTGAGAATAGACAGGGAGCTATTGTAATATTTTAGTATTCTAGACCGAGGAAACAGATGAGCCAGTAGGAGAAGGGAACTACATTTAGAAGTCCTCTTACAGGCTAAGCTTTTATACTAGGTGCTTTATATACACAATCTTACTTACTTACATCATCCCATTTATAAGAGATCTCTAATTGGTCACATTTTTTTAGTTGTTGCTTAGCCTTATTGGTTGACATTTACTAACATGGAAGGACTTGAGATGATAGGTATGTGAACATTGTTCAGAGCCATGAACTTGGCTTGTTTTTTCACATACTAATTCCTCTTGTGGGTTTTTACAAATAATTTTTTTTAAATGCAAGTTAGGAATCTTTCCGGTCATTTATAATTTGTGTCATGTTCCTCCCAGTCGTCACTTCATCTTTCCTTGATCTTTAAAGTGAGAGCATTGCACTAGTTGTCTCCAAGGTCCCTTTTAGCTCTAAAGGTTTACGTCATAATTGTGTAGCTGACGAAAACTTTTTCAGAATTCACTGCTTGTTATTGTATAGGTAGTAGATAAATCTCATCCGGCAGCTGTTTCAGCTCCACAGAGCTAGAGTTGTCAGGTAAAATACAGTACGTCCAGTCGAATTTGAATTTCTGATAAACAATGAATACTTTTTTAGTAATCATGCAATATTTGAGACAGACTAAAACGTTATTTATCTGAAATTTAAATTTAAATATAGTGTCCTATATTTTTTATTTGCCAAATTGGGCAACCAACAAAGAACTCTGTGAAAAGTTAGATGTGTAGATAGAGGAGCTCTTATTAAGTAAGGAAAAGTGTGAAGAAGTTCGTCAAGCATTGAGCAAACCTTTTAGTCTGAAGGGAAGAGGAGTGAGGGAAGTGATAACATGAGTGTGTTGAAATTAGTGGTTTGAACTGACTGAATCTCTTAAGGTCGCCTCGAGGTCTAACATGCTTGTTAAAAAAGGTTTTCAGTATGTATTTTTTATCTAATGCCAGTGGGGTCATACAAACTTGTGTAACTCTGAGTTATGACCTTTTGAAATCCTTAGAATTGTGTTGTAACAAGACTTAAAAGATCTTAGAACAGTCCAAGGGAGATTCATATGATTAAGTCCCAACCAACTTACATTAACAATTAAATTACCTTTGCTTTTGTTGTTGTTGTTTTTAACAGAAACAAGGTCTCACTATGTTGCCCAGGCTGGTCTCAAACTCCTCAGCTCAAGTAATAATCCTCCTGCCTTGGCCTCCCAAAGTGCTGGGATTACAGGAGGGATCCACCATCCCTGGCCTAGCTTTGCTTTAACATTATGTTAAGCTATTTCTTTTGGTTGCAAATAACAGAAGCCTACTTTGGTTTATTTAGGCATAAAAGAAAATATATTCAAATGATATTAATATATCTCACAGAATCTTAGGAGAAGATGAACATTCAAGCTCTGTAAAGAGTAAGGATTTTAGTAGGAAGAGTTTAGATACTTTAGATATTTCAATATAATAAAGTTCCCACTCACTTTCTTTCAAAGCTCAGAACCTCAGATTTATTATAAGACAGAGAATTGAATTTTGGCCGGAAGGACAAGGTCATATAGTACAGCCCTGGCCTGGACATTACATGCCTGTCCTTGGCTCTGAGAATAGTTTTCAGAGAAAAATGAATATGTTAAGAAGGGCAAAGGGAATGTCTTTACTAATTGGTATTTGTCAAACTTTTATTAATGTACACAACTTTATAGAGGGAATGTTAGGTCTCATGTGAATATTAAAAGGATGAAAAAAATTACTTTCTATTTCTCCTTCTTAAAAATACATTTTTGGGCCAGGCGCATTGGCTCATACCTGTAATCGCAGCACTTTGGGAGGCCAAGGTAGGCAGATCAGTTGAGTTCATGAATTCGAGACCAGCCTGGACAACATGGCAAAACCCTGTGTCTACAAAAAATACAAAAAATTTGCTGGGCATGATTGTGCGTGCCCGAGTAGTACTGCTACTCGGGAGGCTGAGGTGGGAAGATCATTTGAGCCCAGCAGGTGGAGGTTGCAATGAGCTGAGATGGCGCCACTGCACTCCAGCCTGGGTGATAGAGCCAGACTTTGTCTTCAAAAAAAAAAAAAAAAATTGTTGCAACATATTCTGTTTGCTTCTTATATAGCATTTCAAATATTGTTTTTTCACATCAGTACCTTATGCTATTGTCCAGCCATTAAATGATCAAACTGATGAGTAAGAGTCAGGATACAAAAATTAGCTGGGTGTGGTGACACATGCCTATAATCCTAGCTACTAGGGAGGCTGAGGCAGGAGAATCGCTTGAACCCAGGAGGCAGAGGTTGCAGTGAGCCGAGATCATGGCATTGCGCTCCAGCCTGGGAGACAAGAGTGAAACTCTGTCTCAAAAAAATAAATTAAAAAAAAGACTCAAGTGTCATGTCTGAAAATAAGAGTTTCTCACCATGTTTTTTCAGTCATTCAAGTAACGCCTTCTAAATAAGTTTTTGGTCCGGTCATGGTAGCTCACGCCTGTAATCCCAGCACTTTGAGAGGTTGAGGCTGGCGGATCACATGAGTTCGAGACCAGCCTGACCAACATGGTGAAACCCCATCTTTACTAAAAATACAACAAAAATTAGGCGGGTCTGGTGGTATACACCTGTAGTCCCAAGTACTCTGGAAGCAGGAGAATCATTTGAACCCAGGAGGTGGAGGTTGCAGTGAGCTGAGATCACACCACTGCACTCCAGCCTGGGTAACAGAGCAAGACTTCATCTCAAAAAAAAAAAAAAAGAAGTTTTTGGATAGTGTTTATCTATTGATTTATTGGCCGACTGCTGGAGAGACAAGTCTTAAGTATTTTCTGCCCAGAAATCCTGTGATTATTGTGTAAGTTAAGATTGGGTTTTGCTGTAATAGTGAACAAAATAATAGGGGCTTATACAAGATTAGTAATTTCTTTTTCTCATGTCAACAGTTCAGAGGTAGCAGGTCCATAGCTGATACTGGCTCCATGGTCCTTAAGGACCCTGGTTTGGTTCCTTCCAGTTCCCTGCCTCACCATTTGTAATTGCCCGTTGGGTTCTTCTTACCCTCTGCACAGACAAAACCAATGGACTGAGACAGTGGTAAAGCAGTAGAGAAGGAGTTTAATGCAAAGCTAGCCAAGTGGAAGGACAGGAGTTTATTATACACACCAGCTGCTGAGAACTCAGAGGCTAGGGTTTTTATGGTAAGTTGGCAGGCAGGGGACCTAGGGAGTGGATGCTGCTGATTAGTTGGGGTTGAAATCATAAGGGTGTGGAAGACAGTTCTCATGCGCAGAGTCAGCCTCTGGGTGGGGGTCACAGGACCAGTCATGGGTTTAGGGGGCAAGCTGGTCAGTCGCCAGAATTCAAAGATCAGAAAAACATCTCAGAAGACCAATCTTAGGTTCTATAATAGTGATGTTCTCCATAGGAGCGGTTGGGGAAGTCACAAATCTTGTGACTTTGGGTACAGTAAACTATTATAGAAAGGCAAGCTGTGCCTACGTTTTAGCAGAATTCAGGTCCCTCCCATAATCCTAATCTTGTGGCCTTTCTTTAGTCTTACAAAGGTGGTTTCAGTTCCCAACAAGGAAGGGGGTCAATTTTGGGGAGGGACTATTTACATCAAAGTTGAACTATGAATTTCTCCCAGAGTTAGATTGGCCTCTGCTCAGGAATGAGCAAGGATGGCCAGCCTGTGAGGCTAGAAGCATGATGGAGTCAGACATGGTAGACGTTTCTCACTGTCGTAGTCTTTGCAAAGGCAGTTTCACATTCATAGGCTGTGGTCCTCCTTATTGCCCACATGGCTCTAGTCATTTTGTCTGAGTTCCAAGTGGCCAAATTGAGGGAAGGAAAGGAGTGGGGGTAAGGAACAGGTATCTGTGTCTGTTAAGGAAATTTTCTGTGGACTTTGACAAATCATTTCCACCTGTATCTCATTGGCTACCTAGGTGCAAAGAGAGACTGGGAAACTTATTTACTCTAAGCAGTCATGTGCCCAGATAGAAATCAGGGATTCTAGTACTAAGAAAGGGGGTAGGCACTGATAGGGTTGACAAATAACAGTTTCTACTATGGCTGTCCATTTTTCTTTGCTGTCCCAATCTACTGGTCAAATTTCACCTTTTTGCTATGCAAGTGTGACTATACATTTTTCTGATATTTTCCTTTCTGCCTTTTCTCATTTAAATGCACGAGTGTAAGAATCTCTAGTCTATTTTGAATAATTTTGTGAAAGTCAGTTTATTGTGCTTTATGATTTCATCACTTACAAAAGGTAGACAGGTACCTGTCCTGTTGCCCTCGAATGTTTAGCAGTTCAATTTAATGAATGCCTGCTTGGTTTCTTTGTCTATCAGGTACTACATTAAGTGCTGGGATTTTAAAGAAGTTGTGTTTTCTGTTCTCATGCTAACTGAGAACACTATATGCAAAATGCATGAGCAAGGGGAACAGTGACTTAATTAGATACCTTAAAAATGTTCTTTGGCCAGGCACAGTGGCTCACGCCTGTAAACCCAGCACTTTGGGAGGCCAAGGCAGGCAGATCATTTGAGGCCAGGAGTTCGAGACCAGCCTGGGCAACACTGTGAAACCCCGTCTCTACTAAAAATACAAAATTATCAGTTAACAAAAAGATACATCGTTTAAAATCAGTTGGGTGGGGGGCAGACAGTGAGATGCCAAAGAGCATATACACTTGAATATATAGAATTTCAAGTAAGTGCAATGAAGGAAAAGAATGAGATTCAGTAAGAGAGAATAGAAAGAACTTTAGAGTGAATTATCAGGAGACCTTTCTGAGGAGTCAATTTAGTGTAAGTCCTAAGCACTGTATTACCTGTTCCATTGTGTTACTTGTTTTGCTCAGAAAGGTCAGGTTTCTGGTACCATGCCACCAAGATTAAAAGATTCTCTGTGCAAAGACAGGCAGCAAATCAGAGGAAGAAATAATTTTTAGACTAGCAATATATGACCTTGTGGAGTTAATGTTCTTTAAAACCATTTATGAAGAAATTGTGATCAAGGGACCTACTTTTTTTTTGAGACACTGAAAATATTATTATTTACTGATTGGTTTACTTTGTTTTTTTCTTTCAGCATACTTTAAGATTGTTTTATGTCTCTGTACCTTTGAAAGAGTTATTTACCCATAAATGACCCTGACCTTTTTTCATTGTAATACTCAGTCCAAAGTAATCTCTGCCTGGAAGCCTTTTTAGGTAGAAGAGTTATCTTTCTAAGATGCAAATCTGAACATGTTTACAAATCTTGTGCTTAAAATGTCATTGGCTTCCAGATGTCTTTAGGATAAAAAATTCTTAAAATGGCTTAAAGGTCCATGATCTAGTCCCTACTTGCTTTTCCAGCCTTATCTCTGATCATTATCATCTGTTCCTTTAACTATGTGTTCCAACCATAGGGTCTTTGTATTATGGTTGATCCCTATTCTTGGAATCTTAGAGGTTATCTAATTCAGCTGCTTATTTAATACAAAAGGTTTCCTTAAGCTCTAAAAATGTAGTTTACTAGATTACCTAAAAAAGCACCTTTTTTAGTTCCTAGTTAACTGCCTCCTCCCTTCTGCCGCTTCTCCCTTCCTTCCTTCTCTCCATCCATCTGTCATGGTGCTAGGGCTGTCAGAGTCCACTGGCTGCATGAAATTAATATCAGTAGATACGAGATTGAAAAGATAAGCAAATTAGAAAGACTATAACCTCAACATTATTTTCAGGTTACTGATACCAGACATTATTCAGATTTATTAGTGATCACATACTGAGTTCTAATTAACAAGTTTCATGTGATAGAAGTCAGAAGGCAGAAGTGGACTGTTTCTTGTACTATATTTCTTAATATTCCCTCTTACAAAGGGAGTAACAATAATAAGCAGTTACTCGTTATTGTCATCACTGCTAGGATCTGTGAAAGGAGGAGATTCAGGAAATGTAAGCGTCCACAGAGCAGAGTTCTTTCTTCCTTGTGCCCCAGTGGCAGCACCTTCTATCAACTTTAATTCCTCAGAGAAAGAGGAGAAGGGCATTAGGAAATGAACATTAGGCATGTAATTATAATGCCATGTAAAGGAATGTGGTAGGTTTAGTTACCTTTTAACAATAAAAGGACTAAATGATAGGATTTGCTTAAATTACAATTTTTATTGTACATTGTTTTATTGTTCCTCATAGGTTAGCTCAGACTGAGGGGGAGAGGTTGGAACAATGAATACCTGGAGAGTGACAACTGTGTCAGGTGCTATCCTGTGTGTTTTCAGTTCCAGACCGTTATCCATGTGTAATAGTTTCTATCCTGCCGAGCTTCATTTATAGAATCAAATTGAAAGGGAAAACACCTGTACAACCTGGCCAATCAGACAGCCTCACATATCTTTTTCTTCATAGTATCTTTTAACTAGGATATTCCTCTTCTAAAAAAAAAAAAACAAAGTCTTGGCTGGGCACAGTGGCTCACACCTGTAATCCCAGCACTTTGGGAGGCTGAGGTGGGCGGATCACTTGAGGCCAGGAGTTCAAGACCAGTCTGGCCAACATAGTGAGACCACATCTCTATTTAAAAAGGTAAAAGTTTCAGGCGGGGCACGGTGGCTCACGTCTGTAATCCCAGCACTTTGGGAGGCCGAGGCGGGCGAATCACCTGAGGTTCGAGACCAGCCTGACCACCATGGAGAAACCCCGTCTCTACTAAAAGTACAAAATGGGCTGGGTGTGGTGGTGCATACCTATAATCCTAGCTACTTGGGAGGCTAAGGCAAGAGAATTGCTTGAACCTGGGAGGTGGAGGTTGCGGTGAGCTAGTATCATGCCGTTGCCCTCTAGCCTGGGCAATAAGAGTGAAACTCCGTCTCAAAAAAAAAAAAAAAAGTTTCAAGGAAGAACTCATTTTTTGTCAAGTGGTGAAAGCAGCTAGCTGAATAATATTCAGGACTGTCAACCAAATGGGAGGTCAGAAGCTCACCCAGTCGGCTGCAACCATGGCGGAGCCAGAGGGGCTCAAGGGGCCTGTGCTATACCAAGGCTGCAGTTCCTTGCAATGCTCTAGATGACCCTGGGCAGTCTATTCTTGAGCCCCTTCATAGTCGCTGTGATTGTCAACTAAAGAAAAGCTTTTTAAGAATTAAAGTTATTGTATTTAGAAGTCTTATTGAGAACTGTAGACAGAGCCTGCTGCCTGGGAGTAGTCTTTTAGAGAGGTTTTGTTAGCCTTTTCTGGCACTGTATTTTAGTCTACTGTTTATGTATAGGTGGTGGGGGTTTCGCATATGTAAAATTATGTTACGTTTGTTTAGAAGTTAGAAGTTATATTAGAGTAGAATATGTTAAGGTTTGGTGTAAGAGTATATTTGGTTATAGATTATAGAAGTGTAATTACTAACTGTCATTTATAGGAAAAGGCAAGGTTATTATCTTCAAGGAATATAGTGACTTAGGCAAGATATGTGGGGGGAGTGTGTGTTTTATTTTGTCTTAAAAGTATTTGGAAAGCTGTGTATCATCATAGAGTCAAGAACTTTGTGAAATTGTGTTGGCAAGCAGAAATGAGTAAATATGGCTTTTTTTGTGGTTTGTTATTTTGTCTCGCATATGGATACCTAAACTACTCACATATGAATGTTACTTCAAGAAAAGAAAATACATGAATTGATCATATTAAAATAGTTACCTTATAAGTGACATTCTGTACCGTCTGAGGTGTCAGAGGTTGGGGTCATAGATGAGGGAGATTGTGAAAGAAATTTACAATACTGGGCCAGGTGCGGTGGCTTGTGCCTGTAATCCCAGCACTTTGGGAGGCTGAGGTGGGCGGATCACCTGAGGTTGGGAGTTGGAGACCAGCCTGACCAACATGGAGAAACCCTGTCTCTACGAAAAATACAAAATTAGCCAGGTGTGGTGGCGCATGCCTGTAATCCCAGCTACTCGGGAATCTGAGGCAGGAGAATCACTTGAACCCAGGAGGCGGAGGTTGCGGTGAGCCGAGATCGTGCCATTGCACTCCAGCCTAGGCAACAAGAGGAAAACTCCATCTCAAAAAAAAAAAAAAAAAAAAAAGAAAGAAAAAAGAGAACTTAGAATCATGGTAATTATAACGTGGGGATAAGGCACAGTGCCGCCTGCCTGTAATTCTAACATTTTGGGAAGCTGAGGCGGGAAGATTGCTTGAGCCCTAGAGTTCAGCTTGGGCAACATAGGGAGACCCTATCTCTACAAAAAATAAAATATTTGCCGGCAGTGGTGGCGCACACCTGTGATCCTAGCTACTTGGGAGGCTGAGGTATTTTGTTTTATGCTTACAAGGGGTATACATTTTAAAAGGGTATAAATCACTATGTTGCCTTTTAGGTAGCTGTTTCTGAAACTTCAAGTCAGATACAGGAATTGATTTTTTGCTTTTACTCCTGCGAACTCACTATGTCTTTCTTTTGATCCAGCTCTGTTTAAGGGAGCCCTTTAGAGAAATGCTAATGACTCACAAGCATGTATTAGTTCCCCATCTTTTTCTTTGTTTTAAAATTCTAGGAATTGAAGCCATTTTTTATGAAGGAAGTTGGCAGTCACTTTGATGATTTTGTGACCAATCTCATTGAAAAGTCAGCATCATTAGATAATGGTGGGTGCGCTCTCACAACCTTTTCTGTTCTTGAAGGAGAGAAAAACAACCATAGAGCGAAGTAAGTATGTGCTATTTTCTTTTAATGCAAACATCTACTCAGTATAGTTCAATGGTGAAAATGGACTGCGGCAAATATGCTTGAGTTCACACCCTGGTGTCACTTTCTATTGGCTGTGTGTTACATTGGGAAAGTTACTTAACCATTTGAAGGAGGATGGGGATTTCTTTGTCTTTACATATAAATTATAACATACATGCATACCTCTTTTAACACTAATGCCGGGCACAGTGGCTCACGCCTGTAATCCCAGCACTTTGGAAAGCTGAGGCAGGTGGAACACCTGAGGTCAGGAGTTCAAGATTAGCCTGGCCAACATGGTTATTTAACCATTTGTCTCTACTAAAAATACAAAATTTAGCCGGGCGTGGTGGCGGGCGTCTGTAATTGCTGCTACTCAGGAGGCTGAGGCATGAGGATCGCTTGAACCTAGGAGGCGGGGGTTGCAGTGAGCAGAGATCATGCCACTGCACTCCAGAGAGAGACTCTGTCTCCAAAAAAAAAAAAAAAGACTGACTAATAAGGTCAGGTGTGGTGGCTCATACCTGTAATCTCAGCACTTTGGGAGGGCGAGGCGGGTGGATCACTTGAGGTCAGTTGTTTGAGACCAGCCTGGCCAACAGGGTGAAACCCCATCTCTACCAAAAATACAACAATTAGCTGGACGTGGTCGTGCACGCCTGTCGTCCGCCTGTCGTCCCAGCTGCTCAGGAGACTGAGGCATGAGAATCGCTTGAACCTGGGAGGCAGAGGTTGTAGTGAGCCAAGATCATGCCACTGCACTCCAGCCTGGGCAACAGAGACCCTGTCTCCAAAAAAAAAAAAAAAAAAAAAAAATACTGACTAATAAAACAACATAGCCAACACTTGCTGAGTGCTCTACATGATGAATTCATTTAAACCAAACAGTGATCCTATGAGACAGATAACTGTAGCTATCCGCATGTTACAGATTAGGAAACTAAAGCACAGAGTACTTAATTAAATGTCCAAAATTACATAGCAGGGATTTGAACCTAGAGTCTAGCTCTAGAGTCCTTGCTCTTAATCATATAATGGCTGGGCATGGTGGCTCACGCCTGTAATCCCAGCACTTTGGGAGACCAAGGCAGGTGGATCACGAGGTCAGAAGTTCAAGACCAGCCTGGCCAAGATGGTGAAACCCCGTCTCTACTAAAAATACAAAAATTAGCCGGGTGCCATGGCAAGTGCCTATAATCCCAGCTACTCGGGAGGCTGAGGCAGGAGAATCACTCAAACCCGGGGGAAGGAGGTTGCAGTGAGCTGAGATCACGCCACTGCACTTCAGCCTGGGTGACAGAGTGAGACTGACTCAAAAAAAAAAAAAAATCATATCATTACGTGCCTCTCTATTTGCTATACAATTGTTGTAATAAAGTACAATGCGATTAGTATATACTTTTCTAATTGATGGTTCATCCAGAATAATCGAGTGAAGGCTATCAAAGGCTAATATGTGTTAACTTGCCATTCCATGCTCTTCTCAGTTTTATGCCCCTGTTTGGAGGCATAGACTGATGTTCTGGAGAATAGTTTTGACCAATTATAGTTAAGTGCTGGTAGTAGTACGAAAAGCCCTAAAGAAGATAAGCAAGATGTTAAAATGGGAGTTTTTAGTAACTTGCAGCAACCTTTAAGATCAGGAGGCTGTTGGGAGTTGCTGGAAGTCCCTTGATATCAGGAAGGGTATGGTAAACATCAGTGCAGTTTCAGAGGACAGATCAGTAACAGTATATATGACCTGGAGTAGAGTGTGCTTAGAGGCCTGTTTATGACCTTAGGGGATCTCTACAAGAAGGAAAAGTGATTGCCAAAGTCCATAGGGGCTGAGTGTGGCGACCTTGCCATTCTCTACAAGAAGGAAAAGTGATTGCCAAAGTCCATAGGGGCTGGGTGTGGCGAGCTTTCCCTTCTTAAGAGTTGTGTATGTACCTGCCTCACAGAGAGGGTAAATGAAGTAACATACATAAAACTGTAACACAATATTTGGATCTGTTTTAGCTGGGCATGGTGGCGGGCATCTGTAATCCTAGTAGTGAAAAGGTCATTGGTCAATTAATGTTAGATGGTGTTATTGGTATATTCTCTTGTCTGTGGGATTAGATTTCTTATAATACTTGAAGTACTTATATCTTGTTTTAATTTTTCCTCTTCTCAGGGATTTGAGAGCACCTCCAGAACAAGGAAAGATTTTTATTGCAAGGCGCTCTCTCTTAGAGTGAGTATTTTTAGTTGTTTTTAAATATGTTTGATTTTTAAAAAACTATTCTGATAGAATCATTGCTTAGTATATGGACATGTAATGAGTTCTGTATCTGTATAAATCATTAGTGGGTTTTTTTCTTCTATGCTCTCTCTTGCTCCTTTCTGATCTTTTGGTTCTGTATCTAGTTTCAAAAGAGGAGTTAGGGATAAGAATGGTTATCTGGGCTTGGCACTGTGACTCACACCTGTAATCCTAGCACTTTGGGAGGCTGAGACAGGCAGATCGCTTGAGTCCAGGAGTTCAAGACCAGTTTGGGCAACACGGCAAGTCTCTCTCTACAAAAAATACAAAAAATTAGCCAGGCTTGGTGGTGCATGCCTGTAATCCCAGCTACTCAAGAGTCTGAGACAGGAGGATCGCTTGAGCCCGGAAGGGTGGAGGTTGCCATGGGCTGAGATTGTGCCCCTGCACTCCAGCCTGAGCACCAGGTGCAACACCCAGCAACTCCAGCCTGGGTGACAGAGCAAGGCTGTCTCAATAAAAAAAAGTGTACTTTTCTTTAAAAAGACATCTTATGCTTATCAAAAGTTACTTTCTGTGAGTCAAGTTGATGTTTACTACTTCCCCTAGATAAGAAGGCCGGTTTTCTAAGCATGTAATGTGCTGTTCAGTGTTTTCTAAGCATGTAATGTATAGTGTTAAGTGTTCTGTTACACTGTAGTTTGAAGGAATTAATCTTTTAAAGTTTACATCTGGGGGAAAACGCAGGCTTTTCACATAAAAGGGAAAAGAAAATTTATTTTAAACATTATAATTAGGATTTTAATGATAGAATTTATACATGAAAAATAAACAAAATTACATATTAAAAAAATTTTTAACCAAGGAAACAAAACATGTTTTCTATGGCTTAGATGAGTTTTTATTAGACTGTGAAGATCCTTGGTCCAGAGATTGAGTAGTAGTATATTAGATTACTCAAAATCATTTAAAAGATTAGCATTATCTTTCCAAAAACAAGTTAAAACAAGTTTAAAAACCTGTTTTAGTCAGATATAAAAGATTATTTAGGAAAAGTCATCTATATTATTGTTATATTCTAAAAGAAAATTAGACCAGTCTTAAATACAAAAGTCAATGAGAAGGTAAAATCTTTGTAAATGGTTGAGTTTTATAGACGTGTAGGGTAGTAATTGGTTATCATCATCATCATGATCAACATTATAGAAACTCATGTCAATTTTAACATTTTGGAAATAGGTAGTACTTAATATATATTAAATTTAGGGAGTAGAATATGAATAGGATTAAAAAATTCTTAACATTTGAAATAGTTTGTTTCCTGTTTTTAGTGACTGGCCTTTGTTTACTTAGAAAACATCCATTTCTGGTAGGTTTTAAAGAATGTAGACCATTCTTTTTTGAGATGTTTTTGGAGAGTGGATTAAGCATCTTCTCAACTGCTTTAAGTTAACTGCTTTAAGAAAAGATTTTATGGTGTTTTAAATTTAAATATACATTATTAACTTGTTTTGTTTGAACTACATTTACAGTGAACTGCTTGAAGTGGACCACATCAGAACAATATATCACATGTTTATTGCCCTCCTCATTCTCTTTATCCTCAGCACACTTGTAGTAGATTACATTGATGAAGGAAGGTAAGACAACAAAAAAGATGGCTGGCTAGTTGATGCATGAGAAGTTAGAGGTTTTCACTAAATTTTGGTAAAGGGTAAATTGATTAAATTGCTTCAGGAAATCCTAAAGCAGCAGATTTGAGGGTGATATTCCTTTGCCCTGAAAAGTTTAACTGATGGAGAAAATTAGAAGTTTCATTACTTTTATTTTTAAAATGGTTTATTTGAATAGACCATAATCAGTAATTTCTAGGTAATTTTCCCAAATGGGAGAACTTTATACACAGTTGACCTACGAACAGCACGGGTTTGAACTGTGCATGTCTATTTATACACAGAATTTTTTCAATCAATGTGTTTAGCACTCTGTATCCATGGGTTCTACATCTGCAAGCAAAGGCTGATTGGGATCTAGAGTATTCCAGGATGCAAAACACACATATAAGAATGGCAGATTTTTCATATCTGTGGGTTCCACGGGGCCAACTGTGGGCCTCGAATTTGCATAAGTTTTGGTGTCTGCACAGTTTCCTGGAACCAACCCCCCATGTATAGGGAGGGATAACTGTATATGACTTATTAACTTTTTGATTGTCTTTATTTAAGATGGTTACTTAAAACAAGTAGCTTATTGGAATTGAAGGTTGAAAAAGTTGATATTTCTTTTTAATGTGAAAGTCAAATTATAGGCCAGGCATGGTTGCTTGTGCCTGTAATCTCAGCACTTTGGGAGGCCGAGGCGGGAGGATCACTTGAGCTTAGGAGTTGGAGACCAGCCTGGGCAACATCTCTACAAAAAATTTAAAAATTAGCTGGGCGTGGTGGCAGACACTTGTAGTTCCAGCTACTCAGGAGGCTGAGATAGGAGGATCGCTTGAGCCAGGGAGGTTGAGGCTGCAGTGGAGCTGTGTTTGTGCCACTGCACTCCAGCCTGGATGCAAAGGAGACCAGATCTCAAAATAAAATTTTAAAACTCAAATTGTAGCTTAAAAAATGACAGCGTGGTAATCATGGATTGAATTATGTACTTTTTTTGAAAATTAAGTTTGGAGATAATGGTATAGTATATTAACATATTTTTAAATTGTACCTATTTCTTCTGAAAAATCATCTTTTGTACATAAGAACGATTGCTGTTTGAATATTTTCCATAGAATATTTTACAGTTAGAAAATTAATGTGAGAATCTAATCTTTCAGAAGTTCAAAGTCCAATTATCTTAGATATCTTAAGTTTGAAGACTGTATTTATCTTAGGGCTTTTAGAAAATTTGTTTCTAAAGAACATATATTGTTGATATATATATATATATATATATTGTAAAGCAGATGGTTAGAAGCAGATCTCTAACTAGCAGAACTATTACATCCATGACTTCAGCGTATTAACGTTGTGGTGTTTCCTAAGGTTGAAAGTTTGGTGTTTGAAACTTTTAAATTCTGTGAACTCAGTGTATATTAAAAATTCACCTCTATGTTCTTTTTCTGTACCTTTTCTCCCCAGGCTGGTGCTTGAGTTCAGCCTCCTGTCTTATGCTTTTGGCAAATTTCCTACCGTTGTTTGGACCTGGTGGATCATGTTCCTGTCTACATTTTCAGTTCCCTATTTTCTGTTTCAACATTGGGCCACTGGCTATAGCAAGAGTTCTCATCCGCTGATCCGTTCTCTCTTCCATGGCTTTCTTTTCATGATCTTCCAGATTGGAGTTCTAGGTTTTGGACCAACATATGTTGTGTTAGCATATACACTGCCACCAGCTTCCCGGTTCATCATTATATTCGAGCAGGTAAGGTTTTAAGTGTTACCCAAGGCGATGCTGTCCTCGGCTAAAATAATAATAATGATGATGACATACTGATACTATTATTTTTAGCTGTATTAACTTGGATAAATTTTCATATATTGTTCTTTTGCCATTATCTGTAAAATTGTTAAACTAGAATCATCTCACCTCTTAAGTTTCATTGTAGCTTCCATGTTCTCTGAATTTTGATAAATAAATTACGTTGAACTTTTTTTTTTTTTTTTGAGACAGAGTCTCGCTCTGTCACCTAGGCTGGAGTGCAGTGGCACCATCTCGGCTCACTGCAACCCCTGCCTCCCAGGTTCAAGTGATTCTTCTGCCTCAGCCTCCCAAGTGGCTGGGACTGCAGGCGCCTGCCACCACACCCGGCTAATTTTTGTATTTTTAGTAGAGATGGGGTTTCACCATATTGGCTAGACTGGTCTCAAACTCCTGACCTTACGATCCGCCTGCCTCGGCCTCCCAAAGTGCTGAGATTACAGGCGTAAGCCACCGCGCCCGGCCACATTGAATTATTTTTGATGCATCAAGATTTTGTTTCTGAATACTTTTTGTAAAAGTCATTTAAATTATAAAATATTTTCATAATTAAAAACTTCACTTTTGAAATGTCAGATTCATTGTTTTGTCATGTAACTATATAATAAAGGTTTTATTTTAATTTGTTTATACACTTATCAGGATTTTCTGACTTTACTGGCTATCTATAATGCATTTGACTAATGGAAAGGACACTTGCAGGAGACTTTCTTTGAAGAGACATCTTTTTCCTCCTGCTTTTGTAGATTCGTTTTGTAATGAAGGCCCACTCATTTGTCAGAGAGAACGTGCCTCGGGTACTAAATTCAGCTAAGGAGAAATCAAGTATGTAATTTCTTTTGTTCATTATTTCTTCCTCCCCTCCCCTCCTCTCCCCCCACCCCATTCCCTTCCCTTCCCTTCCCTTCTTTCCTTCTTTCCTTCCCTCCCTCCCTCTCTCTTTTTCTCTTTCTCTTTCTCTCTCTCTCTCTTTTTCTTTTCTTTTCTTTGTGTAATTTCATTAGTTTAAAGGATTATTGGCTGGATATTTCACCCTTTGTTGTTTTCTGGGATGTCACATTATATAATGTAGAGATTGTGTTTTATTTCAAATATATATTATCCATATTGATTTTGAGGACCACTTCATTGTTTCCTGACTATTCCGGCTTTGCCCTTGAACCTACAATTTTAAAAAATTGATTATCTTTTGCAACTTTGCATTATTTTTATGGAATGTTAATAGCCTCATTACACCTGTGCCTGCCTATTCTTTGCAAATTGTTGCTTCACACTCTAGAAGTTATCTCAGTCACAGGAATAACTTGGTTTAAAGAGATTGGTAATATTCAATTCGTGCAAGAATAAGAAGTCATTCCGGAGATCAGGAAAAAAGAACATGAGCTGATAAGTCATTTTATTCTTCCCTGTTCTGTGCTTCCTTATATTCCCCCCTGTATTTTTGCTGTGAAAAATCAAAGAGCCTTTGCTCTAACTATAGTTTTCCTTTTCTAGGCACTGTTCCAATACCTACAGTCAACCAGTATTTGTACTTCTTATTTGCTCCTACCCTTATCTACCGTGACAGCTATCCCAGGTAATGGTACTGTGAACCAGAAATGTGGTAAACACCAAAAGTGTGGCATGAGTGAGGTGGGATAGGTAAACAGGGGCCAGTTCATGTAGGGACATAGAAAATATAGAATGAGTTTTCATTTTCTGTCTGACCTGAGAAGCCTCAAATGGTGAGTAGGGAAGTCTAATTTGATTATAGTAATTCTTGACAGAATTATAAAGTATTTCATATGGTCATAAATGATGTTCTGAATTAATTAATTTTTATTTATTTTTATTATTTTTAATTTATTTTTTATTAATTAATTAATTTTAGTTTTTTCTGAGATGGGAGTCTTGCTCTGTCACCCAGGAGTGCAGTGGTGCTATGTCGGCTCCCTGCAACCTCTGCCTCCTGGGTTCAAGTGATTCTCCTGCCTCAGCATCCCAAGTAGCTGGCATTACAGGTGTGTGCCACCACGCCCGGTTGGTTTTTTTGTATTTTTATTAGAGACGGGGTTTCACCATATTGGCCAGGCTGGTCTCGAACTCCTGGTCACTGCCTTCCAAAGTGCTTGGATTACAGGTGTGAGCCACCGCGCCTGACCAAAAAACATTAATTGTGAGGGTCTTTATTCAAGTTCAATTACTTTATTTAGAAACCTTATTTTTGTTTCTTTCTTTTTCAGGAATCCCACTGTAAGATGGGGTTATGTCGCTATGAAGTTTGCACAGGTAAGTTTTTGTAACTGCCTAAGGTATGTTGATTAGGGGATGGGGATTCATATTTATGATAATAATATAATCTAGTTAAATCTAATTGGGAGCTAAGAATGCTTTCTGTTGACATTATGCAGTCTTTTAAACTATTTCCAGTACGGTAAATGGTGTTTGTTTTGCCAACATCAAAAGTAATTTTCTTTAATAAAAGAATATATTAGGCTGGGCGCAGTGGCTTGCGCCTGTAATCCCAGCACTTTGGGAGGCCTAGGTGGGCAGATCGCGAGGTCAGGAGTTCAAGACCAGCCTGGCCAACATGGTGAAACCCCATCTCTACTAAAAATACAAAAATTAGCCTGGCGTGGAGGCACGTACCTGTAATCTCAGCTACTCAGGAGGCTGAGGCAGGAGAATTGCTTGAACCTGGGATATGGAGGTTACAGTGAGCTGAGATCACTCCTCTGCACTCCAGCCTGGGCGACAGAGCAAGACTCCATCTAAAAAAAAAAAGAATGTATTATTTATAAAGTAATTCTAATTGGTTATTTCAGTAAGCATTAATTTCCCCCTTCCTTCCTGTTTTTGGGGGAGGTATATATGTATGTGGGTATAGTCTGACTCTTACCCATTCCTCCTCCCACCTCCATCAGAATCATTAATCCTGGAAGATCCCATTTTAAATTAGTGTCTCAATCAAATGCCCATTTATGAAGTAAGTTCTTTCATTAAGGGGTTTTTTTTTTTTTTTTTTTTTTTTTTTTTTTTTTTTTTTGAGAAGGAGTCCTGCTCTGTTACCGATGCTGGAGTGCAGTGATGCAGTCTTGGCTCACTGCAACCTCTACCTCCTGTGTTCAAACGATTCTCCTGCATCAGCCTCCTGAGTAGCTGGGATTACAGGTGCCCACCACTGCGCCTGGCTAATTTTTGTATTTTTAGTACAGATGGGGTTTCACCATGTTGGCCAGGCTGGTCTCGAACTCTGACCTCAAGTCATCCACCCGCCTCAGCCTCCCAAAGTGCTGGGATTACAAGCGTGAGCCACTGTGCCCGGCCATGTTACGGGTTTTAAGCAGCAGGAAAACAGGTTCCAAGAGTAAGCTCTTCTAAAAATATCATTTGGTAAAGGGTTAGGAAAAGTGATGGTAGAAACTAGGCTTGAGTAATCTCCCTGAAGGATTATAGCAGTCTTCTATACTAGTGTTAAATGGAATACATATGCGAACATTACTGTAAGGGTCACATCTGTACTTTCTTTTGGAGAGAAAAAAATCGCCTTCCATCTTATTAAGCCATCGTTATTATAATTCTGTCTCTGTTATGTTCCAGGTCTTTGGTTGCTTTTTCTATGTGTACTACATCTTTGAAAGGCTTTGTGCCCCCTTGTTTCGGAATATCAAACAGGAGCCCTTCAGCGCTCGTGTTCTGGTCCTATGTGTATTTAACTCCATCTTGCCAGGTAACATGGGTACTTGTTAATTTGGTCATGCATAAATTCACGAGGTAAATAGAAAGCTATTGCCTATGAGCACCTTTGCTTTGCCTACTTTTTCATCTAAACTTCTATACATCTATGCCCATCTTGACCTCTTTTGCATCTACTTTATAAATGAAGTATCCTTCATCCAGTCTCAGGTCAGTCTTTCATCTTATGGCTTTCACTCAAGTTGTGCCTTTCTCTGACAGTGGACAGTCCACATTCATGCTGTGTCTTCCTGTTCGCTATTAAGTTCATTGTAATCTTGCTCCTGATTCCACCAAGCCACTTAAATGCCCCTTGTTGAAATTACTAGTAACTTGTAGAAATTACTTGTAGAAATTACTAGTAATCCATATTCTAATCCAGTGGATGGATTAAGATGTACTTTACCCCTTATCCAAGTTGACCTCCATGAAGCATTGGGTGCTGCTGACCACATTTTTAAATCTCTCTTGTCACTGTTTTCTTGCCTTTTTTTTTTTTGAAATCGGGTCTCTCTTTGTCACCCAGTCTGAATGCAGTGGTGTCATCATGGCTTACTAGCCTCGACCTCTGGGGCTCGAGTGATCCTCTCGCCTCAGTAGCTGGGACTACAGGTGCATGCCACCATGCCTGGCTAAGTTTTTATTTTTTGGAGAGACGGGGTCTCCCTATGTTGCCCAGGCCATTCTCAAACTCCTGGGCTCAAGTTATCCTCCTGTCTCAGCCTCTCAAAGTGCTGGGGTTACAGGCTTGAGCCACCATGCTTGGCCTTTTGCCACTATTTCTTATTTTCCTCCTGTCTTTCCGACCATACCTTGATTTCTTAAATATATTTATTGCATTTTTTTGTCTATTATAGAGATATATGAGTACCTAGTACTATGCCAGGTGCAGAGGACTCAGAAGTGAACAAGAGATGTATTATCTTTACAGTCTGGGAGCTTTTATAGTTTCCCTTACTTTTCCTCTTTTCTTTACTCATTGAATGTTGGTAATGTTTTCTGTCATCACCTTCCCTTTCTTTTCTTCTCTTGCATTCCTCTTCCAGTAACCCTCCCTCACCAGCCCCAGGACTTATTTGAATGAACTCTGTATCTGTCCCTAAAATAGAATATGTGTTACATACTTGAGTGTCTTCCTCACTAGCTGCAAAGTTATTGAGTTCAAGGATTGTGTTTTATAGCCAATCACAGTCTCTCTCATATTGTCTGGTACATAGTTGATGCTCTATAAATATATATTTTTCAATAAATGAGTGAAAGAGATGGACATATAAATGGATATTTTACAATATATTGTAATATGTACTACATAAGTAGGATAAACAAAATGCTTATGGCCTTTGTTTCACATTAGAGATAACATTTAATATTGGGTATTGAAAAATAGGTAGGTATTTGCCTGGCAGAGAATTGGTGGAAAGGTCATTCTAGGTAGTGGGATGGATGCAAGGGCATGGAGCATTCTGGAATGGCATAAACCCAGTTGTGGATAATGTTTACAACACTTAGAGGGTAGAATCACTGGAGATATGTTTAGAATGTTATCCATGTCACTATGTTAACCATGTCACTATTAACATTTTGGACTGGTTAATTCTTTGTTTGGAGTGGCATTCTTCTGCATTGTAGCATAAACTGTTCAGCAGCATCCTGGCCTCTAACAACTAGATACCAGTGGCACCACTCCCTCTCCTCCAATTGTCACAGCACTGGTGCAGTAGCTTGCACCGGTAGTCCCAGCTATTCTGGAGGCTGAGGTGGGAGGATCACTTGAGCCCCAGGAGTTGAAGTTCAGCCTGGGCAACATAGTGAAACCCTGTCTTTTAAAAACAAAAAGTCTCTAGAATTTCAAATGTCCTGTGGGGGAGAGGGGGCAAAATCTCTCCCAGTTTTAAACAATTGTTTAAGAGGGGGGTATGGGGGCCAGATTTTTAAAGGACCTTGGGTACTAAGTTAAGCCATATATTTAGGCATTTCTTAAAAACAGACTGGGTAGGCTGGGCGCGATGGCTCACGCCTGTAATCCTAGCACTTCGGGAGGCTGAGGTGGGCAGATCACAAGGTCAGGAGATTGAGACCTGCCTGGCCAACATGGTGAAACCCGGTCTCTACTAAAAATACAAAAAATTAGCCAGATGTGGTGGTACATGCCTGTAGTTCCAGCTACTTGGGAGGCTGAGGCAGGAGAATTGCTTGAACCCTGGAGGCAGAGGTTGCAGTGAGCCGAGATCGCGCCACTGCACTCCAGCCTGGGTGACAGAGCAGGACTCTGTCTCAAAAAAGAAAAAAAAAAACCAGACTGGGTAATGTCATTTGTTGAACCCACTTTGAAGGAAGTTACTGTTTTAAAATTAAGATAATTAACTCCAAAAGTATATCATCTCTGGAATGGGTAAACTGGAATAATAACTTATATTTTACAAAATAATCCCAGCTAAATAAAATGATGTGATATAATTAGTTGCTTGGTATGTGAGCTATTTGGAAAGACTGTTAATATTGTTAATCTTATTTTTAGGTGTGCTGATTCTCTTCCTTACTTTTTTTGCCTTTTTGCACTGCTGGCTCAATGCCTTTGCTGAGATGTTACGCTTTGGTGACAGGATGTTCTATAAGGTAGTATATACTTAGACTTAGCTTTCTTTTTACATTTTATTAACTTCTTCATTATTAGTATTTTGACATTGTTGGCTAATGTCACCAGCCTTTCACACAAACATTGTGAAATAATTTTCTTTTCTACAAGTTTTGCCAGTATTTTCTGAAATTCGGTTACAGATATAACTAGCATAACCTTGTGTTTTCTTCTGTCTCTAATATCTGCTCCCTTAACATAAGCACATGGTTTCTGCTGGATCCTGCAAGGATATATTGGTGATTCCAGTAGGAAACTGTTTGTTCAGAGCACACCATGAGACTTCCCTGAGTGTTCATTCATTTGAAATGGACCGTCTAGTTCTGTAGGAATGACCTCAGCAAATTATTCCATTTAAGACAATTGAGCAGTTCATGAGGGAAATAACTTTTCCCTCTTTAGTTTTGAAAGGTGTTAATTTTGCTTCAGATAGTATCCTTATGCTTCTAAAGTTGGAATTAAGCTATAGAATTAGAGTCAGAATGGCTCATAGCATTCTTTAACCCTACCTAAAGCTCTCTTTGAGTTGTTTTTGGCAACACTCCAAGTCTACCACCTTTTTTCTCAAAGAAACTTTAAGTGTGGATTGCAGATTTTAGATACCTGATTTCATTCATCTGATCTTAATATTGGGAGCAAGAAGCATATATAGGGATACCAGGACTTTGAGGTAGCCACCATCTCACCCTGGATAATTTTGCCATTTATGGTAACCACCAAACAGCTCTCTAGTGTTAGCACTCTCTCTGGTCTTCATGACCATAGAATTTTCTCATGACATTCTAGTAGGGTAAGGGGGGTGGGGCTTACTGATTGCTGTTTAGATGAACATTAGATTTAAATGATTCTATGTGTTCCGTATGAACCTAGGAACTAAATCATATATAGTATGAGAATTCATGTCATATTCAACACTAATAACCAAAATGCCTTTGAAGATTTTTCTGTCACCAGTGTATGAACCAACAGTTTATCACAGTATAATTTGATTTTTCTGTTACATATGTTCTTTGGGAAGTCAGGGGGGTTTGCTTTCGGGTGGGATGTGTGTGTGTGTGTGTGTGTGTGTGTGTGTGTGTGTGTGTGTGTGTGTGTGTGTAGTTTTATACCTTTACTTTTTCCCTCAGGATTGGTGGAACTCCACGTCATACTCCAACTATTATAGAACCTGGAATGTGGTGGTCCATGACTGGCTATATTACTATGCTTACAAGGACTTTCTCTGGGTAAGTAGCAAGGTTTAAGTTGATATTATTTATGAAATGGAGATTCTTTTTCAGAAAGTATGAGTATTATACAGCTGGAAGAAGTTATATTTAATTGCTCATGAGGAAAGGGTGATAGTATCTTTTCAGTTTTCTTTTGAGAAATTTACATCTAGAAACCTGCTTTGAATGGTACTGCTTAGAAACCACTGTGTGTACACTAGTAGGTCTAATACTGTGTCTTTTGCTCTGAATTTTATCTTACATAACAAAGTAAGAATGCATGGAGGTTGTTGGAGTTGAAATGATCCACCAATAATGGATAGTTTCTTATGAGTCTTGTTGCCAACAAATAATCTCCCTTTGGTCTTTTTCATTCGTTTTTCATGGTTAAAGGTAGAGAAACACTTTTTTTTTTTTTTTTTGAGAGAGTTTCGCTCTTGTTGCCCAGGCTGGAGTGCAGTGGCATGTTGTCGGCTCACTGCAACCTCCTCCTCCCGGGTTCAAGCGATTCTCCTGCCTCAGCCTCCCAAGTAGCTGGGATTACAGGCATGCACCACCACGCCCAGCTAATTTTCTATTTTTAGTAGAGATGGTGTTTCTCCATGTTGGTCAGGCTCATCTTGAACTCCCGACCTTAGGTGATCCGCCCGCCTCAGCCTCCCAAAGTGCTGGGATTACAAGCATGAGCCACCGTGCCCGGGTGAGAAACACTTTTCTGTGAGAAACACTTTTGTGTGGATTTTGTATCTCTCCAATCAGTGACACCTGGCTTTGAGACATTCTTTAGAGCAGAATATACTTAGACTGATGAGATGTAATCTTGAATCTCCTGGTTGATAAACAGGTATCTAGATTACAGTTTTTATTAAGTGAGGGCACCATTTGGCTTAGTGACAGCATCTTATGGTGGAAATAGCATTGTATTAATATTTGAGTGCTAATTCTGTCATTCAAGTGTAGTTTCACATACGGATAAGGCAAGTCCCTTTTCTCCTTCTGAAATCTTAGTTTTGTTATGTGTAAAAATGGAGAGGACAGTTGCCCCATCTACCATACAGTGTTACTCTAAAGACTGAAATTCAATATGTTTCATTTATATAGGAAAACTATGTTTTGTCAGTTGTAATAACTTACAAACATAAGTTATTGATATTTTTGAAAATAGACTCAGATATTTGAACAATAATAAGAGTTTGTAAGTGTATATGATTTGTAGTTATTTTAATAGACTTGGATTAATCCAAGGAGTAGACTTAGAAAATTAAGTACAAATACAATAGGTGCCTTTGGCATATAATTTTACATCCTATATAATCCATGCTTGCTTTAAATTTTTAAAAATTACTTTGTAGTGTTTTCCTTTTTCTTTAGTTTTTCTCCAAGAGATTCAAATCTGCTGCCATGTTAGCTGTCTTTGCTGTATCTGCTGTAGTACACGAATATGCCTTGGCTGTTTGCTTGAGCTTTTTCTATCCCGTGCTCTTCGTGCTCTTCATGTTCTTTGGAAGTAAGTATCTTGGTATGCTGTGAGTACTGGGTACTATGCTAAAAAAGAAAACCAGATAGAAAGGAAACTATAAAATCAATGTAGGAGAACTAGATAGTAGTAGTAACATTTTAAGGTAGTACTTCTTTATCAGATGGTCAGAATATTGACTTTGAATAATTATACACAGCTCTGTCTCAAGATATTTACACTTTGAAGTAGGGAAATGAACTAGGTAACCTCATGAAGACCATTGATAACACTGATTTGATAGGTCATAAAAGTTATCTATATAAACAGCTTTCCCATTCGTAAACATTGTCGGTATGCACCCCCTAGAAAACTGACAAGTTTTTGAGTGAGTAGAGAGGGAAAAGTTGGAATATGAATATTCTAATTCCATGAAATATATATACACATGTTCTGAAAACACTGATTTCTTGTAAGTTACTGATTTTAACACTGAAGCTTTATTTTTCTTTATAGAAACAGTGACCAGAATAAAAAAATATATAAACAGTTGTTGCTCACTGTGATTATTAAATAACAGCAGATACCTGAGGTCCCTCATCTTCTGATAAATTATGTTTTGATACCTGTATATTTCTTTCTTTTTTTTTTTTTTTTTTTTTTTTTTTTTTTTTTTTTTTGAGACAGAGTTTCACTCCTGTGACCCAGGCTGGAGAGCAGTGGTATGATCTCAGCTCACTGCAACCTCTGCCTCCCTGCTTCAAGTGATTCTCCTGCCTCAGCCTCCCGAGTGGCTGGGATTACAGGCACACACCACCACGCCTGGCTAATTTTTGTATTTTTAATAGAGATGGGGTTTCACCATGTTGGCCAGGCTGGTCTCGAACTTCTGACCTCTGATAACTGTATATTTCTTTGTTGCCTTCCTATTTTTAGTGGCTTTCAACTTCATTGTCAATGATAGTCGGAAAAAGCCGATTTGGAATGTTCTGATGTGGACTTCTCTTTTCTTGGGCAATGGAGTCTTACTCTGCTTTTATTCTCAAGAATGGTATGCACGTCAGCACTGTCCTCTGAAAAATGTGAGTCACCAACCTGGTTGGAGTGCAAAAGAACCTGTTTATTCTCTGTTTGTGAGAGTTGGTGGGCAATGTTGAGGAGCACAGTAGTGGAGATTATGATGAATTAGTGTTAAAGAGAGGGAAATGAGGAGTAAAAGCATTAGTTTATCATCTGATCTTATTGTACTTGAAGTTTTTCCTTTTGTTTAGTTTTCTTCACATTTAACTCTCCTAGCTTTTGGTTTTCTTCTTTTACTGCCTTTTCTTCAGCCCCTTCTAATTTTTTTTTTTTTTTTGAGACAGAGTCTCACTCTGTCGCCCAGGCTGGAGTGCAGTGGTGCAATCTCAGCTCACTGCAACCTCTGCCTCCCGGATTCAAGTGATTCTCCTTCCTCAGCCTCCCGAGTAGCTGGGATTGCAGGAGCATGCCACCATGCCCGCTAAATTTTTGTATTTTTAGTAGAGATGGGGTTTCACCATGTTAGCCAGGATGGTCTTGATCTCCTGACCTCATGATCCGCCCACCTCGGCCTCCCAGAGTGCTGGAGCCACCGTGCTCAGCCAGCCCCTTCTAAGTATTCTCCAGGGTTTTCCTAATGCCATGTATGTCCCTACTACCACCACCTAAAACATACCTTTTTTTTTTTTTAAACCTCTTTCTTCTAAATAAACTCTTGTAAAAATATTGGGCAACACTGAGATCCTTCCATTTCTCTTGATTCTATTTTTGTTTTTGGTAATTCAGGTTTCATTTATTCTTAGGACTTTAGTTTTTAGCTATACATGGGTACAGATTTTAGGAGGATGGCTTTTTTTTTTTTTAAGAATTTTATTTTCAAGTAACACAGTATAGGACATAGGAATTTCCCAGCAAACACTCTGGTTAATTTAATTGATGTGATCTGGTTAATTAGATCTACTAGCACTAGCTGAAAGTACTGCTTATAGTTATGGATAGAATTTCATGATGGAAACACCCTAAGAAGTAGGATTGCCAGGCTTTTTGTGCATATAGGGCGTGTCCTATATTTAACATTTTTGTCCTGCCTCCTGTATTGGGTTTCTTAGAACACCCCAAATGTCCTATATTCTGCTTTTTTCAGTAAATTACAAAAAATATGGCAGATAGAGCTATTTGTCTCAAGTTCATCTCGGCATCCTGTACTTGTATTTGCTAAATTTGGTGGCCCTACTAATAATTCATTCAATCCCTACAACCTTCCAGGTTTGGAGGGGATACCTTCTTGATTTATTTCCTGGGTATTTCTCATAGGCATCTGTAACTGAAGATGTCCATAATGAAATTAATCAGTTTCCTCTCCAAAGCTTCCCCTCTTTCTGTGTACCCTATGTCTGTTAGGCTGCCTCAACTCTCCCTCTTTATTTCATATTAATCTCCTTTGTTCATCTGAAGTAATTGCTCTTGACTGTCCCTGGTCACCTGGATTCCACATGTCAGATTTTATTCTCCTATCAAAATCCAGTTTGGATGCCACATCTTCCATGATGATTTTTCAAATGCTTGCTTCCCTCTCTTTCCTATTTCTGAACTTTTGTAGTGCTTCATTTGCTCCTCCTTTGATAGTTCAGTAATTTTAAACCTTGTATTAGTCATTTTTATATATATGTCATTTATGTATATATTAGTCATTTATATATGTGTATATATAATATATATTTATATTTATATATTTATTTATATATTATATATTAACTAATATATACTAATATTTAGTACCTTAAAATCTAAATGGTGGTTATATATAAATATATATATATATATCTATTTGTCGTCCTTAACCACCATTTAGATTTTAAGGTACTAAAAGTAGGGCTGTGCTAAAATAAAGATACAGAAAGAAATAGTGCCTATTTAGAAACTGGTCAAAGTCCACACAATTGTGTATAGTTTACTGGACTTTAAAAGCTTTATGTGAAGCACCTAATTGAATAAATCTGTGTTATAGATAAAAGTACTGAACATCTTTTGAATTAGTGAGCTGCTTATACCTTGAGGGTTGTTGAAATGGTGGGAGGCATTTTAGAGATGTACAATGTATCATATTAACATCCCTGCCTATCTCCACACCTCCTCTACTCTGTACACAAATTATTTTTCCATTCTTATTTTTCCCCACTGCAGCCCACATTTTTGGATTATGTCCGGCCACGTTCCTGGACTTGTCGTTACGTGTTTTAGAAGCTTGGACTTTGTTTCCTCCTTGTCACTGAAGATTGGGTAGCTCCCTGATTTGGAGCCAGCTGTTTCCAGTTGTTACTGAAGTTATCTGTGTTATTTGGACCACTCCAGGCTTTACAGATGACTCACTCCATTCCTAGGTCACTTGAAGCCAAACTGTTGGAAGTTCACTGGAGTCTTGTACACTTAAGCAGAGCAGAACTTTTTTTGTGGGGCTGGGTGGGGGGAGAAGACCGACTAACAGCTGAAGTAATGACAGATTGTTGCTGGGTCATATCAGCTTTATCCCTTGGTAATTATATCTGTTTTGTTTCTTGACTCTGTCCAATCAGAGAATAAACATCATAGTTTCTTGGCCACTGAATTAGCCAAAACACTTAGGAAGAAATCACTTAAATACCTCTGGCTTAGAAATTTTTTCATGCACACTGTTGGAATGTATGCTAATTGAACATGCAATTGGGGAAGAAAAAATGTAGAATGATTTTTGCTATTTCTAGTAGAAAGAAAATGTCTGTTTTCCAAAGATAATGTTATACATCCTATTTTGTAATTTTTTTGAAAAAAGTTCAATGTTCAGTTTTCCTTAGTTTTTACCTTGTTTTCTCTATAGGTCATGATTTCTGTGAAGCAAAAAGATGCCTTTTACCATGAATTCTTGAGTTTACATCAATAATATTGTATATTAAGGGGATCAGAAGTAGGAAGGAAAAAATAAGAGATAGCAGAGGAAAAAGAAAAACATTTCCTCTTATAACTTCTGAAGTAATTTGTAAAAAAGATTTGTAGAGTCAATCATGTGTTTAAATTATTTTATCACAAACTTAACATGGAAGATATTCCTTTTTAACTTTGTGGTAACTTCTTTGAAGTTATTTAGAAATATCCTTTGGAACAATTATTTTATTGTCTAATAAATATTGACTTCTCTTGAATTATTTTGCAGACTAGTGAGTCTGTACCATAAGTATTAATCACCTCCACTCATATTAAAGTGATCATTAAGAATCCAGAAGCTGGCTTCTGCATTTGCTCAGTTATACTTTTAATGGTAGTATGTTTTTAGGTGGAATAAATTAATATGTGATTGGTTTCAAGGAAATGTACTCTATTATGTAATACTTCCATTTTATAAGATGCCCATTTCTAATACAATGTGTGTAGGAATTATTTGTATGTATGAGGTATGATTGTAAAGATTGAGCATTGGAAGGGGTATCAGAGACCATGTAGTTCAACTTTCCACTCAAAGTAAGATTTATGAATTATTTAAATGATAGTTGTTACTTGGAACAGCCACTTGAGAGGCTCTCTTGGTATTGTTTGGAATTGTTTTAAAGTCAGTTTGAGTCTCACAAGAAGGTAAGTAGAGTTTCTTAATAGTCACAACTTAATTTGAACCACAAGTATCCAGCTTAATCACGTATCTTACTCACGATACCACTGGTCCAGATGAGTTTAGGTAATTTTCAAACATTAAATCCAACTTCAACGGAAACAAATACACTCAAGGGAAGTTATTTTTAAAAAGGTACTCTGCATGTTCCCGCAGTAATGTTCTGCACAACAGTATTGTAATTGTAATGGAATCATAACCTGCTAACTAGTTTGCTTTAATATGGCTTGTAATTCTTGACATTTTTCTTAAAATTAAAACGAATTTTTATTTTGAATTTATAACTGCATTTTAAATATATTGGGGACAGATTGCGCTGAGACCTGGTTATGAGCAAGCCAATCTTTTGAATCTAGAGAATGGAATTCTTAGGTTTATATTTCTGTTAAGAAATACTATAAATATGACTCTTATGAGAAGACTTTGTTGCTCTGTAGTGTTTCTGAATACTGTATTTGTTGGATTGATCAAGGCTATTTTTCAAAAAGCTCTCTGCTTCCTGTTTGTTTGTTTGTTTGTTTTTGAGACAGAGTCTTGCTCTGTCGCCGGGGCTGGAGTGCAATGGCGTGAACTCAGCTCACTGCAACCTCTGCCTCCCTGGTTCAAGCTATTCTCCTGCCTCAGCCTCCTGAGTAGCTGGGATTACAGGGCCACGCCTGGCTAATTTTTGTATTTTTAGTAGAGATGGGGTTTCACCCTGTTGGTCAGGCTGGTCTCAAACTCCTGACCTTGTGATCTGCCCACCTCAGCCTCCCAAAGTGCTGGGAAGACAGGCGTTAGCCACCGTGCCCGGCCTCTGTTTCCTGTTATTAGTGATTTTCCTGCCCAAGATTGCAACAACAAATATGTAGAACTACAGACTGTTTAGAATGCTGAGACTGTTCTAAGAAACTTTCAAAAACAGTAGCACTTCAAGGAATGGTCACTTTCTATGAAAGAAACTGGTTTGATAGCCATAATCTTATTGCTAGCTGCTTTTAGCAAAAGTCTTTTCTTGAAACCACCACCTATACTCTTTAAACAAATAAAAACTAAAATCTCTTGCTAATGTTTCAGGAAGATTTATTTTTTCTATTTTGCTATTGTGGCGAAAATTATTTTCAGTTATAGGATACTTTTTTCCTTCTGAAAAGTAATAAGCTTAAAGTTTTTGTTTCTGTAAGATGTAATGATAGTAACTATTATTTTGGGCATATTAACCAACAGAACAATTATGTAGTATGTATATCACTTTCTCATTAGATCTCTAACTTGACCTTCTAGTACCTTTATGTGTGAGGATAAATTTGTTAGATCCTTTTATTCTCAATCTTGGATAATGATGCAAAATGGAATTTTGTTTTGTTTGTTGGTAGATTCACATACTAAAACTTTGCAGGTAAAGTTGCTTGCCTCATGTTAGAATTTAATTAGAAAACTGAGGCTGCCTTTTTTTTTTTTTTTTTTTTTTTTTAAGACAGAGTCTTGTTCTGTCGCCCAGGCCAGTTTTTTTTTTCTTGTACAGATGGGGTTTTACCATGTTGCTCAGGCTGGTCTCAAACTCCTGGAGTCAAGGGATCTATTTGCCTCAGCCTCTCAAAGTGCTGGGATTACAGGTGTGAGCCACGGCTCCTGGCTCCTTGCTCCAGAATCAGTTTTTTAATGGAAGATAGCTCATACTTTGTTTTTGTTTTTAAAGAGACAGGGTCTCACTCTGTTGCCCAGGCTGGTAGTAGCGTGATCATAGCTCACTGCAGTCTCAAACTCCTGGACTCAAATAGTGCTCTGGAGTACCTAGAACTACAAGTGCCTACCACCACACCCAGCTAATTTATTTGTTTTTTTTTTTTTAGAGATGGGGGGGGTCTCCCTATGTTGCCCAGGCTGGTCTCAAACTCTTCACCTCAAGCAAAACTCCCACTGCAGAAAGCTTTGGGATTACAGGCATGAGCCACCATGCCAAGCCCATACTTATTGTTAATAAAGTTTCAGTGACTTGCTTACTAATCTTATGCAAAATTTCATGTAATTTATGTAATACTACATAACAATGCTACATATGGTATGTATACATACACTGTATACACACAAAGGTCTGTTCTGGGTATTTTATGTATCTTATCTCTAGGCTTTATGGCTCTGAAATGGAGGGAACTGGACATAAATGTTTCAAGGAATAAAGTGAATGTTTTGTTTGTTTGTTTGTTTTGAGACGGAGTCTCAGTCACCAGGCTGGAGTGCAGTGCTGTGATCTCAGCTCACTGCAACCTCTGCCTCCTGGGTTCAAGCGATTCTCCTGCCTCAGCCTCCCGAGTAGCTGGCATTACAGGTGCCTGCCACCATGTCCAGCTAATTTTTGTGTTTTTAGTAGAGATGGGGTTTCACCATGATGGTCAGGCTGGTCTCGAACTCCTGACCTCATGATCCGCCAGCCTCAGCCTCCCATAGTGCTGGGATTATAGGCATGAGCCATGCTCCCGGCCAAAGTGAATGTTTTGGGTGAAGTTTATATAAGGATTTGACTTTTGTATCATTATTAAAGTTTCTGTCAGGTAATACAGTGTTGGCCCTCTGTTGAAATAAAATGTTACATATCGCTGGGTGTAGTGGCTCATGCCTTTAATCCCAGTACTTTGGGAGGCCAAGGCAGGAGGATTGCTTGAGCTCAGAAGTTTGAGACCAGCCTGGGCAACATAGCAAAACCTTGTCACTATAAAAAATACAAAAATTAGCCAGGCGTGGTGGTGCACGCCTGTAGTCTCAGCTACTCAGTCGGCTGAGGTGGGAAGATGGCTTCAAGCCGGGAGATGGAGGCTTCAGTGACCTGTGACCTGTGATCACACCACTTAATTCCTCAAAACATTTATGTCCCAGTTCCCTCCATTTCAGAGCCATGGGCAACAGAGCGAGACCCTGTCTCAAAAAAAAAATTACATATAAGCCCGGTTTAAAGAGAGGATAATATGCAACCACCCTAGTTGAAACAGAGTGTATCACTTCTTTCTCACCCTAAATTTAATGCCTAGTTTGAAAATCAGTAGACAATAATAAAGTTGATAAGCTTTAGGTTGGTAGGAAAGCTATGTAATCTATATAGTGTACTAAATCCTTATATGTTTTTGGTAAAAAAAGACTTTAATAGCTAATTTGGACTTCAGAAAATGGGTTAATTTCACGAGTGCATATCACTTTTGACTATATTAGTCAAGCATATTATTAAAGTTTAAAAAACTCTAAAACTTCTGTACTGTTTTTTTCTTAAGTGCTCTCTTCCTTATTTCTACATTACTACATTCACATTTCTGCTGTCAATAAGCCCTAATGGAGTGATAAACTTTAAGCTAGTAGATACTGCACCATGTCTTGTGGTGGTGTTTTCTTAATGAAATGGAAGCTGTACTTCCTGTTTGTTTTTAAATACTTTTGAAACAGACAGTTCATGTACCCCATCATTTAGAGATGCAGTTTGAATTTCCATGGAAAAAGGTGCCAATTTTGGATTGGGAAAGGAGCTGAAGCCCCAGTCAAGACTTTGCCATTTGGGGTAATGCAGCAGATTCCTGTGTCTGTATCTTTCCAGTGTGTGTGTTAATCCATAGTGTTCTGAGCACCAGAAGGGTCATGTAAATCTGAAGTTGTTATTAAAGGTTTTTCTATAGTGAAAGATGTCTTTTCTGATTCATTCTTGTATGTTACTTTCCTGAATTGCTATTCCCTCTGCCCCCTGCAAGTCCTTGTCTGATCACTGGTACCAATACTTTGTTTAGTATGAGTTGTATTAGCATTAACTTAAAAATTTTTAGGCCGGGCGCAGTAGCTCACGCCTGTAATCCCAGCACTTTGGGAGGTTGAGGTGGGTGGATCACAAGGTCAGGAGTTCGAGACCAGCCTGGCCAATATGGTGAAACCTCGTCTTTACTAAAAATACAAAAAAATTAGCCAGGCATGGTGGCACATATCTGTAATCCCAGCTACTTGGGAGGCTGAGGCAGGAGAATTGCTTGAATCCGGGAGGCAGAGGTTGCATTGAGCCGAGATCGCGCCACTGCACTCCAGCCTGGGTAACAGAGCGAGATTCCATCTCAAAAAAAAATTTTTTTTTAACTTAAAAATATACAAAAAAGGCAAAATACTGCACATGTAAATGTGATAAATATATTTGGAAGAAACCTAGTCTATTTTTTATTTTTTTATGTCTTTGAGACAGTCTCATTCTGTTGCCTAGGCCAGAGTACAGTGGTGTGATCTCAGCTTACTGCAACCTCCCCCTCCTAGGTTCAAGTGATTCTCCTGCCTCAGCCTCCCCAGTAGCTGGGATTACAGGCACACATCACATGTCTGGCTAATTTTTGTATTTTTTAGTAGAGATGGAGTTTCGCCATATTGCCCAGGCTGGTCTTGAACTCCTGACCTCAGGTCATTCACCTGCCTCGGCCTCCCAAAGTGCTGGAATAGAGGCATGAGCCACTGCACCCGGCCAGAAACCAAGTCTCTTTTAAAAGTAACTTCAAGTGTATTTAGTATTAACTCTATGGTTCATGTTCATAAATGCTGTTCATCTTGATACCAGGCAACTTTATATGCTGAATATAGCCAAAAGAGAAGGCAAACAACTGACTAGGACTTTCTTGTCCAGTCTAATGAAGGGGAACTGTGTTAAAGGTTACAAATAAATTGTGGGGCCCAATTGTGACTTTGTATTTGCATCAAGAAATGCAGTGACAGTGACTCTTCTGCTGCCTCTCTCTCTTGAGGCCGTTATTTGTTGCTTAATTCCTTTTGCTCTTGGCCTTTTAAAACCTGTGAAGGGGCCTGGTGTGGTTTCTTACACCTGTAATCCCAGCACTTTGGGAGGCTGAGGCAGGTGGATCACTTGAGCTTGGGTGTTCCAGACCAGCCTGGCCAACATGATAAAACCCTGTCTCTATTAAAAATACAAAAATCAGCTGGGCTTGGTGGCGCACACCTGTAATCCCAGCTACTTGGGTGGCAGAGGCATGAGAATCGCTTGAATCTGGGAGGTGGAGGTTACAGTGAGCCAAGATCGTGCTTCTGCACTTCAGCCTGGGCGGCAGAGTGAGACTCCGTCTCAAAAACAAAACAAAAACCTGTGAAGGTATCTAAGAAAGCATTGCTCTACCTCTGATGGGTAGAAATGGACTTTAGGTTTTTAATGAAAGGTGAAAAGCGGTTGGCTAGGAGGTATGCCTCTTAAGACTAAGGGAAACCAGTTTTGGAGCAAGATAGGGTTGCTTCCTCCTGCTATCGTTTGAATGTGTCTCCTCCAAAATTCAGGTATTGCCAATGTGCTGTTACTGAGGCAGAGCCTACTTTTTGGAGACAGTGTCTCGTTCTGTCACCCAGGCTGGAGTGTGTGGCGTGATGTGGGCTCACTGCAGCCTCCGCCTCCCAGCTTTACATGATTCTCCTGCCTCAGCCTCCTGAGTAGCTGGGATTACAGGCACCGGCCACCATGCCCAGCTAGTTTTTGTATTTTTAGTAGAGACGGGGTTTCACCATGTTGGCCAGTATGGTCTTGAACTCCTGACCTCAAGTGATCAACCCGCCTCAGCCTACCAAAGTGCTGGGATTACAGGCATGAGCCACTGCACTCAGCCAAATTTCTCTTCTTTATAAAGTACCCAGTCCCAGGTATTCTGTTATGGCAGCTCAGATGAAGATGCCCTTTCTCCAAAGAATCTACTCGTAATAGGAGCCTATTATGAGGAATACTTGACATTGCAACACTTTGTTGGTGGAAGCACATATGATAGCAACAGTCAAGGAATACTCTCCAGTTACTCTTGATGATCTAGCTATACCCACCTGGCTCTGCAGTGCCAAAGGAGTGGGAAAGGGGAAATCCTTTCAGAAGTTAACTCTGCCCCTGTTTCTTGGACCCAGTGGCTGTTGTTCATTGCTGCTAGGGGCAAAGCCATAGTGTTGGAATTTTTTCTGATGAATTTATGAAAGCGTAGAGTTGTGTCACTTTAGGCTTGGATAACTATCATTTGGACTCAACCAAATTCATGCATCTGATTTATAAAACATATAACTTGGTAAATTTACTATGAGAAATCACTCAGTAGCATCCTCAAGGTTGGCATGATCATTGAATTTGCTCTGTAGAAGCCCAACTTAGTGTACAATGAGAAAGATGAATTTATTCTCACAGACTGCATAATCATTTGTCAGATACTATGCCATGCACTGAAGACACATGAACAATACAAAAGCATATTTCTTCCTGTAGGCATGCCCGTGTGTGAACTGAATGATAAAGTCAGACATCATTCAGTTTTAGGGATGCCCTTCTTGTGTGGAAGCAATACTAGAAGCTACTCTTTCCCTTGGAAAGTGTTTGGCTGAGTAGTGCTTAGATTTCCTTCTCAGTGTCTGCTTTTAAAAGTTGCTAACTGGAGGCCCTGTGTGGTGGCTCACACCTGTGATCCCAGCACTTTGGGAGGCTGAGGTGGGCTTATCACTTGAGGTCAGGAGTTTGAGACCAGCCTGGCCAACATGGTGAAACCCCAACTCTACTAAAAATACAAAAATTAGCAGGGCATGGTGGCACGTGCCTGTAATCCCAGCTATTCAGGGGGCTGAGGCAGGAGAATTGCTTGAACCTGAGAGGTGGTGAGCCTAGATTGCACCGCTGCACTCCAGCCTGAGTGACAGAGTGAGACTCTGTTAAAAATAATAGGAAGAAAAAAAATGGAAGTTTCTAATTGGTACCTTCTTTTTTTAGCTACATTAAATACAAACACTGGCCCACTTCCCCTGCAGATTCCTTTAGGGAGCTTTGCATGCTCTAAGTGCCTGCAGATGTGTTTATAAATCCCTGACCACACAGTTAGAAAATGAGTTGATAGGCCAGGCATGGTGGCTCATGCCTGTATTCCCACCACTTTGGGAGGCCAAGGCGGGCAGATCACCTGAGGTCAGGAGTTCAAGACTAGCCTGGCCAACATGGTGAAATCCCCTCTCTACTAAAAATATAAAAATTAGCTGGGCATGGTGGCGGGTGCCTGTAATCCCAGCTACTCAGGAGGCCGAGGCTCCAGAGAATCGTTTGAACCCAGGAGGCAGAGGTTGCAGTGAGCCAAAATCACGCCACTGCACTCCAGCCTGGGTGACAGAGCGAGACTCCATCTCAAGAAAAAAAAAAAAAAATCGACTCTGACCATCACTTTTACACATCTTGAGGTTTTCTGTTTAGGAAGATTCTTACCTACTCAGCTTACATTTTGCTATGGTATTTTCCATCAAAGACCTTAATAGTATTTTACTTTACTCCATTTTAGGATTCTCTTGGTATAATTAAAAATTAGGAGAGGAGTTACCTTATAAGTAGCAATTGTATTTTTTGATAGTTATAGTCTTATTGTATTGTTTTTGTTTATGCCTCATCTATTAACTTTTTTCTTTTTGTTTTGTAGAGATGGGGTCTTGCCACGTTGTCCAAGCTGGTCTCGAATTCCTGGCCTCAAGCCATCCTCTAGCCTAAGCCTCTCAAAGTGCTGGGATGACTCCGGCTTGAGCCACCACACCCAGCCATTCATCCAACTTTTTTTTTTTTTTTGAGAGGGAGTTTCACTCTTGTCGCCCAGAATGGAGTGCGATGGTGCTGCAACCTCCACCTCCCGGGTTCAAGCGATTCTCCTGCCTCAGCCTCCTGAGTAGCTGGGACTACAGGCATGTGCCACCAGGCCAGGCTAATTTTTGTATTTGGTATTTGTATTTGGTAGAGACAGGGTTTCACCATGTTGATCAGGCTGGTCTCTATCTGACCTCAAATGATCTGCCCACCTCAGCCTCCCAAAGTGCTGGGATTACAGGCATGAGCCACCACGCCCTGCCTCATCCGTTCAACTTTAACGTAGGCCTTTGCCGAGAGCTTCATACCCATGTATTAATGTATAATCAAATAGTTACTTTTCATTCCCATCCAGATATCTCAATCTTACTGCAAACTTAATATATCCACAGTCCTAAACGTATCCTTCTCCAAAGCCCTCCTCCAAATCTGGTCTTCCTCCTTTGTTTCCAGTCTTAGTAAATTGTATTGTTACAGGAAATGGGGTTCAGATTCAGACCCCAAGAGAGAGTTTTTAGATCTTGCACAAGAAAGAATTCAGGGCGAGTCCACAGTGCAAAGCAAGTTTATTAGGAAAATAAAGAAAAAAAGAATGGCTACTCCATAGAGCAGCCCTGAGGGTTGCTGGTTACCCATTTTTATGGTTATTTCTTGATGATATGCTAAACAAGGGGTGGATTATTCATTCTTCCCCTTTTCAGACCATAAAGGGTAACTTCCCGACATTCCCATGGTATTTGTAAACTGTCATGGCGCTGGTGGGAGTATAGCAGTGAGGACGGCCAGAGGTCACTCTCGTGGCCATCTAGGTTTTGGTGGGTTTTAGCCGGCTTCTTTACTGCGACCTGTTTTATCAGCAAGGTCTTTATGACTTGCTATCTCATCCTGTGACTTAGAATGCCTTAACCATCTGGGAACGCAGCCAAGTAGGTTTCAGCCTTATTTTACCCAGTGCCTATTCAAGATGGAGTTGCTATGGTTCAAACTCCTCTGACATTATGTATGATCACCATACCACAGCACAAGACAGAAAAGAGACCTTTGATGTCTCACAGATCTAATCACTTCCTAAATCCTTTAGATTATACTTTATGTGTTTTTCTAGAATGTGTTCACTTATTTCTATCTGCTTTCTTAATACTGTACTTGGATTTTTTTGAACTAGGTTAAGAATACAAAAGATGGATAATTTTGTGTGCTCTATAATGCTATTATGTGTATTTTAATTCTTTGAAAAATTAGGGTAATGGGAGATAAGGCTAAAGGCTAAAATGCTAACACACCCAACATGTTTGATCGGAAGAGTTCAAAGGGACCATGTAGACTTGTTTTGAACCCTTTGCTCGAATTTCTCACAGCTATTACACTCAAAACCAGAAAATAGCCGTAATTCTGTCAACACAGAAGAGAACTGTCCAACTGATTTTCATGTTTGTCCAGGCACTCTACTTGGTGCTAAGGAATATGGTGATTGAATAAGATAAAGTTTCCTCCCTGTCTGGAAGCAACTAGACGCTGGGCTTCTCCCAGCGATTCATTATTTGGCACTAAATCTCTGCCTTAATATGAAACGATCCGGCTCATGCCTGTAATCCCGGCACTTTGGGAGGCCGCGGCGGGTGGATCACCTGAGGTCGGGAGTTCGAGACCAGCCTGACCAACATGGAGAAACCCCGTCTCTACTAAAAACACAAATTTAGCTGGGCGTGGTGGCGCATGCCTGTAATCCCAGCTACTAGGGAGGCTGAGGCAGGAGAATCGCTTGAACCTGGGAGGCGGAGGTTGCGGTGAGCCGAGATCGAGCCATTGCACTCCAGCCTGGGCAACAAGAGTGAAACTCCGTCTCAAAAAAGAAAAGAAAAGAAATGATCCCTCACCGAACCGAGCCTCAGTTCAGTGCGAAGGCTCTGATGATACTCTTTTTTTTTTTGAGACGGAGTCTCGTTCTGTTGCCCAGGCTGGAGTGCGGTGGCGCCATCTCGGCTCACCGCAACCCTTTCCTCCCCGGTTCAAGCGAATCTCCTGCTTCAACCTCCTGAGTAGCTGGGATTACAGGCGCGCGCCACCTCTCTTGGCTAATTTTTGTGTTTTTAGTAGAGACGGGGTTTCACCATGTTGGTCAGGCTGGTCTCGAACTCCTGACCTCGTGATCCACCCGCCTCGGCCTAAGAAAGTGCTGGGATTACAGGCGTGAGCCACCGGCCGCTGATGGTATTCTTTCCTGAGGGCAGATTTTCACGCCAGAAGCCCCGACAATTATACCTGAGCTGGTTCCACCTAAGCTCAATCCTCCTTCCCTGCCCCAAGGGGGTGAAAAATCTGGGCCCAGGAGGCCTTCCTTGTGCTCTGGGGGGAGGCATTTAAGGGTCCAAGGAAGACGTGACCGAAATGTAAAGCACTGGACGGCTTACCCAATAAGGGACCCAGCGTTTCTTATTACCCAACATCCCCCTGAGTCTGGCTTTTAGAAAAATATGCAAAGCGTCCGGGCGCAGTGGCTCACGCCTATGATCCCAGCACTTTGGAAGGCCGAGGCGGGCGCGGTCAGGAGTTTGAGACCAGCCTGGCCAATATGGTGAAACCCCGTCTCTACTAAAAATACAAAAATTAGCCGGGCATGGTGGCCCCCGCCTGTAGTCCCTCGGGAGGCTGAGGCAGGAGAATCGCTTGAACCTGGGAGGCGGAGGTGGCAGTGAGCTGAGATCGCACCATTGCACTCCAGCCAGCGCGACAGAACGAGACTCCGTCTCAAACAAAACAAAACAAAAAACAAACTACAAAATTAGCCGGGCATGGTGGCGTCTGCCTGTAGTCCCAGCTGCTTGGGAGGCTGAGGCAGGAGAATTGCTTGAACCCAGGAGGTGGAGGTTGCAGTGAGCCGAGATCGCACCATTAAACTCCAGCCTGGGCGACAAGAGGGAAATTCCGTCTCAGGGGAAAAAAAGAGAAAGAAAGAAAAAGAGGAAGAAAGAGAAAGAAAAATATGCAAAGCAACAAAAAAGAGAGCTAGAAAGATGGAAACAACTCAGAAGACCCTTGCTTAACCCGCGTGCGTCACGGGCTACAGGGGTCGGCCCCTCGAGCTAACCCCCACCGGCGCCTGCGCACTGGCCTGGCCCGCGGCAGGAAGCCCCGGCGTGAGACACTTTCGGATTCCGTGACAACGGCGGGATTAAACGTTTTTCTTCTCCTTTGCTACTGAACCTATGCTGTGACTTAGAACATAAGAAACTCCAAGAGGGTGTAGGGATTGTCTTAGCTGTCTCCCTCCTCCGCCGGCACCGCTGAAGGCAGCCCCTATGGAGGGCGCTAAACCTCGGGGCCCTGGGTTTCTATGACGACAAACAGGCGTTCCAGCAAAGGAGGAAGTGAGCGGATGCTGGGCGGGTACGCAATGTGTGGGTAGGATCGCGGGTGTCCCTTTCCCGTCATTTTAAACCAAGAAGCAGTGCGAGGCCTGCCCAACTCGCGAGTTTGTGGAACTGGCGCGCGAGAGCGCTGCCTGTGGGGAAGGTATGGTCCCCAGCCGAGCCGCCTGCAGCGAGTGTCCCCCACCAGGGGTGCCGGCGGTCTGCGGGGTCCGCCGAGCGGGTCCTTCCTGCCCTGCTCCTTGACCCCGACCTGACGGTCCACTAAGGCTTCTTAGTCGCTACACATAACCCCAGAACATAGAGGTCGCCCCGAAGAAGGAGAACCATGCTAGATGAATTCTAAACTGCGATCTGAACCTAAGTACTCAATAGTTGTCATCTTTTTTTTTTTTTTTAAATCTTTTTTCCTCTGCCTGCAGGACTATGTGGCAGCCTGCAAGTCCCAGTGCGGCGCTGATTTGTGTCTAAATTAGCTTTCCGGAGGACTATTTCAAATTACTAAAGAGATAGGAGGCATTGTTTATTATGTCTCTCCCGAAAACGCCCTCCACCCCGCTAAACTCTACATCAACATCTGAGAGCAAAAAGTTAAAAGTGTCTGTAGCCAAGGAAGGGACAAGAGGTAAACTTCGTTGATTCTGAAGTCATAAACAGTCATGGCCGTAAGACAGAAATCACCTTCCATTCACCGGTTTTTTAAATCTGATATTCAGAATACCTTGATTGGCTACATTTTTCTAACACACTTGCTTAAATAAAGCAAGAAGTCATTCCTTTTACAGTATTTTGAGTCAGAGTACTGTTTCACTACTCCATCTAAATACAGTTTATACTTTTTTTCAAATGTTGATTTATATATGATTTTAAATTCAACCTATTTTAAATATCAATAGTTACGTATTTTTTGGTTCCTGGTCTTTGGCTTTAAGGAACTTTGGAAAAAGTAATAGTGAGGCAGGGCGCGGTGGCTCACGCCTGTAATCCCAGCACTTTGGGAGGCCGAGGTGGGCGGATCACTTGAGGTCAGGAGTTCGAGACCAGCCTGGCCAAATATGATGAAATCCCGTCTCTACTAGAAATACAAAAATTAGCCGGGCATGGTGGCTCGCGCCTGTAGTCCCAGCTTACTCTGGAGGCTGAGGCAAGAGAATCGCTTGAACCCAGGAGGTGAGGTTGCAGTGAGCCAGGATCGAGCCATTGCATTCCAGTCTGGGAGACAAGAGCAAGACCCCATCTCAAAATAAATAAATAAATAGGCCGGGCACAGTGGCTCACACCTGTAATCCCATTTGGGAGGCTGAGGCTGGCGGATCACGAGGTCAAGAGATTGAGACCATTCTGGCCAACATGGAGAAACTCTGTCTACTAAAAATACAAAAATTAGGGGGGGCGTGGTGGCTCGTGCCTGTAGTCCCAGCTACTCAGGAGGCTGAGGCAGGAGAATCGCTTGAACCCGGGAGGTGGAGGTTGCAGTGAGCCGAGATTGCGCCACTGCACTCCAGCCTGGCGACAGAACGAGACTCCGTCTCAAATCACGAGGTCAGGAGTTTGAGACCAGCCTGACCAACGTGGTGAAACCCGGTCTCTACTAAAAATACAAAATTTAGCCTGGTGTGGTGGCACTCGCCTGTAATCCCAGCTACTCGGCAGGCTGAGGCAGGAGAATCACTTGAACCCGGGAGGCAGAGGTTGCAGTGAGCCAAGATCTTGCCACTGCACTCTAGCCTGGGCAACAGAGGTAGACTTGGTCTCAAATAAGTAAATAAAGAAACAAAAAGTAATAGCAGAGATAAGAGAAACTCAATTTAGTACAATGTGCCAATTTGTATTAGCTTTTAGTAATTTTTCTAAATGAGAGCAATTCCTTAAGATTTTCGTTCATATGCGGATCTGTACTAGAGTCAGCTAGTGTTATCCTTACCCGGTTCTGTTAAAGCTTTTCCCATCTCACCTGCACCTTGTACTAAAACCCCAAGCCCCACCCAACTTTTTTTTTTTTCTTCTGTTTCTTTTGATCTCAAGCTCTCAGGAGATTTGGTAATGTAAACCCTAACAACTTTTGATAGTAATCAAAGCATGATACCTCCTTATAGAAATAAACATAAACCATACCATGTTACAGGCATAGATTAAGAAGAATAACAACTCAACCCTACCTGACTGACTTCATAGGAGGGCTTTTCCTACATTATCCCAACTACCTGCCTTTATTACTCCCCTGCCCTAGTCAAGCAGGGTAGAACACTCTTTTTACAGTTCCCATTCCACAGATTTGTCAGCTCAGATTGTTCCACTCTCATTTGCAACAATCCCAGTTCCATCTTTACTTTTAAGCCCAACCCAGAGCCTTTCCACTCTATAAATGCCTCGATTTAATGCAATTATTCTCACCTTTGAATTCATGTAAGAAAAAAATTACTAAATAATTTGACAGCTTGGGGGGAGAGATTTGTGATTTTCATATGAAAGGGAAAATAGACATTCATTCCTGTCTTCTTAAGGCTCTCCCAGTTACCTGAGCAAGTGAAATGAGTTTAGTTTTCAACTTTGAATTGAGAATCATGCAGGTTCATCTTGGTACCTGAGTTTTTGAAACTGTGTCTGATGTAATGTGAGTAGGGTAGGCAAGATGAATGTTATTTTCCTTGACTAGATGATGTTCACTGTTTTCAATATTATTTGTTACTATCTTTGTCAAATAGAAGCAATGTTTCTCTCTGTTAGAAACAGATGGGATTGATGAGGCAGTCTGAGAAGCTCCATCTAACTTAAAAAAATATATAGTAAGAGTTTTTCTTTTCCACTACTTACTTAGGACTTCCTGAGCTAAAGGAGAAAAAAAATATGGTGGATCGTTCAAAACTCCTTCCTACTTCCCTTCAGAATGAGTTCATTCCCAAAGAAGTTCTTCTTTCTCTGACCTATGCGGCCAATGCTGGTCCTTGTCCTGAAAACTTACTACCTCCTAAGAAAATTAAAACCCCAAAGGTTTGTATGTACATATGTAGAGTAATGGGGAACATTATTTTTTGGGCATCTGATTATTCTTTAAGTATTTATTATGCACATATTATATATTCCAGATAGCCTTAAAAATTTTAAGATTGATTGAGACAGGGTCTTACTACTGTGGCCCAGGCTGGAGAGTAGTGGCCTGATCATTGCTCACTGCAGCCTCGACTACCCTGGCTCAGGTGATCCTCCCACCTCAGCTTCCTGAGTAGCTGGGACTACAGGTCTGTGCCACCACACCTGGCTAATTTTTGTATTTTTCATAGAGACGGAGTTTCGCCATGTTGCCTATGCTGGTCTCAAATTCCTGGGCTCAAGCAATCCACCCGCCTTAGCCTCCCAAAGTGCTGGAATTTCAAGTGTGAGCCAACATGCCTGGCCTTAAAAAATTTTTTTAGGCTGTAATCCCAGCACTTTGGGAGGCTGAGGCAGGCAGATCACGAGGTCAGGAGATCAACCATCCTGGCCAACATCATGAAACCCTGTCTCTACTAAAAATACAAAAATTAGCTGGGCATAGTGGCATGCGCCTATAGTCCCAGCTACTCGGGAGGCTGAGGCAGGAGAATCACTTGAACCCGGGAGGCAGAGGTTGCAGTGAGCCGAGATTGCGCCATTGCCCTCCAGCCTGGACCACAGAGCAAGACTCTGTCTCAAAAAAAAAAAATTTAAAATAATTTCTTAGATTGAAAACTCCAGTCTTTTGTATAAATTGTTTCCAAGGCTTGAGTATTTCCATTGACCTGTTTTTATGTGGATTTACTAAAATGATAATTGCTACCCTTAATGTTTTTCACTCACTATAGAATTATTCTAGTTTTAGTCTTTATGTCATTTAATAAGAATTCTGCTCTCTTTTTTCCTTAGAGTACCCAAGTGCCCTTAATGTAAATACAGTACTTACTCAAAACTATTAATACATTTTATTTGATTAGATCGCCCTCTGCTGGATATTCATGTGTATTTGCTTTTTCCCAGGGCACTCTTCCACGCCTTGTAGACCATGTCTGGCATCACCCTGTTCGAAGGAATAAATTCAAATACCTGATTGACCATCCCGTCTCCCTCACAGGAGCTGGAAGGTAAAGAAGGAAGATAGTAGGATAGATGCTGATAAATAGAGTTGTTTTCTCATTTTGAATGATTACCTTGGGAGGGGCAGAATTAGAAAAATCACTGAATCATAGATGATAAAATTTACAGTATCTTTGAATCAGAATACAATCCAGAAGGGCCAAAGACCATCTTTTTGTGTGTGATTATTATCAGTAGGATGGAAATAGGTGCTGGCTTTACATATTTTTGGTTTAAATTTGCTTTTTGCATGCCTTTGTATACTTGTCCCTATACTCTCCTATTCCCTGTTGTACCCTAGTAAAAGGGACAAGATCCAACAGGCAGAATGCCTTTAGTGCTCCTTTTATCTGTGTGTATGTCTTCTTTGTGGACATCTTTAGAAGAAAGAACTAGGTAACATAGCTTCATGATGTGGAAAACCTTGAAAAACAAAAGCTTAATTTCTGGATCTCTCCAAAGGGAGCCCTTAATCTTTACACTGTTTCAGATCAAGTCAGCAAATACTATTTGTTTTTGTCTCATTCCTACAAACATTCTAAGTCATTCTAAGGCGGTCAAGTGGGTCAACATTTTCCCTGTGAAGATTGAGACCTGCTAGTTTTCTATGTATTGTCCACTTATCAATTTACTCCATGCATGCGCCCTCACTTAAATGTCCCTTCTACTGAAACAAATGTTTACACTTAACATACTTGAGTAGGTTATTTAGTCTTTCTGAAGCCCCATTTTCTCATATGTAAAAAGGGAATAATAGGCTGGGCCAGTTTTGTGTGCCTCCCAGGGATATTGTAAAGCACAAATAAGATAATAGATGCAAGAGCACTTGTAAAACTATAATGTGCTATTTAAGTATAGGTGCTATTACTCAGCTATGCTTCAGTGCAAGGAAAAGTGGTAGAAACTTGTCCTATTGATTTTTATGTACTGAGGCTTTATATTTTATTCTATGCCTCCGGATCATGGTTATAATTATTGGTAGCAATAATTAGTATTATGAGTTGTTTGAAGTACTTTGAAAATTAATTAGCTATATCTGAATGTGGCACTAAGCTGACATTACAGTTTTAATGTTGGCCAGGTGCAGTGGCTCATTCCTGTAATCCCAGCACTTTGGGAGGCCGAGGTGGGCAGATCATTTGAGGTCAGGAGTTCGAGACTAGTCTGGGCAACATGGTGAAACCCTGTCACTACAAAAAATACAAAAATTAGCCAGGCGTGGTGGCGCACACCTGTAATCCCAGCTACTTGGGAGGCTAACGCAGGAGAATTGCTTGAATCCAGGAGGTGGAGGTTGCAGTGAGCTGAGATTGTGCCATTGCACTCCAGCCTGGGCGACCCAGCGAGACTCCCTCTCAAAACAAAACAAAACAAAAAATAAAGTTTTAATGTCAAATGACTCTGAGTTGGAGTTTTTTAAGTGTGAAGTCAGGTTGACAGGATAATGCCCCCTCAACCCCACGAAAACATTTTCACTGTAGTCTCAGAACCTGTGAATACATACCTCACCTGGGAAAAGGGACTTTACAGATATGATGAAAGTAAGGACATTGAAATGGATAGATTATCTTAGATTGTCAGGGTGGGCCCAGCCTAATCACCTGAATCTTTAAAAGTGGAAAAGGAAGGCAGTCAAGTGGGTCAGAGAGATGAGAAAGGAAGAGGACAGCTTTGACTTGTGAGAGTTCAGCCTGACATTGCTGGCTTTGAAGAAGGAGGAAGGGGAAAAGCAGCCAAGAAATGAATTTGGCTACTAGAAGTTAGGAATTCTAATGACAGCTCAGTCGCCAACTGTCAAGGGAACAGGGATTGCAGTCTTACAACTTTAAAGAACTGAATTCTGTTAACAACCCAAATGAGCATAGAATTGGATCTTCCTCTAGAGCATCCAGAAAGAAACACAGTCCTGCCAATGCCTTGATTTTAGCCTTTTGAGACCCTGTTGGACTTCTGACCTACAGAGCAGTAAGATAATAAATTTATGTTGTTTAAGATGCTAAATTTGTGGTAATTTGTTATGGCACCAATAGAAAACTAATGCACAAATGCACAACTAATAGTATGCATAACGAGATAACTTGTCCAGCAACCTCAATCACCCAGAACCCAGCAGTAAAATATAAAACAGCAAAGCAAATATTCTCGAGTAATATTTTTCGACAACTCTTTCAGCAGAGTTCAGTGCAGAAAATAAATCAGTCTAGATATTTTAAGCAGGAAAGAATCAAATGCAGAACATTGGGTATTTACAAAATTGTTGGAAGGGCTAAAGGAGCTGGTATGAGGAAGTACCTGTGCGAATAACTCCCAGAACAGGGTGACATTGACATCTTCAGATAAAAGACATGTTTATAGATAGACATAACTCAACCAATGATGATTTGAAGAAGAGCTTGAATTATGAACTCAGTTAATAATCTGGGGGCTGAAGAACGAGTTGGAGAATTTCTTAAAGACAAATAAATAAAATCCAGTTATTATGTTATGATTAAGAATCAAAGTTGTTTTGTTTTGTTTTTTGTTTTTTTAAATAAAAATAGATTTTCCAGAAGAGTGGAAGCGGGTGTTTTACCATAGAATTTTATGAAGAAACAAAACATATCTCTAATTATTATTATTATTATTTTTGAGAGATGGAGTTTTGCTCCTGTTGCCCAGGCTGGAGTGCAATGGCGCAGTCTCGGCTCACCACAACCTCTGCCTCCCGGGTTCAAGTGATTCTCCTGCCTCAGCCTCTGACGTAGCTGGGACTACAGGCATGCACCACCATGCCCAGCTAATTTTGTATTTTTATTAGAGACCGGGTTTCTCCATGTTGGTCAGGCTGGTCTCAAACTCCTGACCTCAGGTGATCCACCCGCCTCGGCCTCTCAAAGTGCTGGGATTATAGGCGTGAGCTACCACGCCTGGCCCTCTAATTATTTTTAATAAAAAATTATATTTCAACAAGTAAATAAAACAGGCTTCTTCTAAAAATCAATAACACAATCACCTCTTAAAGGTTCCACTTCATAATGATACTATTAAAATGGCAATTACATTTCCAACACATGAATTTCTAAGGGACACATTCAAACCATAACAATACCCAGTACTTTAATAATGTATAGAAATACAAAAGGCTCCTCCAAATCATGAGTGAACTCCCATTCACAATTGTTTCAAAGAGAATAAAATACCTAGGAATCCAACTTACAAGGAATGTGAAGGACCTCTTCAAGGAGAACTACAAACCACTGCTCAACGAAATAAAAGAGAACACAAACAAATGGAAGAATATTCCATGCTCATGGATAGGAAGAATCAATATCGTGAAAATGGCCATACTGCCCAAGGTAATTTGTAGATTCAATGCTATCCCCACCAAGTTGCCACTCACTTTCTTCACAGAATTGGAAAAATCTATTTTAAATTTCATACGGAACCAAAAAAGAGCCCACAGAGCCAAGACAAGCCTAAGCAAAAAGAACAAAGCTGGAGGCATCACGCTACCTGACTTCAAACTATACTACAAGGCTACAGTAACCAAAACAGCATGGTACTGGTATCAAAACAGATATATAGACCAACGGAACAGAACAGAGGCCTCCGAAATAACACCACACATTTACAACCATCTGATCTTTGACAAACCTGACAAAAACAAGCAATGGAGAAAGGATTCCCTATTTAATAAATGGTGCTGGGAAAACTGGCTAGCCATATGTAGAAAGCTGAAACTGGATCCCTTCCTTACACCTTATACAAAAATTAATTCAAGATGGATTAAAGACTTAAATGTTAGACCTAAAACCATAAAAACCCTAGAAGAAAACCAAGGCAATACCATTCAGGGCATAGGCATGGGCAAGGACTTCATGTCTAAAACACCAAAAGCAATGGTAACAAAAACCAAAATTGACAAATGGTATCTAATTAAACTAAAGAGCTTCTGCACAGCAAAAAAAAATTACCATCAGAGTGAACAGGCAACCTACAGAATGGGAGAAAATTTTTGCAATCTACCCATCTGACAAAGTGCTAATATCCAGAATCTACAAAGAACTCAAACAAATTTACAAGAAAAAAACAACCCCTTCAAAAAGTGGGCAAAGGATACAAACAGACACTTCTCAAAAGAAGATATTCATGCAGCCAACAGACACATGAAAAAATGCTCATCATCGTTGGCCATCAGAGAAATGCAAATCAAAACCACAATGAGATACCATCTCACACCAGTTAGAATGGCGATCATTCAAAAGTCAGGAAACAACAGGTGCTGGAGAGGATGTGGAGAAATAGGAACGCTTTTACACTGTTGGTGGGAGGATAAACTAGTTCAACCATTGTGGAAGACAGTGTGGTGATTCCTCAAGGATCTAGAACTAGAAATACCACTTGACCCAGCAATCCCATTACTGAGTATATACCCAAAGGATTATACATCATGCTACTATAAAGACACATGCACACATATGTTTATTGCGGCACTATTCACAATAGCAAAGACTTGGAACCAACCCAAATGTCCATCAGTGATAGACTGGATTAAGAAAATGTGGCACATATAAACCATGGAATACTTTGTAGCCGTAAAAAAGGATGAGTTCATGTCGTTTGTAGGGACATGGATGAAGCTGGAAACCGTCATTCTGAGCAAACTATCACAAGGACAGAAAACCAAATACTGCATGTTCTCACTCATAGGTGGGAATTGAACAATGAGAACACCTGGACACAGGGTGGGGAACATCACACACCGGGGCCTGTCGTGGGATGGGGGGAGGGGGGAGGGATAACATTAGGAGGAATACCTAATGTAAATGATGAGTTAATGGGGGGTGCAGCACACCAACATGGCACATGTATATGTATGTAACAAACCTGCACATTGTGCACATGTACCCTAGAACTTAAAGTATAATTTAAAAAATAAATAAATAAAATAAATTATTTTTAAAAATTAAAAAAATACAAAAGGCTGCTAAAGTAGGTTCTTGAGAGAATTTGAGTGATGATTACTAAATCAAAATATTCTTTATTAATAAAAAAAAAATTTTTTTTAAGATGGAATCTTGCTCTGTCATCCAGGCTGGAGTGTAGTGGTGTGATCTTGGCTCACTGCAACCTCTGCCTCCCAAGTTCAAGCGATTCTCCTGCCTCAGCCTCCCGAGTAGCTGGGATGACAGGTGCCTGCCACCACATCTGGCTAGTTTTTTAACTTTATTTTTAATAGCGATGGTGTTTCACTATATTGGCTAGGCTGGTTTTGAACACTTGACCTCAGGTGATCCGCCCATCTTGGCCCCCTAAAATACTAGGATTATAGGCGCGAGCCACCATGCCCGGCCCCAACATATTCTTTAATTATATGTTTGTGTATATGTGCATAAAATATTGTGTGTATAATATATGTCTAATTATATAAAATATATATAATGTATAACATATAATGTATAATGTATACATATGCATTATATATGTATATACAGGTATATACTGTACACATATATGTACATACATATATGTACATATATGTATATAATATATGCACATGTGTGTATCTACACACACATATATGTACATGAAGCATTCATCATTTTTAGCTAACAAAACAATTGTAATGGCCAACTTCTCCAGCATTTATTGGTGTGATAAGAACTGCTGTTCCATCATCCTGACAGCAGCTCATTCAGATCTTTGTGACTATGTAAAACCTCTAAGAGGGTGGAACAGAGAAAGAATCCGGAGGATTGGGAAATACAGCTCTAACATTTTTCCCCTGTACATATCCAAGAGAACCAGAATATCACAGCGCAGGACATCAATAGCTTGATGTCTTTTACTACCAATATATACGTTTAAAAATAGTTATGGTCCATGTTGTATATTTCAGGATCTTCCTGGGACACTAGAACTGGCCTGTTTCCACCAACCTCACATGCCACATCAGCTGCCAAATGGCATTGCCCTCAAAGCACACCCTCTCCCACCATTTCACAATATTGCAACTGTTATAGTCATTCTAAAATAATTTAAAATTTCATTTCATCCATAAAACCTTTCTAGCTTCTCTTAGACTAAAGCCCAACATGTTAAGCATGATTTGCAAGGCTCTCTGTGTTTAGTTCTCTAATTTCAACAATTTTATTCTTCATACTTCAACTGTATATTCAGTCATCCCTCATACTGAGGGATATGTGGGGGATTGGTTCCCAGACACCTGCAGATACCAGAATCTGTGTCCACTCAATTTCTGCAGTCAGCCGTACATGAGTCAGAAACTCATGTATATATATGGAAAGTTGGCCCTCTGTATATGAGGGTTTCATATCCGGTGAATACTGTATTTTCAGTCAGCGTTTGGTTGAAAAAATTCATGTATAAGCAGACCCATACAGTTCAAGGCTGTGTTGTTCAAGGGTCAACTATACTACATTTTCAGTTTGCCGAAGTCACCATGTGCTGTTGTGTCTCAGGACCTATGCATATGCTGTTCTCTACACTTTTCGGTTGCTTACCTAAATCCAAATCAGTTTCTTGTTCTCACTAATTGTTACTGCTTCCCGAAGTTTTCCCTGACTTGGTCTAAACTGTATTTGGGTGGTGTTGTTATTAGTTATTCCAGTAACATTCTATTCTCTGTTACAATGTCTTTATATTATACTTTTCTTTGGTTTGCGAATCTTCCCCTCTATATTGAAGGCTCCCCAATGGTAGGGACTGTGTCTATTTTAAGAAATAGTTCTATATTCCTTTCATCTAGCATATTTTCTGTCACTTACAATATGGTTAATAAATATTTGCTGAGCAAATTAATGAATTTTGGGCACGTTAATGTACAATCCTATAACCCAGGGCACCCAAATTTAATAATGTAGTTTTTTCTTTTTTTTTGAGATGGAGTCTCACTCTGTCACCCAGGCTGGAGTGCAGTGGCACGATCTCAGCTCACTGCAACCTTTGCTTCCCAGGTTCAAGTGATTCTCCTGCCTCAGCCTCCCAAGCAGCTGGGACTATAGGCACACACCACCACGCCCGGCTAATTTTTGTATTTCTAGTAGAGATGGGGTTTCGCCATATTGGTCAGGTTGGCCACAAACTCCTGACCTCAAGTGATCTGCCCCCTTCAGCCTCCCAAAGTGCTGGTGTTACAGGCATGAGCCACTGCAACTGGCCTTGAAATTGTAATATTTCTGTATTGTCATTCTTCACCACTAGAATCAGTTCCATGAGGGTAGGAACTTTTTATTTGCTTTTTTCACTATTAGTGTTCTTAGCTCGCAGTGCCAGGTATGCAGTAGATGCTGAATTAGTCTTTACTATGTAAACCAGTAAATACATTTGGAGTTTATAGAAGGATGTAATGGACAATCATTTCAGGGTACCATTGTAGTGATGAATTAATGCCTATTGTTTTCTGTCCTGGAAGTCTTAAAAGAGTCAATGACTCAAGATTCCGTCTCCTGGAAGAGTATATTTGGCCTAGCTTAGACCACTTGCCCACATCTTGGTTATCAGAGGATTTTTTTCTCCACTTTTCTGTATTTTGTTTTATTAAACTTCTTATTTTGAAATAATTTAAAGACTCACAGAAAAGTTGCAAATGTGATCAACCCTGGAAAACATTCCAGGGAAGCATGGTAGAAGATAACTGCTAAGAGATTGTTTAACTTGGCAGTGGTAATCACCATCAGCTTTCTAGAAAATAGTTTCAGAAGAGAGGTATGGGTGGAAATCAAATTGCAGGACAATTTTAGGAAGTTTGATGTTTAACACAAGTGATCGATGATAGATCAATCGATTGATCCATTGATAGATCATAATAACATGACAGCGGCCGGGCATGGTGGCTCATGCCTGTAATCCCAGCACTTTGGAAGGCCGAGGCAGGTCACCTGAGGCCAGGAGTTTGAGACCAGCGTGGCCAACGTGGCAAAACCCCATCTCTACTAAAAATACAAAAAATTAGCCAGACATGATGGCACGTGCTTGTAATCCCAGCTACTTGGGAGGCTGGGCAGGAGAATTGCTTGAATCCGGGAGGTGGAGGTTGTAGTGAGCTGAGATTTTGCGCCATTGCACTCCAGCCTGGGCGACAGAGTGAGACTCTGTGTCAAAATAATAATAATGATAATAACAATCACAACATGACAGCAATACATGTTCAAGGAAATATTTTTAGAAGGGGAAAAAGTTTATTATAGGTCAAAGGGGATGTAGAGTTGGAGATACACAGAAGTTAGGACTGATGGAATGAGACTCCTGAGGATATGGGCAAAGATGGAATCAAGCACCTAAGTGGAGGGAATAGCCATAGGAAAGAGAATATATTTTAACCTCATACTGAAGGAAAGGAAAGAGTTTGTGATATGAATGAGAAATTTCAGGTGGAGAAGAGAAAGAATGTGGGGGAACTCATGTTTAATGCCTCAGTCTTAGTAAAGTGTTATGTAAGGAGATCAGTTTTGCTGACACAGAGGACCATCTTACCCATTAGAAGGATATGTGTGGATCTCACCTGCTGTTATGTGGTATCCAGATAGAAAATTTGTTTTGTAAATATATTTTTCTTACTTTTTAGGGATATTTCTTTTCTGTACGATGTAACATATGCCAAAGGACAGACTAGGGAGAAGGCAGTTTGTCCCCCACATTTGGCCCGTTCATTACAGTCACATGATGGTGTCATTGTGCCCCATAAGGTAAATAAAGTATTTGACAAATAATCTTCTCTCCCTCTGTCTACTTTTAAAAATCATTTTAAAATGATTTTTAATATAAATATAAAATATAAAACAACGTCATACTATAACAACCTGCATTGCTCACCAATCTTCATAGCATTTTCAAATTACTTCTTAAAATGGGAAAAGGGTATTTAGCAGGAAAAGATCAAAATGTCTTATTTTAAGCCATTTTGCGAACCACAGTTAATCTGTTTTAATCTAAAAAACACAGCGTGGGAGATTATATTGTTTTTCCCTTAGAAATCCACATATAAAGTTGTAGGATTCTTATCTTTGGTATCTTGCTAAGTTGAATTTTAAATTCCCTGCTGAATTTAAAGGAAAGGAATCAATAAACTTCTGAATATATGGGATACATGTAACTAATACTAGCACCAAGGTTATTCTTTAATTTATGGTTATTTTAGAGATGTGTGCTCTGGTTAGTTTTTGTCATTTGCTATGACCCACATTGCTAATATTGTTATTTCTCCAATCAAAATTTTTCAACTTAAAAAATAGTATCTCTTTAGGTTAGGAATTAGGATTTGTGCAAGTGAATTTTTTCTCTATTAATATATTCATTCTTTTATTTTGCTTTTCTTTTCTTTTAAGCCAAAGACACTAACAGATACTTTGATTCCTGAAGAATTTCATATTGTGTCAAGTACAGGAGTTTCAGGTTTGGAGTGTTATGATGAGTGAGTACTATGATATGTAAAAAATACCTGCCCCAGCTCGGTGGCCCATGCCTGTAATCCCAGCACTTTGCGAGGCCAAGGCGGGTGGATCATCTGAGGTCAGGAGTTCAAGACCAGCCTGGTCAACATGGTGAAAGTCCGTCTCTACAGAAAATACAAAAATATTAGCTGGGTGTGGTGGCGGGTGCCTGTAATCCCAGCTACTGGGGAGGCTGAGGCAGGAGAATCACTTGAACCTGGGAGGCGGAGGTTGCAGTGAGCCAAGATTGCACCATTACACTCCAGCCTGGGCAACAAGAGTGAAACTCCATCTCAAAAAAAAAAAAAAAAAAAAAGAAAGAATACCTGACAAGTTGAACTGTTTCCTCCTTCCCATACATAGAAGAACCTGAGAATAGTACACTCATATTCCTGAGCAATATATAAACTGAAATGAGGAAACATTTGAGCCAGCCATCCTAATACAATTAAGAAAGATACAAATTGGCAGGGCGCGGTGGCTCACGCCTGTAATCCCAGCACTTTGGGAGGCTGAGGCGAGCAGATCACGAGGTCGGGAGATCAAGACCATCCTGGCTAACACGGTGAAACTCCGTCTCTACTAAAAATACAAAAAAATAGCCGGGCGTGGTGGTGGGTGCCTGTAGTCCCAGCTGCTTGGGAGGCTGAGGCAGGAGAATGGCATGAACCCAGGAGGCAGAGCTTGCAGTGAGCTGAGATCGCGCCACTGCACTCCAGCCTGGGCGACAGAGTGAGACTCCGTCTCAAAAAAAAAATACATAAATGAAAGAAAAAGATACAAATTAAAAAAAATAAAAACTAAAAGTACTTAAAAGAGTTTGGGATGTTAGTGATTAAATTATTCATATTTTTTCCTGCCATTTAATTTTGAATTTTTTAAAAAATGGAACTTTGTTTGAATGTGTGACTATGCCCTTTAGGAATGATTTTGAGCAATGATTATGGAGACAAAGGAAAGTAGCCCTCTGAGCCAGCATCTCATAATCCATGCTCCAGGGCTTGGCTCCACATTGCAGACTCATTATCTTGTCATCTTTGATTCCTGTTTATGGGATTGAAAATAGGATCTTGCTTTTATTTTCTGAAACAACACTTGAATGTTTTATAGTTTAGAAAATGAGAACTTTGGACTAAGGTTTTATAATAAAATATCCAGAGGCTGTCACTCTTTTGATATTGTCTTTCCAATATGTATGTTATAATATATTGCATTTCATTGTGATGGTATGTTTCAGAACAATATTTTGCCCAAGAGAACCAAATGAAATTCATTTTTTGGGTAACCTTTTATTTTAATGTAATTTCAGACATAAAAATGTTGCAAAAATGGGAAAAGGAATGCCTATATACCCTCTACCTTGAGTCACTGGTTGTTTACACTTTGTCTCATTTGCTCTTAAACATACACAAGCATGCATACACATGCACATATTTTCAAACTATTTAAGAGTAAATAATCAAATACTTCTACCACCAAATACTTTAGTGTGTATTTCCTAACAACCCATTAGTTATAGATCTTTTGGTGACTTTTTTTTTTTTTTTTTTTTCTTTGAGACGGAGTTTCGCTCTTATTGCCCAAGCTGGAGTGCAATGGCATGATCTCGGCTCACTGCAACCTCCGCCTCCCAGGTTCAAGCGATTCTCCTGCCTCAGCCTCCTGAGTAGCTGGGATTACAGGCAGGCACCACGGTGCCTGGCTAATTTTTTGTATTTTTGGTAGAAACAGGGTTTCACCATGTTAGCCAAGCTGGTCTCGAACTCCTGACCTCAGGTGATCTGCCCGCTTTGGCCTCTCAAAGTGCTGGGATTACAGGCATGAGCCACAGCACATGGCTGATTTTTTTTTTTTTTTTTTGAGACAAAGTCTTGCTTTGTCACCTGGGCTGGAGGGAAGTGGTGCGATCTCGGCTCACTGCAACCTCCGCCCCTTGGGTTCAAGCAATTCTCATGCCTCAGCCTCCCGAGTAGCTGTGACTACAGGTGCCTGCCACCATGCCCAGCTAATTTTTGTAATTTTAGTAGAGATGGGGTTTCGCCATGTTGGCCAGGCTGGTCTCGAACTCCGGACCTCAGGTGACCCACCCACCTCGGCCTCCCAAAGTGCTGGGATTACAGGTGTGAGCCACTGCACCTGGCCTTGATGAATTTTTTAAAATTTCATCATTTCTTCTGTATGATCATTATTTCTTCTGCCAATTTGTTATTTGGCATTTTACCATATGGAATAATGGATTTCTATTTTATTTGATGGATTTTAATTCTTTACTATCATTATTTTATTTTATTTTTTGGAGATGGAGTTTTGCTGTTGTTGCCCAAGCTGGAGTGCAGTGGCGTGATCTTGGCTCACTGCAACCTCCACCTCCTGGGTTTAAGCGATTCTTCTGCCTCAGCCTCCTGAGTAGCTGGGATTACAGGCACGCGCCACCACACCTAATTTTTTTTTTTTTTTTTTTTTTGTATTTTTAGTAGCGACGGGGTTTCACCATGTTGGCCAGGCTGGTCTTGAACTCCTGCCTTGGCCTCTGAAAGTGCTGGGATTATAGGCATGAGCCACCACGCCCAGCCCTTTATTTTTATTTTTTATTTTTTTGAGACAGAGTCTCGCTCTGTCATGGGTGGAGTGCAGTGGCACGATCTCTGCTCACTGCAACCCCCGCCTCCCAGGTTCAAGCAATTCTCCTGCCTCAGCCTCCTGAGTAGCTGGGATTACAGGCGCCTGCCACCATGCCCGGCTAATTCTTTTGTATTTTTAGTAGAGACGGGGCTTCATCATGTTGGCCAGGCTGGTTTCGAACTCCTGACCTCAAGTGATCTGCCCGCCTCAGCCTCCCAAAGTGTTAGGATTACAGGTGTGAGCCACCATGCCCGGCCCATTATTTTGATGCTCAAATTTTTCCAGATTTGGCCAATGGCCAAAGGCTGCTCCTTTGAGCTTTCTCTTGTGTTCTTTGGCCATGTCCCGATGATTATTTGAACACTTATTTTCTGGCTTGATAAGACTTCCAGGTTCATCTTGTATTTTCCAACTCCAGCCCTGGAATGGGTGGTGAGTCACTTCTCCAAGCAGTACTCATTCCTTTTAGTGGAGAATGGTACTTAGAAACCAAGATTCTGGGGGTTAGTTGTGCTAATTGATAAACAGGCCAGAAAATTTTCTTAAAATAACATTTACCTATCTTATTTATTGTAGCAAATACACTACTCTCCTCACAGATAGTGAAAACAGGCTATTGCTCTTCCCATCCATGTAAGTACAGTTTATTTTCTAAAGTCTTTCTCAGAAAGAATACCTATATACATACACATTTCTTGGTACTTTATTAAACAAAATTATTAAAATTATAGCAGCAACCCAAGGCAATAATTGCCTACAAGTTCATCATCTAATCAGTGTTTTCGTTTTTACAATTGTATATTCAATGTTTATATATTTCATTTGTCTAATTGCATATTAAATTTTACATATTTACATATATAGCATAATATTTAAATATGATAAAGTACTTTTATATTCTATGTTTAACCATTAGTATTTCTCCATTTTGCTATAGTCTTTTTTTTCCTTTTCTTTGTCCCTTTTCTTCTCTCACATTGTGAGGTAACCAATGTTAAAAGTTTGATGTTTATCTCCCTACATTTTTTCTTTTTCTATGTTCTTACACTGCTATATGATAGGTATATAGAATTTTTTTTGGGGGGAAGCATTATTTTCTTTTATGAAAAAGAGAATCATACTATTTGCATTTTTCTTCCTTTTTTCTACTATATTATTGATCTCCCAATAGATTAATAGACACAGGTCTAATGCTTAAAATGCCATTAATATCCCAGAGAGCATATATATTCTCTTTACACATATTATATTCTTTTTGCCATTTGAGAATTCCCTGTTGCAATGTTAATTGCATAAGTCTGCCACCTTAATTTTTTAGGAAACCTAATAAAAGAGTAGAAGTGGCCCAGCTGAATGATGTGATGGATACTATGCTAGAGAGGGCTGGTGTGGAAAATCAGGAATATACAGGACCAACGAAGGTAATTGCAAAGCCGAATGCAACCTGGTGGCTAAGAGCATGCACTCAGGAGGCAGATTGCCTAGGTTAGAATTCTGACCCTGCCATATATTTACTAATGGCCTTGGACAAGTCATTTAATGTATTTGTACCTCAGTTTCCTCATCTGAACTTTGGAGATAATAATATCACCTACCTCATAGGGTTTTTGTGGAGATGAAATGACATAATAAATGTAAAGTGCTTAGAACAGTTCTTGGCATGTGGTAGACACTGTATAATTAATTGTTAGTATTATTATTTCACCAAATATAAGGTATCATTGATTGTAAGACCCTTATTATTTTATGTAACACTAAAAAACACTGCCAGGTATATTTTTAGTAGAGATGGGGTTTCACCATGTTGGCCAGGCTGTTCTCAAACTCCTGACCTCAAGTGATCTGCCCACCTCACCCTCCCAAAGTGCTGGGATTACAGGCATGAACCACCGCACCAGGCCACCACTTGTAATTTTTATTTTCTACTTAAGAAAGAACTCTTTTAGTCTTACATAGATAGAGACCTTTTTCTTTATCAGGGCTATTTCTTTTTTGTTTTATGTATTTTATTTGTTTGGAATTGGAAACTTACAGAAAAAGTTCAATACAAGACACTGCTATGTAACCTTTACCCGGATTCTCCATCTGGTTATTTACATTGTGCCCTATTTGCTTTCTCATTCTCTCTCCTTCTCTGTCTACATATGCATCACTTTGTTCTGAACCATTTAGAGTGAGTTGGAGACATCATGCCTCTTTAATACCCAGATATTCAGGATATATTTCCTACAAACAAGGACATTCTCTTATATATCCATAATATAGTTATCAGGAAATTTAATGTTGATATGATAGTATTATCTGACACAGACATTTAAATTTTATATTTTATCAATTGTCTCTGTAATGGCTTTTAAAAATAGCTATTTTTTCTTCCTAGTCCAGAATCTAAGAAATCACATAGTTCTTTTAGTTGTCATGTTTCTTTAGACAATTTTAATCTGAAACAGTTTCTCAGCCTTTCTTTGTTTTTCTTGACCTTGTTGTTTTGAAGAACACAAGCCAGTTACTCTGTAGAATGTTCTTCAATTTTGGTTTGTCAGATGTATAGTCATGATTTTAGATTGGGGTTTTTTATTTTTGGCAGCTATAACATAGAAGTGATATTGTGACCTTTTCAGTGCATCAGATAAAGAGGCACCAATTTTTTTTTTTTTTTTGAGACAAAGTCTCACTCTGTCACCCAGGCTGGAGTACACTGTGATTATGGCTCACTGCAGCTGCAACCTCCCTGGGCTCAGGGGATCCTCCCACCTCAGCCTCCCGAGTAGCTGGGACTACAGGCGTGTGCCACCATGGCTGGCTAATTTTTATATTTTTTGTACAGACAGGGTCTCACCATATTGCCCAGGCTGGTCTCAAGCTCCTTGCCTCAAGCAATCTGCCCACCTTGGCCTCCCAAAGTGTTGGGATTACAGGTGTGAGCCACTGCACTTGGGCAGACCAGCATTTAAAAATCAAATATCACTTTTGTATATATATAAATGAAAATGTAAGTGAAATAAATTAATCAACGTGTTTCTAAAACTTATTTACATTCAAGGTATTAACCTCCTAAAATGTTTTTTACTAAGACTGTAATAAGTACTGATTATGTTACTTACCTTCTGACAGATGCACAAACTACTACATATATTGAAGAAGGAACAGACCATTTACAACATGATATTTCATGAACTTATTCGACAAGTCAGTGTGGACTGTGCAGACAGAGGAGAACTTCTGTCTAAAGTCAGGTTAGTGCTGTTATTGGAATGGTCCAGTTTCCTTTTGATTTTTATATTAGATTTGTCTTTATATCTACTTTTGAGAATGCCACAAAAGTGCACTTCTCTATTCTACTGATCGTAAGTAATCTAACTGCATTTTTTTTTCTTTTTTGTTAATATATGGAAAGGGTCTATAGCTTTCATTTTATTTTAGCCATATTATCTTGGGTGAGATACAGTGAGACCTGATGCAGATCAAGAGAAAGAACCCAGAAAGAGTTTTATAGTTTTGTTATACTCACAGCTCCCTGGGGAGAAGCAGCATGCCATACAGGGCCATTGCGGGGAGACACCAAGTCAGTCATGAGGTAATGAGAGGGAGGGAACCTGTGGGGAGGCACCTCTATTGTGGTTTCCTTGGGAAGGAATAAGTGAGGCAGGTTAAGTAGGCTTAAGATTGGATTGTTTGGATAATTTCACTGGGCATTCCATAATAGGGGTTGTCCCTGGTTGTTTGGTACCTGGCCTTGGGGCAATAAGAGAATTTTTGAAAGATATTTTTGTTGGATATAGACAGTTTTTAAATTTAGTACTTTAAAGATGTTGTTGCCCTACTCTCATTTGCATTGTTTCCAGTGAGAAATCTGCTGCCATCCTTGTCTTTATTCCCCCAAACGTAATGTGTGTTTTTCCTGGAGCTGATTTTAGGATTTTTTCCTTTTTTTTTTTTTTTTTTTTTGAGACAGTCTCGCTCTGTCGCCCAGGCTGGAGTGCAATGGCGCGATCTCGGCTCACTGCAACTTCTGCCTCCAAGGTTCAAGCAATTCTCCTGCCTCAGCCTCCCGAGTAGCTGGGATTACAGGCGCCTGCCACCACGCCCGGCTAATTTTGTATATTAGTAGAGACGGGGTTTCACCATGTTGGTCAGGCTGGTCTCGAACTCCTGACCTCGTGATCTGCCTGCCTTGGCCTTCCAAAGTGCTGGGATTACAGGCGTGAGCCACCGAGCCCAGCCTTAAGATTTTTTCTTTACCATTGCTTTTGAGCAGTTTCACTATGCTATGACTTGGTGTAGTTTTTTTTCACGTTTCTTGTGCTTGGTGCTTATTAAGCATTTTGGTCTGTGGCTTTATAGTTTTCATCAAATATGGAACATTTTTGGCTATTTCTTTAAGTGTTTTTCTGTCCCTCCACCTCTTTTGAGGGAATTTGTTTACACATGTATTAGGCCACTAGTACTGAAGTTGTCCCACAGATCACTAATGTTATACACATTTTTGCTCTTTTCTATTTGTCTTCATTTTGGATAGTTTCTATTGCTATACCTTCAAGTTCATTAATCTTTTTTTCCCATAATATCTAATCTGCTTTTAATCCTATCTAATTATTATTACTATTCTTATTATTTTTGACATAGAGTCTTGCTCTGTTACCCAGGCTGGAGTGCAGTGGCATGATCTTGGCTCATTGCAGCCTTGAACTCCTGAGCTCAAGTGATCCGCCTACCTCAGCCTCCTCAGTAGCTGGGGCTACAAGTGTGTGCCACCACACCCAGCTAATTTTTTTGTATTTTTTTTTGTAGAGACAGGATCTTACTTTAATCCTATCTAGTATATATTTTCATCTCAGACATTTTTGCTTTCATCTCTAGAAGGTCAGTTTGGGTCTTTTAAATATCTTCCATGTCTCTACTTAACTTTTTGAACATACAGAATGTAGTTAGATAACTTTTAGTGGTTTTGTCTGTTAATTCTACCGTCTATTTTGGTTCTGGGTCAGTTTTGATTCATTGATTTTTCTCCTCATAGGTGTGTTTTCCTGCTTCTTTACATGTTTAGTAATTGTCTTAGTCTGCCTTGTGCTGCTATAACAGAATATCACAGACGGGGGGTAATTTATAATGAGCAGAGATTTATTGGCTCACAGTTTGGGAAGCTGGGAAGTGCAGTGTACAAAGGTGCCATCATCTGGTGAGAACCTTCTTGTGGTAATCATAACATGACAGAAAGTGAGAGGGTGAGAGAGAGAGAAAGAGGGAGTGGGTCCACTTGTGCGATAATGACCCCATTCCTGCAATAATGGCATTAGTCCATTTATCAGGGCAGAGCCCTCACGACTTAAACACCTCCTGAAAGGTCCACCTCTTAATACTGTTATAATAACAATTAAATTTCAACACTAGTTATGAGGGGAGAAACATTTAAACCTAGCAGTAATTTTGATTGGATGGCAGTCATGAATTATGCCTTATTTGGATGCTGTATATTTTTGTTTTCATACAAATATTCGTTAGCTTTGTTTTGGGACACAATTAAGTTATTTAAAAAAATTTGATCCTGTTAGGTCTTTAGGTGGGACAAGAGCAGTGCCCAATTTAGGGCTAATTATTTCTGAATACCAAGACAAAACTTTTCTGTGTACCATATCCAATGTCCCATGAATCATGAGTTTTTACAGTCTGGTTGGTTGGTACTGGTACTACTTCTATGCGAGTTCTGGCATTCTTACCTCTGATCCTTTTGGGTAGTTCTTTCCTTGGTCTTGGGTAGTTTTCTCACATTTATGCCCTGATCAGTACTTAGCTGAACACTTGAGGGAGATCTTCTGCATATCTTGTATAACTCTTTTCTCTCTGCTACTCTGTCCTCTGAACTCTAGCTGCTTTCATCTCTCTAGACTGTTAACTCTGTCTCCTTAACTCAGAGAGTCAACTGGGGTCTTCCTGGATTCCCTCTCAGTGTGCTATGGCCTGGAAAACTCTCCCAAGGCATTAGGCTGGCACAATTGTAGGGTTTGCTTTATTTATTTCTGGTCTCTCAGGGATCACTCTCTTTCATTGCCTGATATCCAGTGTCTTAAAAATGGTTTCCTATTCTTTGTCCTTGTTTTGTTGTTGTCACTTCAGGTAGGAAAGTAAATTTAGTTCCTCTGGATTTCTTTTTATATTTCCTGTACCTATATCTATACCATAATTCACTATATAGATTAATGTCTTTCAGAAGTGTTGGGAAATTATCAGTGATGATCTTTGACTCATGTCTGTACTGCATTCTGTCTTCTGTTTCTGGAGCTTTGATTAGATATATGTTAGATATTCTCATTCTGTCTTCTTTGTCTCTTAATCTCTTTTTCATAGTTTCCCTCTTGTCTCTGTCCTACATTTTGAGTAATTTGTTCTAGGACATTACTGTCTTCTCTAGGTGTGTCTATTATGCTATAACCCATCTATTATTAACTCAACAATTATATTTTTCCCCTAAGAGATTTTTTTTTTTGAGACAGGATCTCGCTGTGGCCCAGGCTGCAGTGCAGTGGCACGATCTTGGCTTACTGCAACCTCTGACTCTCGGGTTCAAGTGATTCTTGTGCCTTAGCCTCCCAAGTAGCTGGGACTACAGGCACACACCACCATGCCTGGCTATTTTTTTTTTTTTTTGTATTTTTAGTAGAGACAGGGTTCGCCATATTGGCCAGGCTAGTCTTGAACTCCTGGCCTCAAGCGATCCGCCCACCTCAGCCTCCCAGAGTGCTGGGATAACAGGTGTGAGCCACTGTGCCTGGCCTCCCTTAAGAGTTTTGTTGGTTTGTTTCCACGTTTGTCTCATCAAATATAATAATTTTATTGCTTATTCATTTTTAGATTCTTTTTTTTTTTTTTTTTGAGATGGAGTTTCACTCGTCACCCAGGCTACAGTGCAATGGCACGATCTCAGCTCACTGCAACCTCCACCTCCGCATTCAAGTGATTCTCCCGCCTCAGCCTCCTGAGTAGCTGGGATTACAGGCATGCGCCACCATGCCTGGCTAATTTTGCATTTTTAGTAGAGACGGGGTTTCACCATGTTGGCCAGGCTGGTCTCGAACTCCTAATTTCAGGTGGTCTGCCCACTTCAGCCCCACAAAGTGCTGGGACTACAGGTGTGAGCCACCATGCCCAGCCCATTTTTAGATTCTAACTTTTATTTCTCAAACATTTCATGCGTAGTCTTATAAAATCTGCTATTGGTTATTTCTTCTGAGTCTCATTCATGGTGGTTTATTTACATTAGTATTTTGCAGCCTTTGCTTGTGGAGCTAATATTTCACTGACCTTGGCCATGGGATCCTCAGGGCATGAATCCAGGATGCTTTCTGGAAAAAGAAGATTTGTATGTGCTCCCTTCTGGAATCTGGGATTCATGCAGTAGTCCTACACTTGCCCACGTCTCCCACTTTGAAGTCAGCCCAAGGCTTAGTCTCTGGTTCTCAGTGTTGGTATTTTCCTGGGGACCATCCTGACCTTGGGTTTGCTTACTGCTTACAACTCCCACTCCATTTCTAACTTACTATTTTTTGTTTGTTCTTATTGTTTTTCATCCCTAGAGTCTTCTGTTTCTTCCTGCAAACTCAGTAATGCTTTGAAAAGTGTGTTCTCTTATGGATCTAGTTGGATTGTAATGGGAAGGTCCTTCAGAGTATTTAGTTCCTATATTGTCAGGAGGGGGAAATCCTAAAGATGATGTTTTTTAAATTGATATTTCCAATATATGAGCTGCATCTTGAGGTGATAAACTCCCTGCCACTTTCAGCCTTAAAGCAAGGGCTGGATAATTCTTTCTGTCAATGAATGAAAGATTAAACGACCAGTCAACTCAGACATATTACAAATCTAGGACCTCAGGCTTAGGGTGTAACACCTAGATCAGTTTTTTTTTTTTTTTTAAGACAGTCTTGCTCTGTCACCCAGGCTGGAGTGCAGTGGTGAGATCTCTGCTCACTGCAACCTCTGCCTCCCAGGCTCAAGTGATTCTTGTGTCTCAGCCACCCAAGTAGCTGGGATTATAGGCATGTGCCACTATGCCACACTAATTTTTGTATTTTTAGTAGATACAAGGTTTTTCCATGTTGGCTAGGCTGGTCTTGAACTCCTGGCCTCAAGTGATCTACCTGCCTCGGTCTCCCAGAGTGCTGAGGTTACAGGTGTGAGCCATCACGCCTGGCCTAGATCACTGTTAATATAAATGAATACTATTCTGTTATGGTATTTATAATTTATCATCTGTGATCACTTCCAAATATTTTGTTTGGTTTTATTCAGAAGCAAAAGAAATGACTTCTTTGTATTAAAGATTTTTGTTTGTGTTTAAATAGTTGTCGTTTTACATGTTGTCAATTTGAAAAAATGGCTTTATTCATGAATTTAACTATTTATAAGAATCTCACTATACGTTAAGTCATGCTGTTAGATGTTGTAAAAATACAAATATGTAAGACATCGTTTCTAGTCTCAAAGAATTTATATCTAGAAGAAGGAATAAAACAAGTTTTTATTTTTGTTTTACGTCTAACATATGATATTCCAAATAATTAGGGCTCTACAATTTTCTACAATTGTTCACTCACTTGTATGGCATGGCAGGAAAACACAGCCTAGATTCCTTTTTTTTTCTTTTTTAATGAAGCCACAGCATTCTGCTTCTGTGCTTTTTATTTTTTATTTATTTATTTTTTTGAGATGGAGTTTCGATCTTGTTGCCCAGGCTGGAGCGCAATGGTGCAATCTTGGCTCACTGCAACCTCTGCCTCCCAGGTTCAAGTGATTCTCCTGTCTCAGCCTACTGAGTAGCTGGGATTATAGGCATGCACCATGACACCTGGCTAATTTTGTATTTTTAGTAGAGATAGGGTTTATCCATGTTGGTCAGGCTGGTCTCAAACTCCCGACATCAGGTGATCCACCCACCTCGGGCCCCCAAAGTGTTGGGATTACAGGCGTGAGCCACTGAGGCCAGACTTCTTCTTTTTTTTTTTTTTTTCCTATATTGTTCATCTCACATATCTTTTGGAATGTCTGTTTACTATTTTATTGCCTAACATTACTTTCTCTCTTGCATATTTTCTATCTTTTTTTCCTTTCCTTCTGCATGATACCTTGTTTCTCTTATTTTATTTCAATAGTTTTTGGAGAACAGGTGGTTTTTGGTTACACAGATAAGTTCTTGAGTGGTGATTTCTGAGATTTTTGGTGTACTCGTGGTATGGTTTGGCTGTGTCCCCATCCAAATCTCATCTTGAATTGTTGTTGCCATAATCCCCACATGTTGTGGAAGGGACCAGGTAGAGATGGTTGAGTCATGAGGGCCGTTTCCCTCATTCTGTTCTTGTGATAGTGAATTAGTTCTCATGAGATCTGATGATTTTATTTATTTATTTATTTATTTACTTATTTATTTATTTATTTTTGAGATGGAGTCTCACTCTGTTGCCCAGGCTGTAGTGCAGTGGCGCAATCTCAGCTCACTGCCACCTCCAGCTCCTGGGTTCAGGTGATTCTCCTGCCTCAGCCTCCCAAGTAGCTAGGATTACAAGTATGCATTACCATGCCCAGCTAATTTTTTGTATTTTTAGTAGAGAGAGGGTTTCACTGTGTTGGCCAGGCTAGTCTCAAGCTCCTGACCTCAGGTGATTCACCTGTCTCAGCCTCCCAAAGTGCTGGGATTACAGGCATGAGTCACTGTGCCTGGCCAGAGATCTGATAGTTTTATAAAGGGCTTCTTCCTTTTCTGGGCTTTCATTCTTCTCCTTCCTGCTGCCATGTGAAGAAGGACATGTTTGCTTTCCCTTCTGCCATGATTGTAAGTTTCCTGAGGCCTCCCCAGCTCTGTGGAACTGAGAGTCAATTAAATCTCTTTCCTTTATAAATTACCCTGTCTTGGGTATATCCTTATAGCGCTGTGAGAATGGACTAATATAACCCATCACCCGCTGAGCAGTGTACACTGTACCAAATATGTAGTCTTTATTCCTCACCCCCATCCTAATCTTCCTCCTCAGACCCCAGAGTCCATTATATCATTCTTATGCCTTCGCATCCTCATAGCTTAGCTCCTATTTATAAGTGAGAACATACAATATTTGGTTTTCCATTCCTGAGTTACTTCATTTAGAATAATGGTCTCAAACTCCAACCAAGTTGCTGCAAATGCCATTATTTCATTTCATCTTATAGCTAAGTAGTATTCCATAGTGTGTATATACCACATTTTCTTTATCCACTCATTGCTTGATGGACATTTAGGTTGGTTCCATATTTTTGCAGTTGCAAATTGTGCTACTGTAAACATGCATGTGCATGTGTCTTTTTCATATAATGACTTATTTTCCTGTGGGTAGATACCCAGTAGTGGGATTGTTAGATTGAATGGTAGTTCTACTTTTAGTTCTTTGAAGAATCTCCATACTGTTTTCCATAGTGGTTGTACTAGTTTACATTCCCACCAGCAGTGTAAAAGTGTTCTCTTTTCACCACATCCAAGCTGACATTTATTTTTGATTTTTTAAATTATGGCCATTCTTGCAGTAGTAGGGTGATATTTCATTGTAGTTTTAAATTGCATTTTCTTGATAATTAGTGATGTTGAGTATTTTTTCATGTTTGTTGCCTGTTTGTATATCTTCTTTTGAGGATTGTCTATTCATGTCCTTTGCCCACTTTTTGGTGAAATTATCTGTTTTTTTCTTGCTGATTTGTTGGAGTTCATCGTAGATTTTGGGTACTAGTCCTTTGCCAGGTGCATAGTTTATGAATATTTTCTCCCTCTCTGTGGGTTGTCTGTTTAACCTGCTGATTATTTCTTTTGTTGTGCAGAAGTTCTTTAGTTTAATTAGGTCCCATCTATTTATTTTTGTTTTTGTTGCATTTGCTTTTGGGTTCTTGGTCATGAATTCTTTGCCTAAGCCAATGTCTAGAAGAGTTTTTCTGATGTTATCTTCTAGAATTTTTATGGTTTCAGGTCTTTAAGTCTTTGATCCATCTTGAGTTGACTTTTGTATGAGGTGTGAGATGAGGATCCAGTTTCATTCTTCTACATATGGCTTGCCAATTATCCCAGCACCATTTGTTGAAAAGGGTGTCCTTTCCCCACATTATGTTTTTGTATGCTTTGTTGCAGATCAGTTGGCTGTAAGTATCTGAGTTTATTTCTGGATTCTCTAGTCTGTTCCGTTGGTCTATGTGCCTATTTTTATACCCGTACCATGCTGTTTTGGTAACTATAGCCTTGTAGTATAGTTTGAAGTCAGGTAATGTGATGTTTCCAGATTTATTCTTTTTGTTTAGTATTTCTTTGGCTATGTGGGGTCTTTTTTGGTTCCATATGAATTTTAGGATTTTTTTTTTCCAGTTCTGTGAAGAATGATGATGGTATTTTTGGTGGGAATTGCATGGAATCTGTAGATTGAGTTTGGCAGTATGGTCATTTTCACAATATTGATTCTACCCATCCATGAACATGGGATGTGTTTCCATTTGTTTGTGTCACATGCAATGTTTTTTCAATAGTGTTTTGTAGTTTTTCTTGTAGAGATCTTTCGTCTCCTTGGTTAAGTATATTCCTAAGTATTTTCTTTTCTTTTTCTTTTTCTTTTTTTTTGCAGCTGTTGTAAAAGGGATTGATTTCTTGATTTGATTCTCAGCTTGGTTTTCTTGGTGTATAGCAGTGCTACTGATTTGTGTACATTGATTTTGTAACCTGAGAATTTACTAAATTCATTTATCAGATCTAGGAGCTTTTTGGTTGTTTGTCATGCAGAGAGAGGTATGTGCAAATGCTTGACCAGATTGCTCGGCAGATGATTGATTTCTACAAAGACTTGGTAACTCAGCGAGTGATGGACCAGCGCATTTTAGAAGAATTGTATAATTTCAAGCATGTTATTGAAGAACTGACCAGGTAAAAACTGTGATTATCTTAAACACAAAACAAAAGTCAATGTCATGTCTCTAAAGGGAGTAAAAAATATTTAGGGAAAGTGGAATGGTTAAAGGCCAAGGTTCTTCTGTTTCCTTTTCATGTTTAGCAAGAGAACAAAAAGAACTAGATGTCATTGTAGATATAGATATAGATAAATGGGTTATGCAAGTTCACATAAAAATGAAGACTCTGTATATATTTGACATGGAAAAGACTTACTCTTTCTTCTAAAATATAGATGTTGCTGGGCATGGTGGCTCACACCTGTAATCCCAGCACTTTGGGAGGCTGAGGCGGGAGGATCACTTGAGGTCAGGAGTTTGAGACCAGCCTGGCCAACATGGTGAAACCCCATCTCTACTAAAAATACAAATAATTAGACAGGCGTGGTGGCACATGCCTATAATCCCAACTACTGGGGAGGTTGAGGCAGGAGAATCACTTGAACCCGGGAGGTGGAGGTTGCAGTGAGCCAAGATCATGCCACTGCACTCTAGCCTGGGTGACGGAGCGAGACCCTGTCTCAGAAAAATAAAATAAAATAAAATACAGATGTTTACCTTAATCAGGTTTATAGAACAGTGCCATAATTATGGATGTTAACATTATGGATGTTAACATCTCAAAGAGAATAAGTATCATATAGCCATCAAAGTTAGTGATCATCTAACTTTTAACCTTGAAGCAAGATGGTTAGTGGTGAGAATAAAGAAGATAGGATAGTCATATCAGAAAGCAGGGTAGACCAGCATGGCGGCCTTGCATGTCAGCATCTGCCTCCCTCCATTCTAAAGGATCTCCCCTACATCTTATTTCTGTCTGATTCCTGCCAGCCTGATTTCATTTCCAAACCTGGCAAGATTCCATCTAGAATGTACACTCAATTTCTTGATTTGGTTTATAAGGTGGAAAAACTGGGAAGGGAGGTACACATGATAACTGAGAAGATTCCTGAATATAAATCTGATTTTCTTGGTAGAAACTTTTTGGAAATCTCCAAATATGAATTAAAAATTTCTTTGCTTTATTTCAGGGAACTGTGTCTAGTTCGGGCACATGATGTGAAATTAACAAAGGAAACAGAAAAAGCCCACAAGGATTTGGCACAAGCTCTTTTAAATGCGGAAAAGAATGCCAAGTGAGTTGCTTAAAGTTTGTTTAGCTTACATAGGGGAAAAGGAAGAAGCTTATATAGCTTCTGAAATAATATATATGATACTATAACTTCTTGAATTCTAAAATCACATATAGATAGCTTACTTTATCTGAATTTAGTTGATTTCTCATTCTGGGTGCAAAGAAGGTAAAACATGATTTTTTCTCTTGGAGATAGACCGTTGCTTTCTGCATTAATCATTTTCATTGAGTGAGGATTGCAGGCTATTACTTTCTGGTTTTCTAAAAGAAAGGGTAAAGAAACAGTGAGCATAGATAACATAGATTCTGGAACCATACTGTTTGCTGTGTGACCTTTGGGAAGTCACTTAACTTTTCTGGGCCTAAGTTTGCCCATATGTAAAATTGGGATAATAATATTACCTACCTCATAGGTTATTACGAGTATTAAAGGAAGTAATATAAGTAAAGCACTTAGAATGGTGCTTGGCATATAGTCAGTGCTATGACAATATGAAATATTCTTATAATGGTTGCTTTTAATGAAATTTTATGTCATGAAATATTTCAGACATTCAGAAAAAGAAAGCATTATAGTGAGTACTCATTTACCTTTCATGAATTACCAAATGTCAGCCATTATGTCATACTTGTTTCACACCCCATTTTTAGGAAACAAAATTTTATAGAAATATTTGGAGATTTAGGCCAGGCATGGTGGTTCACGCCTGTAATCCCAGCACTTTGGGAGGCTGAGGCAGGTGGATCACCTGAGGTTGAGAGTTTGAGACTAGCCTGGCCAACATGGCAAAACCCCATCTCTACTAAAAATACAAAAATTAGCTGGAGGTGGAGGTGCTTGCCTGTAATCCTAGCTACGTGGAAGGCTGAGGCATGAGAATTGCTTGAACCCAGGAGGCAGAGGTTGCAGTGAGCTGAGTTTGTGCCACTGCACTCCAGCCTGGGTGACAGAGTGAGATTCTGTCCCATAAAAAGAAAAAAAAAAAAAAAGAAAAATATTTGGAGATTTAAAAAAATACATCTATATCTATGTCTGTATCTCTATATATCTCCATTCTGCTTCTTCCCTCCCCAGAGTTAATCACTAATCAATAGTTGGTATGTAACTTTCCTATCCATGTTTTTATATTTTACTATAATACATAGTTACATATAAAAAAATTTGCGGCTGGGCACAGTGGCTCACGCCTGTAATCTCAGCACTTTGGGAGGCCGAGGTGGGTGGATGATGAGGTCAGGAGATCGAGACCATCCTGGCCAACACGGTGAAACCCTGTCTCTACTAAAAATACAAAAAATTAGCTGACATGGTGGCACGTACCTGTAGTCCCAGCTACTTGGGAGGCTGAGGCAGGAGAATTGCTTGAACCCAGGAGGCGGAGGTTGCAGTGAGCCGAGACTGCGCCACTGCACTCCAGCACTCTAGCCTGGGCGACAGAGCAAGACTCCATCTCAAAAAAAAAAAAACTTGCTTTTACCAACTAAATACTATTCTTTTGAGATCTTCTCGTTATGATGCATATAGAACAAATATTTCTGCACTATAATATTAACCATATGACTAAATTATAATTTATGTATTAATGTATAATTTATGTATCAATCACTCAGAATGGATTTTTCCATTTGCTTGGTAGATTTTTCTCCATCCCTTTATTTTGAGCATATGGGTGTCATTGCATGTGAGATGAGTCTCTTGAAGATAGCATACCAATGGGTCTTGTTTCTTTATCCAGCCTGCAACTCTGTGCCTTTTAATCAGGACATTTAGCCCATTTACATTTAAGGTAAACCAGTAAAGATATATATAGATTTGATCCTGTCATCATGTTAGCTGGTTATAATGCAGACTTGTTTGTGTGGTTGCTTCATAGTGTCACTGGTCTGTGTACTTATGTGTTTTTTAATAGCAGCTGGTAATGGTCTTTCCTTTCCATATTTAGTGCTTCCTTCAGGAGCTCTTTTAAGGCAGATCTGGTGGTAATGAATTTTCTCAGCACTTGCTTGTCTATAAAGGATCTTATTTCCCCTTCACTTATGAAGCTTAGTTTGGACATATATAAAATTCTGGGTTGGAATTTCTTTTTTTAAAGAATGTTGAATATTGGCTTCCAATCTCTTACGGCTTGTAGGGTTTCTGCTGAGAGGTCCACTGTTAGTCTGATGGGCTTCCTTTTGTAGGTGACCTGACTTTTCTTTCTAGATGCCTTTAACCTTTTTTCTTTTATTTTGACTTTTGAGAATCTGATGATTATGTGCCTTGAGGATGATCTTCTTGTGAAGTATTGTACTAGGGTTTTCTGCATTTTCTGAATTTGAATGTTGGTCTCTCTACCTACGTTGGGGAAATCCTCATGGATGATACCCTAAAATATGTTTTCCAAGTTGCTTACACTCACCCTATCTCTTTCAGGGACATCAATGAGTCATAGATTTGGTATCTTTACATAATCCCACATTTCTCCAAGGTTTTGTTCATTCCTTTTTATTCTTTTTTCTCTATTCTTGTCTGACTCTCTTATTTCAGAAAACCAGTCTTCAAGTTCTGAGATTCTTTCTTCAACTTGGTTTATTCTGCTATTAATACTTGTAATTGCATTATGAAGTTATTGTAGAACATTTTTTCAGCTCTATCAGCCCAGTTACAGTCTTTTTTATACTGGCTATTTTGTCTGTCAGCTCCTTTATCATTTTATTGTGATTCATAGCATCCTTGAATTGGGTTTCAGCATACTCCTGCATCTTAATGATCTTCATTCCTATCCATAGCATGAATTCTGTTTGTGTCATTTCTGCCATCTCAGCCCAGTTCAGAACCCTTGCTGGAGAGGTGGTGCGATCATTTGGAGGAAAGAAGGCACTCTGGCTTTTTGAGTTGTCAGAGTCCTTGTGTTGTTTTTTTCTCATATTTGTGGGCTGATGTTTGTTTCATCTTTGAAGTTGCTGATGTTTGGGTGTTTTTTTCCCCTTTTATCCTATATGATGACATCGAGAGTTTGATTGTGGTATAAAATGGATTCAACCAACTGGCTTTATTTCTGGAAGATTCTAGGGGGCCAACGCTCAGCTTCCAACTCCTGGACCGTGTACTCCAACTCTGGGGGACTTGTATTGGGACCAGCTTTGTTCTCTGCTCCTTGAGGTTAGGAATCCACTGCACTGGGGGGAGCTGAGGTGCTCCTGGACCACTGGTCACTACACTCTGTTGGGTGGTGTCAGCCAAAGCCTTTCATAGTGCTGTGGCAGTGGGATCTGCCCTTGTTTTCATGTGTCAGCAGCAGCAGTAGTGGCAATGTTGTGGGGGTGCATTCTCATTGGCTGCAACAGGTGCTGGGGTGCCTGCTTCCATGTGGGTGTCACCACAGAGTGGAGGCAGCACAGCTGGAAGAGGGTTGGGGGGCCCCTGCTGGCAACTGTGTGCACAGTTGTGCTGGTGGTGGTCTTAGCATGGGGGCAAGGCTCTGGCAGATGCAGGTCTATGTGCATTCTCTGTGAGCTGCAGGCAGGGGTGGTCACTCAGGGCAGGGGAGAGTCCACTGTTCTCTGAGCTTAGTTTTACTCTTGGAGGAGTGTTGCCACTAAGGGCAGGGTGCTTGTGGGGGTGGGACTGGCTGGGTGTCTGCCCACCAAGGCTGTCACTGTAATGGATCAAAGCCTTGTGGCAGGGGTTGGGGGGAGGGTGTGGAAGGGCAGAATGTACTACTGCCATATCAGTGGCAGGGCAGGGTGTATGCACACATGCATGCTGGTGAGGCAAGGAAAGCAAAACATGCCTGCACACACATGGGCCAGCAAAGTGATGTGGGGCATTGCTGTGGGCCTGGGGGAAGCTGCAGTATTGGGAGGAAGCAGGCAGGCTGGTGCTATGGGTCTTGTTTCTGTGTACATGTACTCACATGTATATGTATAGTTAAAACCAAAATTGTATTGTATGCACTATTCTACAATCAACATTTTTTCAGTTAAGAATGTCGACCTATTTCAGGCTATAGTCACCAAAACAGTGTGGTACTGGTATAAAAATAGGCACGTAGACTAATGGAACAGAATAGAGAATCCCGAAATAAACCCAAATACTTACAGCCAATTGATCTTCAACAAAGCAAACAAAAACATAAAGTGGGGAAAGGACACCCTTTTCAATAAATGGTGCTGGGATAATTGGCTAACCGCATGTAGGAGAATGATACCAGATCCTCATCTCTCACCTTATACAAAAATCAACTCAAGATGAACTAAGGACTTAAATCTAAGACCTGAAACTATAAAAATTCTAGACATAACATTGGAAAACCCTTCTAGACATTGGCTTAGGCAAGGATTTCATGACCAAGAACCCAAAAGCAAAAGCAATAAAAACAAAGATATATATCTGGGACCTAATTAAACTAAAGAGTGTTTGCACAGCAAAAGGAACAGTCAGCAGAGTAAACAGACAGCCCACAGAATGGGAGAAAATCTTCACAATCTATACATCTGACAAAGGACTAATATCCAGAATCTACAATGAACTCAAACAAATCGGTAAGAAAAAACAAACAATCACGTCAAAAAGTGGGCAAAGGACATGAATAGACAATTCTCAAAAGAAGATATACAAATGGGCAACAAACATATGAAAAAATGCTCAACATCACTAATGATAAGGGAAATGCAAATCAAAACCACAATGCAGTACCACCTTACTCCTGCAAGGATGGCTATAATCAAAAAATCAAAATCAGATGTTGCCATGGATGCAGTGATTAGGGAACACTTCTACACTGCTGGTGGGAATGTAAACTAATACACCCACTGTGGAAAACAGTGTGGAGATTCCTTAAAGAACTAAAAGTAGAACTACCATTTGATCCAGCAATCTCACTACTGGGTATCTACCCAGAGGAAAAGAAGTCATTATATGAAAAAGATACTTGCATGGGCATGTTCATAGTGGCACAATTCACAATTGCAAAATCGTAGAACCAACCCAAATGCCCATCAATCAACGAGTGGATAAAAAAACTGTGGTGTATATATATATATGATGGAATACCACTCAGCCATAAAAAGGAATGAATTAATGGCATTTGCAGTGACCTGGATGAGATTGGAGACCATTATTCTAAGTGAAGTAACTCAGGAGTGGAAAACCAAACATTGTATGTTCTCACTGATACGTGGGAGTTAAGCTAGGAGGATGCAAAGGCATAAGAATAATACACTTTGGGGACTTGGGGGAAAGAGTGGGAGGGGGATGAGGGATAAAATACCACAAATATGGTGCTGTGTATACTGCTCGAGTGATGGGTGCTCCAAAATCTCACAAATCACCACTAAAGAACTTACTCATGTAATCAGATACCACCTGTACCCCAATAACTTATGGAAAAATAAAATTTAAAAATTAGGGAAGAAATAAAAAAAAAAAAAGAGAAGATGGCCAGGTGTGGTGGCTAACACCTGTAATCCCAGCACTCTGGGAGGCCAAGGTGGGCAGATCACGAGGTCAGGAGATCAACACCATCCTGGCTAACACAGTGAAACCCCGTTTCTACTGAAAATACAAAAAAAATTAGCCGGGCATGGTGGCAGGCGCCTGTAGTCCCAGCTACTTGGGAGGGTGAGGCAGGAGAATGGCGTGAACCCAGGAGGCAGAGTTTGCAGTGAGCCGAGATCATGCCACTGCACTCCAGCCTGGGCAACAGAGCGAGACTCTGTCTCAAAAAAAAAAAAAAAAAAAAAAAGAAAAAAAAAAGGACACAGAAACAAACAAATGATAAAAAGAATGTGTACGGCCAGGTGCGGTGGCTCACACCTGTAATCCCAGCACTTTGGGAGGTCAAAGCGGGTGGATCAGCTGAGGTCGGGAGTTCGAGACCAGCCTGACCAACATGGAGAAACCCTTTCTTTACTAAAAATACAAAATTAGCCAGGTGTGGTGCCACATGCCTGTAATCCCAGCTACTTGGGAGGCTGAGGCAGGAGAATCGCTTGAACCTGGGAGGCAGAGATTGCGGTGAGCTGAGGTTGTGCCATTGTGCTTCAGCCTGGGCAACAAGAACAAAACTCCATCTCAAAAAAAAAAAAAAAAAAAAGAACGTCTGCCTATTTCAGTAAATTTTTACTTCATAAATTAGCTAGATATTAAAATTTTACCAAGTTTTTCCAAAATACATTTCATAGTTGGGTTAGCCAAACCAGTATCCAATCTAAGAACACACATTACATCTTGTTTTATATCTCTTTTAATACAGCCTATTCCTGTGCTTTCTAAAAAATTGATTGAAGAGTGATTGAATTTTTTAAATGTCAAGAAAAACCAAATGTACCTAAGATCTAAATTCAGAAATGTATTTTTACTTTTATTCTATTTTATTCTTTACTAGCATAATATGGTTTGGCTGTGTCCCCACCCAAATATTGTCTTAAATTTTAGCTACCATAATTCCCACGTGTTGTGGGAGGGACTTGGGGGGAAATAATTGAATCGTGGGGGTGGTTTCCCTGTACTGTTCTCGTGGTAGTAAGTCTCACGAGACCTGATTGTTTTATAAGGGGAAACCCCTTTTGCTTGGCTTTCATTCTCTCTTTGCCTGCCGCTATGTAAGAGGGGCCTTTCACCTTCCACCATGATTGTGAGGCCTCCCCAGCCACGTGGAACTGTGAGTACATTAAACCTCTTTTCCTTTATAAATTATTCAGTCTCGGGGCCGGGCAAGGTGGCTCAAGCCTGTAATCCCAGCACTTTGGGAGGCTGAAGCAGGCGGATCACGAGGTTAAGAGATAGAGACCATCCTGGCCAACGTGGTGAAACCCCATCTCTACTAAAAATACAAAAATTAACTGTGCGTGGTGGCATGCGCCTGCAGTCCCAGCTATTCAAGAGGCTGAGGCAGGAGAATTGCTTGAACCTGGGAGGCGGAGGTTGCAGTGAGCCGACATCATGCACTCCAGCCTGGCAACAGAGCGAGACTCCGTCTCAAAAAAAAAAAAAAAAAATCACCCTGTCTTGGGTATGTCTATCAGCAGCATGAAAATGGACTAATATGTAACATGAGATACTTTATTCAATTTTTGCCTACTCTATATACTACTTTTTTCTGTAGTATAACTTTCTTGTTTTTCGAGGTGACTTCTATACTTAGTCTTCTATCCTTATACCTTCAATCCTACCTTTCCACCCTCTTTATAAGCTGATGATCTTGCTTTCTAAGAAGTAGAAGCAAACAGAAGAGAACTTAAGCTGTCACCCCCACATCTATCCACCCACCTGCATCTGTGCTTATATATTCCGTTTTCCCTTTTGTTAACTATAGTCTGCTCCTTTCTAAGGCCAATCTCTTGTTTGTATACTTTCATATCCCCTGTTACTTACTTGAGAAACTTGCAGCAAACGTTCCTTCTCTTTTTTGCATCATTAATTTTTCCCTCTCTAGCTGATTAATCCCATCAGTATGCAAATATGCTATAATTACTCCCATCTTAAAAACAAAAAACACAAACAAAAATGTCCCAGGTCTCTTAGAACTACACCTTCCCTTCCTGCTATGGTCCCTTTTCTCTGCTCTCCTTACAGGAAATCTCTACAGAAAGTTGTCATACTCATTGTCTTTATTGTTTCTTCTCTTGCCATTATCACTTGTGTCTCATCCTTACCATGCCACTAAATGGCACTTGACAAAGTCACCTATGATCTTCATATTGCTAAATCCAATGATCAATTCTCATTTCACTTGCCTTACTAGCAGCATTTGTCACAATGGATCAGTTAATCTTACTTGAAACAGTGTCTTTCAGTATACAGTCGACTGTTGAACAATGTAGGGGTTAGAGACACTGAAACCCACATAGTCAAAAACCTACATATAACTTTTGATGTCCCCAGAACTTAATCACTAATATTCTATGGTTGGCTGGAAACCTTACTGATAAACAGTCAATTAACACATATTTTGCATGTTATATATATATTATATAATGTATTTTTACAACAAAGTAAGCTAGAGAAAAGAAAATACTAAGAAAATCATAAGGAAGAGAAAATACATTTATAGTACTGTACTGTATTCATTGATATTGTACATTTACATCATCTGTTTACAAGACGAATTTGTCTGTCAGAAATGGTGGGTAACTACAACTGCAGACCTGAATCTACAGTACATATCAAGCATTTAATTTTTCTTGTGACATCATGACTCTTCTCTGCTTCTTGGTTGTACTTTCAGCATTACTACTGACACTTCGTATAGGTACCATGGTGTTATTCAAGGTTTATGTTACTGTACTAAACGTGATGGAAATTACGTGAAAACTGGGAGAGATCACTTTTTACTGCAATACACAATTGACTGGAGATACAAACTACTCATGCAGTGATGATTACATTATATGGTACTTTATTTTTTGAGACAGAGTCTCGCTCTGTCGCCCAGGCTGGAGTGCAGTGGTGCAATCTTGGCTCACTGCAGCCTCCGCCTCCTGAATTCAAGTGATTCTCCTGCCTCAGCCTCCTGAATAGCTGGGATTTCAGGCATGTGCCACCACACCCGGCTAATTTTTGTATTTTTAGTAGAGACAGGGTATTGCCATGTTGGCCAGGCTGGTCTGGAACTACTCCTGACCTCATGTGATCCTGCTGCCTCAGCATCCCAAAGTGCTGAGATTACAGGCATGAGCCACTGCCCCCGGCCTACATCGTGTTTTAAGTGGATATTTGAGCTCACTGCAATAGCAGCAGAAGGTGGCTACAAAAGTATTACAGTAATACCGTATGTACTGTAGTTAATTTTATTCAACTATGATTTAATACTGTACCTGTACATTTGTTAACATTTCTCTTGACTATGAATGTGCCATGTATGGTCTGTAAGTGTTTGTGTAAGTTTTGATAAATTTTAGCTTTTTATAATACATTTTATGGTAGTAAATGATAAAATAGACCAGTATCTACGTGTATTTTATCTATTCATGACATTGCTAACTTTTCTTCATTTTTTGATATTTCTAGGCTGTGTTCATCTGTGAGCTTTTTCTTTGTCTTTTTTTTTTTTTTTGAGATGGAGTCTCACTCTGTTGCCCAAGCTGGAGTGCAGTGGCACAATCTTGGCTCACTGCAACCTCTGCCTCCTGGGTTCAAGCAGTTCTCCTGCCTCAGCCTCCTGAGTAGCTGGGAGTACAGGCATCCGCCACCACACCCAGTTAATTTTTGTATTTTTAGTAGAGATGAGGTTTCACTGTGTTGGCCAGGCTGGTCTCGAACTCCTGACCTCAGGTGATCCCTCTGCCTCGCCCTCCCAAAGTGCTGGAATTACAGGTGTGAGCCACCACACCTGGCTGAGCTTTATCAAGTTGTCACAAATCTCCAAAAAATGTTCAAATATGTTTATTGAACAAACTCCTTGCATCCCCAGGATAAATCCCACTTAATCATGGTGTATTATCTTTTTGATATGTTGTTGGATTTGCTTTGCTAGTATTTTGTTGGAATTTTTGCATCTAAGTTCATCCATGATATTGGTCTGTAGTTTTCTTTTTTGTTGTTGTGTCTTTGTCTGGTTTTGATATCAAAATAATGTTGGCTTTGCAGAATCAGTTAAGAAGAATTCCCTCCTCTTCAATTTTTTGGAATCATTTGAGAAGAATTGGTGTTTATTCTTTCTAAGTTGTGTACAATTCAGCAGTAAAGCCATTTGGTCTTGGGCTTTGCTTTGTTGGGAGACTTTTTTTTTTTTAATTATACTTTAAGTTCTGAGATACATGTGCAGAATGTGCAGGTTTGTTACATAGGTATATATGTGCCATGGTGGTTTGCTGCACCCATCAACCCATCATCTAGGTTTTAAGTCCCACATGCATTAGGTATTTGTCCTAATGCTCTCCCTCCCCTTGCCCCCCAACCCCCAACAGGCCTGATGTGTGATGTTCCCCTTCCTGTGTCCATGTGTTTTCATTGTTGAACTCCCACTTATGAATGAGAACATGCGGTGTTCGGTTTTCTGTTCTTGTGTTAGTTTGCTGAGAATGATGGTTTCCAGCTTCATCCATGTCCCTGCAAAGGACATGAACTCATCCTTTTTATGGCTGCATAGTATTCCATGGTGTATATGTGCCACATTTTCTTAATCCAGTCTATCATTGATGGACATTTGGGTTGGTTCCAAATCTTTGCTATTGTAAATAATGCTGCAGTAAACATACGTGTGCATGTGTTTTCATAGCAGAATGATTTATAATCCTTTTGGTATCTACCCAGTAATGGGATTACTGGGTCAAAGGTATTTCTGGTTCCAGATCCTTGAGGAAACGCCACATCGTCTTCCATAATGGTTGAACTAATTTACACTCTTTGGGAGACTTTTAATTACTGATTCAATCTTGTTACTCATTATTGGTCTGTTCAGGTTTTCTGTTTCAATTTTGTAGGTTTTATGTGTTCAGGAGTATATCTAGTTTCTTCTAGGTATTCCAATTTGTTAGTGGATTGTTGTTCATGATTATATTTCAGTGGTATCAGTTATATCTCTTTTTGTTTGTTTGTTTGTTTCTGATTTTATTTGCTTGAGTCGTCTCTCTTTTTTTCTTGGGTAGTCTAGCTAGAAGTTTATTGATTTTGTTTATTTTTTCAAAAAGTTAACTTTTTATTTTGTTGATATTTTGTAGTTTTTTAGTTTCTCTCATTTATTTCTGCTCTGACATTTATTATTTGTTTCTTTCTACTAATTTTGGGTTTTGTTTTTTCTCTCTTTTCTAGTTCCTGGAATAATAAACAATCATTAGGTTGTTTATTTGAAATCTTTCTGCTCTTTTGATATAGGTGTTTATTAATATGAACTTCCCTCTTAGCACTACTTTTGCATTATCCCATAGGCCTTGTGCTTCATTTGTTTCAAGACATTTAAAAATTTTCTTCTTAATGTATTTACTGACCCAGTGATCATTCAGGAGCATGTTGTTTAACTTCCACATATTTGTACAGTTTCCAAAGTTTCTCTTGTTATTAATTTCTAGTTTTACTTCATTGTGGTCCAAGAAGATACTTGATATGTTTCCAATTTTTAAATATGTATTGAGACTTATTTTGTGGCCTAATATATGGTCACTTGTGGAGAATGTTCCATGTGCTGATGAGAAGAATGTGTATTCTGCAGATGTTGGATAAAATGTTTTGTAAATTCCTGTAATGTCCATTTGTTCTAAAGTATTGCTTAAATCCAATGTTTCTTTGTTAACTTTCTGTCTAGATGATCTTTTGAATGCTGAGTGTAGGGTTTTGAAGGCCCCAACCATTATTGTATTAGCTTCCATCTGTCTCTTTAGATCTAATGTTTGCTTTATACATCTGGGTGCTCCAGGGTTGGGTGCATATATATTTAGAGTTGTTATATCCTTTTCCTGAATTGATCCCTTTATCTTCATATAATGAACTTCTTTGTCTCTTTTTATAGATTTTGACTTAAATTCTGATTTATCTGATGTAAGTATAAGTACTCCTGCTTGCTTTGGTTTCTGTCTGCATAGAGTGTCTTTTTCCATCTCTTCACTTTTAGGCTATATATGTTTTCGCAAGTGAAGTGAGTTTTTTGGAGGCAGCATATGTTTAGGTTGCATTTTTATATCCATTCAGCCAATCTATATCTTTTACATGGGGGAATTTAATTCTTTTATATTCAAGGTTATTATTGATAGGTGAGGACTTACTCCTGTCATTTTGTTAATTATATTCTGATTATTTTGTATAGCTTTTTCTCCTTTCCTCTTATTTTATTGTTTATCATTGCTGTTTGGTGGTTTTCTGTAGTGGTAACATTTGAATCCTTTCTCTTTTTTGTTTCTGCTCTACCAGTGAGATTTTTTACACTGATGTGTTTGCATGATGGTAGATATTGTCATTTTGTTTCTAAATATAGGACTACCTTCAGGCTGGTCTAGTGGTGATGAATTTCCTCAGTTTTTGCTTATCTGAGAAAGACTTCTTTTGTCCTTTACTTTTGAAGGATGACTTTGCTAGGTACAGAATTCTTGGCTAGCAGGGTTTTTTTTCTTTCTTTTTTTTTTTGTTTTGAGATGGAGTCTTGCTCTGTCACCAGAATGGAGTGTAGTGGTGTGATCTCAGCTCACTACAACCTCCGTTTCCCTGGTTCAAGCAATTCCCCTGCCTCAGCCTCCCGAGTAGCTGAGACTACAGGCGCGTGCCACCATGACCGGCTAATTTTTGTATTTTAGTAGAGACGAGGTTTCACCATGTTGGCCAGGATGGTCTCGATCTCCTGACCTCGTGATCTGCCTGCACTGGCCTCCCAAAGTGTTGGAATTACAGGCGTGAAACACTGTGCCTGGCCTCTTTTTTTCCTTTCAGCATTTTGAATATATCATTCAATTCTTTCCTGGCTTAAGGTTTCTGCTGAGAAACCCATTAGTCTAATGTGGATTCCCTTATGTGTAACTTGATGTTTTTCTCTTGCTGTTTTTAGAATTCTCCCTTTGTCTCTGACTTCTGACAGTTTGACTGTAATATGCCTTAGAAAATATCTTTGTGGGTTGACTGTCCCACAGTCAAATTTGGGTTGGGGATCTTTGAGCTTCTTGTATCTGGATGTCTTTATCTCTTGCAAGATTTGGGAATTTTCAAGCTATTAGTTTATTAAATAGGTTTTCTGTGTCTTTGTCCATCTCTTCTCTTTCCGAAACTCCCCAGAATAAAAAAAATTTGGTCACTTTATGGTGTCCCATATATCCACATAAGCTTTCTTCATTGTTTTCAATTCATTTCTCTCTCTCCTTTTTAAAGTCTGACTAGGTTTTTTCAAAAGACCTGTCTTCAAGGTCAGAAGAAATTCCTTCTTCTACTTGATATAGTCTATTGTTGAAGCTATCAAATGTATTTTTTATTACATTTATTGAATTCTTCAGTTCCAGGGTTTTTGTTTCATTCCTTTTTATGATACCTGTCTCTGTTGAGTTTCTCATCCAGATCATGGATTGTTTTCCTGATTTATTTGTGTTCTTTATCTGTGTGTCTTGTATCTCACTGGGTTTCTTTAATATCATTATTTTGAAATCTTTTTCAGACATTTTATAAATTTCCTTTCTGTTGAGATTGGTTACTAGATAATTATTTTTTCATGTTTCCTATGTTCTTACTTTGCTATCTGTGCATCTGATTTAATCGTCATTTTTTTCCAATTTTATGAAAAATTCTTTTTTTTTTTTGAGACAAAATCTCACTCTGTTGCCAGGCTGGAGTGTACTGGTGTGATTTCGGCTCACTTCAACCACTGCCTTCTGGGTTCAAGCTATTCTTCTGCCTCAGCCTCCCAAGTAGCTGGGACTACAGGCATGCACATGCCATCACACCTGGTGAATTTTTGTACTTTTAGTAGGATGGGTTTTCGCCATGTTGGCCAGACTGGTCTTGAACTCCTGACCTTAAGTGATCCCACCTCGGCCTCCCAAAGTGCTGAGGTTACAGGCATGAGCCACCAAACCTGGATAATTTTATGAAAAATTCTTTATAGAGATGGGGTTCACTGTATCCTCCAGGCTGGAGTGCAGTTGCATGATCATGGCTCACTGCAGCCTTGACCTCAATGCTCAAGCAATCCTTACACATCAGCCAACTGAGTAGCTAGACTACAGGTACACACTAGAGTGCCTGGTGCCTGGGTAAAATTTTTTTTTTCCCCTAAATGTGGTCTTACTATGTTGCCAAGGCTGGTCTCAAACTCCTAGGTTCAAGTAATCCTCCTGCCTTGACTCTTAAAGTGTGTTTTCTTTTTTTCTTTCTTTTTTTTTTTTTTTTTTTTTGCCAAAAATGACATTGGTATTTTGATAGGGGTTGCATTGAATTTATAGATTGCTTGGGCAATATATTCATTTTAATGATATGAATTCTTCGATTCACTAGTATGGTATGGCTTTCAGTTTATTTGTGTCATCTTCAATTTCTTTCATCAGTGTTTTGTAGTTTTTCTTGTACATATTTTTCACTTCCTTGATTACATTTATTCCTAGATGTTCTTTTTTGGTATCTATTATGAATGGGATGGCTTTCTTGATTTCTACTGGTTCATTGTTGGTGTATAGAAACACTACTGATTTTTGTATGTTGATTTTGTATCCTGCAACTTTACTGAATTTGTATATCAATTCTAGGAGTTTTTTGGTGCCACTTTTAGGGGTTTTTTAAAAAAATATGTAAGATCTTGCTGTCTGCAAACAGGAACAATTTGACTTCTATCTTTCTAATTTGGATGCCCTTTATTTCTTTCACTTGCCAAATTAGCTAGAACTTTATGTATTTTTTTAATAGAAATGAGATCAAACATTTTATAATTTTAGCATTTTGGTTTTTTCATTGTGTATTATAACATGAAGAAATTTCCCATGTACCAAAGTATTAAGAATATGATGTTTAGCCAGGTACGGTGGCTCATGCCTGTAATCCCAGCACCCCTGGGAGGCTGAGGCGGGCGGATCACTTGAGGTCAGGAGTTTGAGACCATCCTGGCCAACATGGTGAAACCCTGTCTCTACTAAAAATACAAAAATTAGCCAGGCGTGGAGGTTGCAGTGATCCGAGATTGTGCCATTGCACTCCAGCCTGGGGGACAAGAGCGAAACTCTGTTTCAAAACAACAAAAAACGAAACAAAACAAAAATAATATGATGATGTTTAATTATCTCCAGTGTTTTTTTTTTAAATCATAGAACTACATTATATTTTTATCTGTCTACTCTTTTGTTGTTGGACATTGAGATTGTTTCTGGATTTTTTGCTTTTACTGTTAAATTAGGGTCATTAATTCTCTTTTGATAATTGAGGTCTAATTTTTAGGCAATAAAGTGCACAAATCTTAAGAGTATAGCTCAGTGAATTTGTACATGTGTATTCACCTGTATAAGTTTTTTTTTATTATTTTGAACAAATGAAAGCCTCTAAGACTAGAAGAATTCTACTTCAGTGGACTAATTCTTATTGCAAAGTCCTTGGGAGGAAGTGTTTCAAAAGATTTGTGAAATGCTACTTGTTACGTTATAACTTCTATGTTTGTATTTACTTCAGGAGGTCTTTTAATTTTTCTGTCGCCCAGTCTGGAGTGCAGTGGCGCGATCTCGGCTCACTGCAACCTCTGCCCCCCAGGTTCAAGCAATTCTCCTGCCTCAGCCTCCCAAATAGCTGGAACTACAGGCACACGCCACCACACCTGGCTAATTTTTGTATTTGTAGAGACGAGGTTTCACCATGTTGGCCAGGCTGGTCTCAAATTCCTGACCTCAGGTGATCTACCTGCCTCGGCCTCCCAATGTGTTGGGATTACTGGCGTGAGCCACTGCGCCCAGCCAGGAAGTCTGTTAATTTTAAATGAAGCTTCAGTGTAAATTAGAAGGAAAAAGGTATGTTCTGGTAGACATAAAGAAACAATAGTTAAGAAAAAGCTGCTTTATTTAAGGTTTTAAAGGGTTAAGGGACAATTTTCTTTAATCTTGTACTAATTATGTATAATTAAAAATTTTAGTGGCTCACAATTATTGGACTTTGTACCTTTCATAAAGAATCTTAGGTCTGTGAGCAAACTTTGACAATAAAACTGTTAGGTTATTGTTACTTGTATGCTGAATTTTTCATTAGATATGGTGTTATTATACCATTGGAATATCATGTCAGAATTCTAGTGAAAAAATAAAGAATAAGATGAAAAATGTTTAGAGCAAGGAACAGTATATGAGATTTTTACTTTCATTAAGACTTTTATAAGATTTATAAATTAAATGTGAGTATTTTTCTTCTATTTCACTGTATATGTGTTATCAATATATTCAGCAATTATACCATAATTACCTTATGATGAGTTTTAAAGGAACACATTACCTATTTTAAAACAAATTTCTTTTTTAAAAAATATATGTGTCTATATTGTTAGTATAAATTAAATGAAGCTGTTTCTTAATTGTTTTTATAGAATAGTAGAAGAATATCATGACTTATATACATTACAAAGAGAAAGGATGGAGAATGATATGAAAAAGTTAGTGGCAGAAAGAGATATCTGGAGCTCAGCCACATATGAATTGGCCCTGAAGGTTAGTTCATCTGGATTCACAACTCACACTTCTTTTTTGGCTAAAGATTCATTCTACAGTTTTAAAATTTGTTTTTTTTGTTTTGTTTTGTTTTGAAAGAGTCTTACTCACTCTGTTGCTTAGGCTGGAATTCAGTGATGTGATCTCGGCTCACTGCAACCTCTGACTCTTGGGTTCAAGCAATTCTCCCACCTCAGCCTCTTGAGTAGCTGGGATTACAGGCATGAGCTGCCACACCCGGCCTGTTTTGCAGTTTTCAATAATCTAGACAAAGACTCAAAAAAATGAGGATGTATATTTATTGATGTATAATGTAACTTTTGTGGGCTTTGAAAAGGAAAAGTTGAATTTCTTCTTTTTATTCTTGCATTTGTTGGGCACATAGCTATTACACAATTAAGGGTCTTTTTTTTTTTAAGGGCAGAATCTATGAAATATGAACAAGTGTTCTTTTTCTGTTGTTTGGGAACATGTTAAAATTTTCAACTTTAATTTATACTAATAATAAAGTAGGAAAGGTGGTTCTTATCTCTTCATACAAGGTGACCATATTTGGATCACTGGATATCACACTCTGATTCTCTTTTTTTTTTAAAAAAACAGGGTCTCACTCTGTTGCCCAGGCTGGAGTATAGTGGTGAGTGGTGCAATCACAGCTTACTGTAGCCTTGACCTCCTGGGCTCAAGCAATTCTCCCACCTCAGCCTCTTGAGTAGCTGGGATTACAGGTGTGCACCACCACTCCTGGCTAATTTTTAATTTTTTGTAGAGATGGGATTTCTCTATGTTGCCCTGGATAGTCTTGAACTCCTAGGCTTAAATCATCCTCCTGCCTCAACCTCTCAAAGTGCTGGGATTACATGCATGAGCCACTGTGGCTGACCCACTCTCTGATTCTGTTTACCTTGGTACACAAGATGACAAATGAATTGAAATATGGTACACTGTGGACCATTATAGTAATACTTTAGGGAAATAGCAAAGTCACACAATATTCTATATTTCTAAAATATTTACTTGTTGGTTGCCTATTCTGACAACTGGGACTTCTAGGTACAGTGAATTTTGATCCTCAAAAGATTAAAAAATGAGTTCAGTTAAATTGGTTCACTGGTCTACTGGTGGCAGGTCACAGCGTTCTCCATGGAGATATACTGCATTAATGCATTAATACATCTGCATTAGAGCTCTGTATTAACCCTGCCACATGTAGTAGTTTGTCAGTTATTTGGAAGAAAATGTAGAAGGCATCCCTGTCAAGTGTCCTAAAGCTAGAGAGAAAGCTAATATACTAGATAGTGGAATCAAGGCTTGTTATTTAGGAAAGTTCATTTACTTACTAGAGGTAATTATTAGAAATCTAGATCATTACTGGGGACATGCTAGAGGCATTTCCATTCAAGAGAGGAGAAAGGATTTCTGCTATCACTGGAGATCCTAATTCAGTAATAACATGCAAATAAAATCAAGAGATATAACTACTTATAGGAAGCAGCAAAATCTCTTTAAAATTTTTTTTCCCACTGATTTCTTTAGCAAAAATTCCCAGTATATTGTTGAATAGAAGTGGTAAAAGTGAGTATTCCTGTTCTCAGTCTTATGGGGAAGACATTCTGCTTTCACCATTAAGTACAATATTTACTGTAGGCTTTCATATATACCCTTTATTGGGTTGTGGAAGTTCCCTTAAATTTTTCATTTGTTTAGAGTTTAATCATAAATAGGTGCTGTATTTAGTCAAATATATTTTCTGTGTCAATTGAGATTACTACATCTTGATTTCCTTTTACTTTATTAACATATTACATTGTTTTTAACACCTTTATTGAAGTACAATTGATATACAAAAAAAACAAATCCACACATGTTTAATATATTCAATTTGACATTGAACATTTACATACACTCGTGATACCCTCATGACAATCAAGGTAATAAACATATCCACATTAACTGTTTATATTTATTTTATTAATTAATTTTAAATTTTATTTTAGATTCAGGGGTACGTGTGCAGGATAGCTACATGGATATATTGTGTAAATCATAAGGTTTGGGCTTCCAGTGAGCCCATCACCCAAATAGTGAACATTGTATCCAATAGGTGAATTCTCAACTGTTGGTCCTTTCCCACCCTCCCCACTTTTGGAGTCACCAGTGTCTATTATTTTCGTCCTTGTGTCCATGTATACCCATTGTTTAGTTCCCACTTACAAGTGAGAACATGCAGTATTTGATTTTCTGTTTCTGAGTTTTTTCACTTAAGATAATTGCCTTCAGCTTCATCCATGTTGCTTCAAAGCATATAATTTCATTCTCTTTTATGGCTGCATAATATTCCATGGTATATACCACATTTTCTTTACCCAATTAATCATTGATGGACACTTCGGTTGATTCCATGACTTTGCTATTGTAAATAGTGCTGGAATAAACATATGAGTGCAGGTGTCTTTTTGATTAAATGATTTCTTTTCCTTTGGGTATATAACCACTAGTGGGATTGCTGGGTCAAATGGTAGTTCCATTTTTAGTTCTTTGAGAAATCTCCATACTGTTTTCCACAGGGGTTGAACTAATTTACATTCCCACCATAGTATATAAGTGTTCCCTTTTCTCTGCATCCTCGTCAACATCTGTTTTTTTTTTACTTTTTAATAATAGCCGTTCTGACTGGTGTGAGATGGTATCTCATTATGGTCAAAGTCACTATTATTTCCTGATAAAGCAATTATCTACCTAGCAAAGATAAATTTAAATATTATTTGAATTAATTAGCCTTTAATAATGTTGCTGAATATAAGATAAATATACAATTTTTTAACAAACATTGGGCAAATAATGCAGTTTTCTAACCAGAAAAAAATAAATTTAAACATTATTTGAATTATTTAGCCTTTAATAAAGGTTGATGAATACAAGATAAATACAAAAAAAAACCCAACGTATTACCTATATACAATAATAAACATTAGAAATGCAAAGAGGGAATAAATTTAATAAGAAGGGATAAGACCTGTATCTTGAAAACACTAAAACCATGGTAAAGAACTTAAAAGCAAACTAAAAGGAGAGCTGTATAGCATATCACTGGTTGAGAACAATAATCAATATTGTATAGATGTCAGTTCTCTCCAAATTAATCTTTATTTATTTATTTATTTATTTATTTTTTTGAGATGGAGTCTCGCTCTTTCACCCATGCTGGAGTGCAGTGGCATGATCTCGGCTCACTGCAGGCTCCGCCCCCTGGGGTTCACGCCATTCTCCTGCCTCAGCCTCCTGTGTAGCTGGGACTACAGGCGCCCGCCACCTCGCCTGGCTAATTTTTTGTATTTTTAGTAGAGAGGGGGTTTCACCGTGTTAGCCAGGATGGTCTCGATCTCCTGAACTCGTGATCCGCCCACCTCAGCCTGCCAAAGTGCTGGGATTACAAGTGTGAGCCACCGCGCCCGGCCAAATTAATCTTTAAATTTGATATAATTCCACTAAAAATCTCAGTAACAATTTTATTTTTAGGAATTTGGCAAGTTGTTTATAAAACCCATCTGGAAGAATCTGAATATGAGAATAATAAAACATTTTAAAAGAAGATTAATAAAAATAACTTGTACTTTTAGACATCAAAATGTATTATAAAGTCAAAGTAACTGAGAAAATGTGTTACTTGGTTAGAATAGATAAATACAACAGAATAGAATAGAAAAAGGTCAGAAATAGACTCACCTATATATGGGATATTCAAATTGGGTTGGCACAATCGATTATTCAATTGTTAAAAAATTTAGATTTCGGCTGGGCGTGATGGCCAATGCCTGTAATCCCAGCACTTTGGGAGGCCAAGGCAAGTGGATCACCTGAGGTTAGGAGCTCAAGACCAGCCTGGCCAACATGGTGAAACCCCATCTCTACTAAAAATACAAAAATTCGCTGGGCATATTGGCGGGTGTCTGTAGTCCCAGCTACTGAGGAGGCTGAGGCACGAGAATTGCTTGAACCCGGGAGGTGGAGGTTGCAGTGAGCCGAGATCGCACCACTGCACTCCAGCCTGGGCAACAGAGCGAGACTGCATCTCAAAAAACAAAACAAAACAAAACAAATTTAGATCCCGACCTCATTAAAAAGATAACTAAAAAGTAAATCCCAGAAGGGAATAATTAAATGTTAAAAACAATGTAATTATAAACATATTAGAAGAAATTACATGAGAATTTTCAAAAAAATAGTAGCTTTTGTGACATATAATTCACCCAATTAAAGTGTACAATTATATGTTTTTTAGCATGGTCGCAGAACTGTGAAACCATCACCACAACCAATCTGAAAACTTCTTCATTACCCTCAAAAGAAACTCCATACATTTTAGCAGTCGCTTCTCATTACCTCCAACCCATTCAACTTAGGTAATCATTAATGAACTTTCTTTTCTCTCCAGGGTACATCTTTTTTTTTTTCTGAGATGGAGTCTCACTCTGTTGCCCAGGCTGGAGTGCAGTGGCGCGATCTCTGCTCGCTGCAACCTCCACCTCCCGGGTTCGTGCCATTCTCCTGCCTCAGCCTCCCGAGTAGCAGGGTACATCTTATAATTTAATGCATTCATGTAGTTTGTAAAGATCAAATATGTGTACTTAGGATAGACATCATCTAAAATATTTGTCTTTTCTTTGTGGTAGATACATTTGATTTACTCTTTTCTAGCTATTTTAGAATGTGCAATAGATTGTTGTAAACTATAGTCAGTCTACCTATCTATCTAACACTAGGACTTATTTCTTCTGTTAAATCATATACTTGTACCCATTAATCAACCTCTCTTTATCTTCTCTCTCTCCTACCCTTCCTGGCCTCTGGTAACCATGAATCTACTCTCTATCTTCATGTGATCCACTCTTTTAGCTCCCACATGTGGATACTTGCAATCTTTGTCTTTCTGTGACTTGGCTTATTTCACTTAACAAAATGACCTCCAGTTTCATCCATGTTGCTGCAAATGATAGGATTTTATTATTTTTCAGTGGCTGAATAATATTCCATTGGGTTTATATACTGTGTTTTCATTATTCATTCGTTGGTGGGCACTTAGGTTGATTGCATATATTGGCTATTGTGAATAGTGCTGGTATCTTTTGATATACTGATTTTCTTTCTTTAGGACATGTACCCAGCAGTGGAATTAATTGCTGGATTATATGGTAGTTCTGGTTTTAGTTTTTTGAGGAACCTCCATAATGTTCTCCACAGTGGCTATACTAATTTACATTCCCACCAACAGCGTACAAGTGGAGACAAAAGTGACTCCATGTTGAATGCTAATGTGCCATATTGACTTCTGATTAGCCCCAGTCAAGTGAATGCCTCCTGATTTCTATTTACTTTTCTCAGTGTAAGAACAAAGCAACCTTGATGTTATCACATAAATTATAAGGCTATGATGCTTACAGCATTCTTGCCTGTTCTGGAGGGTTGCTTTTGTGTTGCACAAAACAAGCATACCCTTTCTTTATGGTATATAAGCCTTGAGCCTGGGGAGTAACAGTGCAGAGATCTACCTGTCTTGTGGCTACCCTAGACAATGCTTCTGTTAGTTTCCCCAATAAAACACCCTTTACCCACAAATTGGATTTGTCTGCCTTGGTTTTTGGTTTCTCAGCTCCTTCGGCATTTGGAAACTTCCTTGCATATACGGCCCTTTTATAGAACAGTTCTCCTTTCTCCACATCTTTGCAAGCATCTGTATTGCCTGTTTTTTGATACAATCCATTTTAACTGGGGTGAGATGATATCTCATTGTAGTTTTGATTTGCATTTCTTTGATGATTACTGATGTTGAGCATTTTTTCACATACCTGTTTGCCATTTGTATGTCTTCTTTGGAGAAATATCTATTCAGATCTTTTGCCCATTTTAAAATCAGACTATCTCCTCTTTTTTTTTTTTTGCTATTGAGTTGTTTGAGCTCCTTATAAATTCTGGTTGTAACTCCCTTATCAGATAGATAGTTTGCAAATATTTTCTCTATCTCTGTAGGTTTTCTCTTCACTTTGTTGATTGTTTCCTTTACCATGCAGAAGGTTTGTAGCTTGATGTAATTGCTTTTTCTTTCTTTTTGCTTTGGTTGCCTGTGCTTTTGAGGTCTTACACGGAAAATCTTTGCCCAAACCAATGTCCTAGAGTGTTTCCCCAACGTTTTCTTCAAGGAGTTGTTTTAGTTTCAGGTCTTAGAATTAAGTCTTTAATCCATTTTGATTTGATTTTTGTATATGGTGAGAAATAGGGGGTCTAGTTTTATTGTTGCATTGGTCTGTGTGTCTGCTTTTATGCCATTACCATGCCGATTTGTTTACTATGGCTTTGTACTAAATTTTGAAGTCAGGTAGTGTGATGCCTCCTGCTTTGTTCTTTTTGCACAGGATTGCTTTGGTTATTTGGGGCCTTTTGTGGTTCCATATAGATTTTAGGATTTAAAAAAAAAATTCTGTGAAGAATGCCATTGGTATTTTAAGAGGGCTGGCATTGAATCTGCAAATTTCTTTGGGTAGTATTGCCATTTAACAATATTAGTTCTTCCAGTCCATGAGCATGGAATATATTTCCATTTTTTATGTCTTTTTTTTAATCAGAGTTTTATAGTGTTCCTTGTATAGATCTTTTACTTCTTTTCCAAATTTAGGTATTTTATATTATTTATTGCTATTTTATTTTTATTTATTTATTTTTATTTTATTTATTTATTTATTTTTTTATTGATCATTCTTGGGTGTTTCTCGCAGAGGGGGATTTGGCAGGGTCATAGGACAATAGTGGAGGGAAGGTCAGCAGATAAACAAGTGAACAAAGGTCTCTGGTTTTCCTAGGCAGAGGACCCTGCGGCCTTCCGCAGTGTTTGTGTCCCTGGGTACTTAAGATTAGGGAGTGGTGATGACTCTTAACGAGCATGCTGCCTTCAAGCATCTGTTTAACAAAGCACATCTTGCACCACCCTTAATCCATTTAACCCTGAGTGGACACAGCACATGTTTCAGAGAGCATAGGGCTGGGGGTAAGGTCACAGATCAACAGGATCCCAAGGCAGAAGAATTTTTCTTAGTACGGAACAAAATGAAAAGTCTCCCATGTCTACTTCTTTCTACACAGACACGGCAACCATCCGATTTCTCAATCTTTTCCCCACCTTTTCCCCCTTTCCATTCCACAAAACCGCCATTGTCATCATGGCCCATTCTCAATGAGCTGTTGGGTACACCTCCCAGACGGGGTGGTGGCCGGGCAGAGGGGCTCCCCACTTCCCAGTAGGGGCGGCCGGGCAGAGGCACCCCTCACCTCCCGGACGGGGCGGCTGGCCGGGCGGGGGGCTGACCCCCGCACCTCCCTCCCGGACGGGGCGGCTGGCCGGGTGGGGGGCCGACACCACCACCTCCCTCCCGGACGGGGCGGCTGGCCGGGCGGGGGGCTGACCCCCACCTCCCTCCCGGACGGGGTGGCTGCCGGGCGGAGACGCTCCTCACTTCCCAGATGGGGTGGCTGCTGGACGGAGGGGCTCCTCACTTCTCAGACGGGGCGGCTGCCGGGCGGAGGGACTCCTCACTTCTCAGACGGGGCTGTTGCCAGGCAGAGGGTCTCCTCACTTCTCAGACGGGGCGGCAGGGCAGAGACGCTCCTCACCTCCCAGACGGGGTCGCCGCCGGGCAGAGGCGCTCCTCACATCCCAGACGAGGCGGCGGGGCAGAGGCGCTCCCCACATCTCAGACGATGGGCGGCCGGACAGAGACGCTCCTCACTTCCTAGATGGGATGGCGGCGGGGAAGAGGCCCCCCTCACTTCCTAGATGGGATGGCGGCCGGGCAGAGACGCTCCTCACTTTCCAGACTGGGCAGCCAGGCAGAGGGGCTCCTCACATCCCAGACGATGGGCGGCCAGGCAGAGAGGCTCCTCACTTCCCAGACGGGGTGGCAGCCGGGCAGAGGCTGCAATCTCGGCTCTTTGGGAGGCCAAGGCAGGCGGCTGGGAGGTGGTTGTAGCGAGCCAAGATCACGCCACTGCACTCCAGCCTGGGCACCATTGAGCACTGAGTGAACGAGACTCTGTCTGCAATCCCGGCACCTCGGGAGGCCAAGGCTGGCGGATCACTCGCGGTTAGGAGCTGGAGACCAGCCCGGCCAACACAGCGAAACCCCGTCTCCACCAAAAAAATACGAAAACCAGTCAGGCGTGGCGGCGTGCGCCTGCAATCGCAGGCACTCGGCAGGCTGAGGCAGGAGAATCAGGCAGGGAGGTTGCAGTGAGCCGAGATGGCAGCAGTACAGTCCAGCTTCAGCTCGGCATCAGAGGGAGACCGTGGAAAGAGAGGGAGAGGGAGATGGTGGGGAGAGGGAGAGGGAGAGGGGGAGGGGGAGGGGGAGGGAGACAGAGAGGGAGAGGGAGAGGGAGAGGGAGCATTTATTGCTATTTTAAATAGAGCTGCTTTCTTGATTTCATCTTCAGATTGTTTGCAATTGGTATATATAAATCCTACTGATTTTTGTATGTTGATTTTGTATACTTGAAATATATTGAATTTGTTTTTCAGTTCTAACAGGTTTTTGGTGGAGTCTTTAGGTTTTTTAAAGTATAAGATTATGTCTTTTGTGAATGAGGCTAATTTGATTTCTTTATTTTCAATTTAGATGCCTTTTATTTCTTTCTCTTGCCTAATTGCTCTGTCCAGGACTTCCAGGAATAAAAGTGGTGAAAATGGGCATCCTTGTCTTGTTCTAGATCTTAGAGGAAAGGCCTTTAATTTTTCCCCATTCAGTACAATGTTAACTGTGGGTTTGCCATATATGGCTTTCTTTTATTTTGAGGTATGTTTCTTCTATACTAAATTTGATGAGGGTTTTTATCATAAAGGGATGTTGAATGTTATCAAGTGCTTTTTCAGCTTCTATTGAAATGATGCTATGCTTCTTGTTCTTGGTTCTGTTAATGTGATGTATCACATTTATTGATGTGCACATGTTGAACCATCCTCATATCCCTGAGATGAATCCCACTTGATCATGGTGAATGATCTTTTTTAACATGTTGTTGAATTTGGTTTGCTTATATTTTGTGAGGATTTTTACATCTGTGTTCATCCATGATATTGGCCTGTAGTTTTCTTTTTTTTGTTGTGTTCTTGTCTGGTTTTGATATTAGGGTAATGCCTTATGAGTTTGGAAGTATTCCTTCCTTTTCAAATTTTTTGAAGAGTTTATGTTGAATTGATATTAGTTCTTCTTCAAATACTTGGTAGAATTCAACTATGAAGCCATTAGGTCCTGGGATTTTCTTTGATGGGAGACTTTGTGTTATGGCTTTGATCTCATTACTTGTTATTGGTTTATTGAGGTTTTCCTTTTTTTTTTTTTTCCATTTTCCCCCTGGCTGGAGTGCAGTGGCACAGTCTTGGCTCACTGCAACCTCCATTTCCCAGGTTCAAGCAATTCTCGTGTCTCAGCCTCCTGAGTTGCTGGGATTACAGGTGCCCGCCACCACACCTGATGAATTTTTGTATTTTTAGTAGAGACGGTTTCACCATGTTGGCCAGGCTGGTCTTGAACTCCTGACCTCAAGTGATCTGCCTGCCCCACCCTCCCAAGGTACTGGGATTACAGGCGTGAGCTACCATGTCCAGCCCTAGGTTTTCCAATTTGTTCATGCATAGTTGTTTGTAAGTCTCTAATGCTTCTTTGTATTCCTGTGGTCTCAGTTGTTACATCTTCTTTTTCGTTTCTTATTCTATTTGGGTATCCCTTCCTTCCTTCCTTCCTTCCTTCCTTCCTTCCTTCCTTCCTTCCTTCCTTCCTTCCTTTCTTCCTTCTTTGTCAAAGATGGTTGGCTATATATGCATGAATTTATATCCAGGTTCTATATTTTATTGCATTGGTCTATATGTCTGCTTTTATGCCATTACCATGCTGGTTTGTTTACTATGGCTTCGTAGTAAATTTCGAAGTCAGGTAGTGTGATGCCTCCTGCTTTGTTCTCTTTGCACAAGATTGCTTTGGTTATTTGGGGTCTTTTGTGGTTCTCTATGGTTTCCTTCCTTCCTTTCTTCCTTCCTTCCTTTTCTTTTTCTTTTCCTTTTTTTTTTTTTTTTTTTTTTTTTTTTTGAGACAGAGTCTTGCTCTTTCACCCAGGCTGTAGTGTAGTGGGGTGGCGTGATCTCAGCTCACTGCAACCTCTGCCTCCTGGGTTCAAGTGATTCTTGTGCCTCAGCCTCCTGAGTAGCTGGGAATACAGGTGTGCACCACCATGCCTGGCTAATTTTTGTATTTTTAGTAGAGATGGGATTTTACCATGTTGGCCAGGCTGGTCTTAAACTCCTGGCCTAAAGTGATCCACCTGCCTCGGCCTGCAAAAGTTGGGATTACAGGTGTGAGCCACCATGCCTGGACCTTTATCTTTTTTCTTATTTAGTCTAGCTAAAGCTTTATTGATTTTGCTTATCTTTTCAAAAAACCAACTTTTCAGCTGGGCGCAGTGGCTCACACCTGTTATCGTAGCACTTTGGGAGGTCAGAGTGGGTGGATCACCTGAGGTCAGGAGTTTGAGACCAGCCTGGCCAACATGGTAAAACTCTGTCTCTACTAAAAATACAAAAAAATTAGCCAGGCATGGTGGCAGGCGCCTGTAATCCCGGCTACTTGGGAGGCTGAGGCAGGAGAATCTCTTGAATCCGGGAGGCAGAGGTTGCGGTGAGCCAAGATTGTGCCATTGCACTCCAGCCTGGGCAACAAGAACGAAACTCCATCTCAAAAGAAAAAAAAAAAAAAAAACAGCAGCTTTTCCTTTCATTGATTCCTTGTATTTATTGTCTCAATTTTATTTATTTCTGCTGTTATCTGTATTATTTCTTTCCTTCTACTAATTTTAGGTTTGGTTTGTTCTTGCTTTTCTAGTTCCTTGAGGTGCATTGTTAGGTTATTTCCCGTCTTTCTATCATTTTGATATAGATATATCAAATATATAATTTATAACAATAAATTATAAACTTATCTGTTCATACTGCTTTTACTGTATCCCATAGATTTTTGTATGCTGTTTTTACATTTTCATTTATTTCAAGATGATTTTTCATTTTGTTCTTGATTCCTACATTGACCATTGGTCATTCCATAAAATGTTATTTAATTTCTGTGTGTTTATGAAGTATCCAAGTTTCTTCCTGTTATTGATTTCAAGTTTTATTCCATCATTGTGGTCAGAAAAAATACTCTATATGATTTCTACTTTTTTGAATTTCTTCAGACTTGTTTTGTGGCCTAAGATATGGTATATTCTAGAGAATGTTTCATCTGCTGACAAAATGAATGTGTATTCCTTAACAGATGGGTGAAATGTTCTGTAAATGTCAGTTAGGCCTATTAGGTCCAGTGTGTAGTTTAACTCCGTTTTTTGTTGTTGTTGATTTCTTGTCTGTCCATTACTGAAAAGAGTGTTAAAATCCCCCACTATTATTATATTACATTTTGTCTCTCCCCCTTTTTTTTTCTTTGAGATGAAGTCTCACTCTGTTGCCCAGGCTGGAGTGCAGTGGTGCAGTCTCGGCTCACTGCAACCTCCGCCTCGTGGGTTCAAGTAATTCTCCTGCCTCCATCTCCCAAGTAGCTGGGATTACAGGTACCTGCCACCATGCCTGGCTAATTTTTGTATTTTTAGTAGAGACAGGGTTTCACCATGTTGGCCAGGCTGGTCTCGAACTCCTGACCTCAAGTGATCCGCCCACCTTAGTCTCCCAAAGTGCTGGGATTACAGGTGTGAGCCACTGTGCCTGGCCATCTCTCCCTTTATATCTGTTAATGTTTGCTTTGTATAGTTTGGAGCTCCAGTGTTGGGCGTATAATTGTTACACCTTCTTTATAATTGTTATATCTTTTTGCTGAATTGAATCCTTTATAATTATATAGTAACCTTTTTTTTTTACAGTCTTTGATTTGTAACCCATTTTATCTGATATAAATATAGCTACTCCTGCTCTCTTTTGGTTTCCAATTGCATGGAATATATTTTTCTACCCATAAACTTTCAGTATGTATGTGTTATTATAGTTGAGTGGATTTTGTGTAGACAGATATTGTTGGGTCTTGTTGCTTTATCCTTTCAGCCATTCTGTACCTTTTAATTGGATAATTGAGTTCATTTACATTCAGTGTTATTATTGATAAGTAAGGATTTACTCCTTCCATTTTGTTGCTTTTTATCTTGTTTTATAACTCCTCTTTTCCTTTCTCACTGTTTTCCTTTGTGATTAAGTGGTTATCTCTGATATTATGTTTTAATTTGTTGCCTTTTTTTAAGTGAATCTGTTATAGGTTTTTGCATGGTGGTTACCATGAAGCTTACAAAAAACATTGTATAACAGGTTTTTTTAAAAAAAGAGATGACAATTTATCTTAGATTACAAAAAAAGAAAAGAAGCAAATAAAAAATGAAAAAAATACGCTTTAACTCTATTCTCCTCAACATTTTGACTTTTAGTTATTTGCATTTACATATTTGTATATATTAACCATCTCTTAACAAGTTGCTGTAGCTATTATTGTTTTTGATAGATTTGTCTTTTAGGCTTCATACTAGAGTTATGAGTGGATTACACACTACAGTTACAGTATTAGCATATTCTATATTTGTCTGTGTAGATCATTTTACCAGTGGGTTTTATAGCTTCAAAGTTTTTTTTTACATGTTGGTGTTTTTTTCTTTTAGATTGAAGAACTCCCCATTAGCATTTCTTGTAAGAGAGGTCTGGTGGTGGTAAATTCTCTCAGCTTGTGTTTGGGAAAGACTATCTCTCCTTCATATTTAAAGAACAACTTTGCTGGATATAGTACTCTTGGATAGCAGGGTTTTGTTCGTTTGTTTGTTTGTTTTCTTACAGCACTTTGAAAATGTCATTTCTCTCCTTCCTGCCCTGTATGGTTTCCACTGAGAAGTCTGTTGCTAGGTAAGTTGGAGCTCCTTAACATGTTATTTGCTTCTTTACTCTTGCTGCTTTTACGGTCATCTTTTTGTTCTTGGCCTTTGAGAGTTTGATTGTTGTATACCTTGGGTGGTCTTGTTTGGGTCACATCTGTTTGGTGCTCTCAGACCTTCCTATAACTGGACATTCATATCTAAGTTTTTGAAAGTTTTCTATTATCTTTTTTTTTTTTTTTTTTTGAGACAGAGTCTGGCTCTGTCACCCAGGCTGGAGTGCAGTGGCATGATCTCTGCTCACTGCAACCTCTGCCTCCCGGGTTCAAGCGATTCTCCTGCCTCAGTCTCCTGAGTAGCTGGGATTACAGGCACGTGCCACCAGGCCTGGCTAATTTTTTTGTATTTTTAGTAGAAATGGAGTTTTGCCATGTTAGCCAGACTGGTCTCAAACTCCTGATCTCAGGTGATCCACCTGCCCCGGCCTCCCAAAGTGCTAGGATTGCAGGCGTGAGCCACCATGCCTGGCTGATTCTTGTTTCTTTCTATCCTTTTTTCTCCTCTGATTGTGTACAAGTAGCCTGTATTTGGGTTCACTGATTCTTTCCTCTTCTTGATGCATTCTGCTGTTGAGAACCTCTGATGAATTTTTCAGTTCAGCAAATGTATTTCTCAATTCCAGTAATTTTATTTTTTTATTATTTCAATCTCTTTGTTACATTTCTCTGATAAATTTCTGAATTGCTTTTCTGGGTTATCTTGGAGATCACTGAGTTTTCTTAAAACTGTAGTTTTGAATTCTTCATCAGAGAGCTCACGTGTTAGAGTCACTCACTTGTTCCTTGCTTTGTCCATTTGGGGAGATCATGGTTCCCTGTTTGCTGTTGTTTCTTATGAATGTATGTCTATTACTTTGCATTGAAGGTTTAGTTATTTATTCTAATCTTCTCTGTCTGGCTTGTTTTATGTTTGATTGGCTATTTTTGCTTAGCAAATCTTAAGGTTGCTGCCTCCTTTTCAGCACTACATGGTGCTTTAAACCCAGGTTCACCTCAACTCTAGTAAAGGATTGAAGTGCTACCCTTCCTATGTAGGGGAGTTTCCAAAGGCAATATCTCTGCAGTGTGAGAAGGATGGCTAGGGGCTAGTGCCCAGGGAATCTGTGGAATGAACCTTGCACAGCATGGTGCTGTTGATAACCCTCTCTCACATGGAGTCTCCTTTGGCTGAGTTGCAGAGCAAAGTTTCCAGGCCTGGGGATGGTAGTCCTTCTTCTACCCTTTGTCTCTGCCTGTCCTCAGGCATATTTATCTCTTCAGGCACTTGTGATGGTCTCCTGCCAAGGAATCAACATGATGGGGTCTCCTGCCAAGGAATCAACATGATGGGGTCTCCTGCCAAGGAATCAACATGATGAGGAAGCTTGTTGTCCATCTTGATCTCACTTTTTCCAGTGTAAAAACCATGAGTTTGGGGAAAATTTTCCATGTGCTTTGTGCTGGGCAGAAGCAGGGAGGGAGATTGAGGCTGCAGTGAGCTGAGATCACACCACTGCACTCCAGTGTGGGTGACAGAGTTAGACCCTGTCTCACATATGTGTGTGTGTGTGTGTGTAAAGAGAGAAATGTGGAAGCTCTTTTTTTTTTTTTTTTTTTGAGACAGAGTCTCACTCTGTCACCCAGGCTGGAATGCAGTGGCACAATCTCGGCTCACTGCAACCTCTGCCTCCCGGGTTCAAGCGATTCTCCTGCCACAGCCTCTCAAGTAGCTGGGACTACAGGCACATGCCACCACACCCAGATAATTTTTGTATTTTTGGTAGAGACGGGGTTTTACCATGTTGGTCAGGCTGGTCTCAAACTCCCGACCTTGTCATCTGCCTGCCTCGACCTCCCAAAGTGCTGGGATTATAGGACTGAGCCACTGCGCCTGGCCAAAGCTCTTTCTAAGTATGACGGGAAATCTTAAAATTTAAAACTTCCATTCAGTGACAATCACTAGAAATAAAAGCAAATAACAAACTGGGAGAAAATGTTTGTATAGTTAATATTACTAAAGTGGTAGAATAAATAAATTTTAAAGGTAAAATAATCCAGCAAAACAGTAGGCACAGACTATAAACAGATAATTCAGAGTAAGAAATTCAAATAGCCAATAAATATATGAAAATATGTTCAACCTCACCAATCATCAATAAGATGGAACATACAGAATAATTAGATAACATTTTTAGCTTAGCATATGGGCAAACATAGACAGATGATAAACATGAACATTTGCATGTACTATTGATGGGCATATATATTGATATAACCATTTTAGAAATTTTTATAGAGGCTAACAGTATTTTAAATTTGTACCTGTTTGATTAACCAATCACACAGGCAAAAAGTCATTCCATTCCTAAGAAATACTAATACAAGTGAATAAGAATATGGATGTTCATTTCAACATTGCTTGTGATTACAAAAATATTGAAATAATCTAAATATCCACCAGAAGGGAAATTATAGTTATTCAAACAGTAGAACACTAAGGAGCCATTTAAAAGAATGTTGTAGATATATATGTATGTGCAAAGATGGCTATGATAAGTAAAAGAAATAGCAAGTTTTAGAATAATATAAAAGGATAGGAGAACATTTAATAAAAACTATCACAAGTATATAAATAACTATGTGGCCAAGTATAGTGGCTCAAGCCTGTAATCCCAGCACTTTGGGAGGCTGAGGCTGGTGGATGGCCTGATGTCAGGAGTTTGAGACCAGCCTGGCCAACGTGGTAAAACCCCGTCTCTACTAAAAAAATTACAAAAATTAGGCAGCATGGTGGCCCATGCCTGTAATCCCAGCTACTCGGGAGGCTGAGGCAGGAGAAACACTTGAACCTGGGAGGCAGAGGTTGCAGTAAGCCGAAATCATGCCACTGCACTCCAGCCTGGGCCATAGAGTGAGGATCAGTCTCAAAACAAAAACAAGAACAAAAACAAACAAAAAAAAACTATATATAGTTTAGTTTATATATGCACACACACAAAATCTTCACCAAGAGAACAGCAAACTAATAAGACATTACCTTTGGTTAGTTGAATGTTAGGGTTGGGTGAGCTGGTGGGAATTTTGAAATTTACTTTATACTTCTATATTGTTTGACTTTGTTTTAACAAATATATATTAATTTTTTGACTGAATGGTAATTTTTGAGGATCTACTAATTTTTAAAAATAAACTTTGAGCATGTGTTATGTGTCAGACATTATGCCATGTACTGGTTGGTAAAATAAAAATAATTGAGACAAAGTTCCTGCCCATAAAACTTCATGAGATTCAAATATCTCAACGATTGAGAATGATGAGCCTTTCCAGACAAATGAAATGTTAGTAGGGATAAATGTATAGATTAATCTTACTAATATGATTAACATTAATAATTACCATGATATTATTTTTAAAAAAGAATCAGCAATTATTTATTCAGTTATTACTATCTGTCAGATATTTTGCTAAGGGAATAATTAGCATAGTTCTTACAGTAATCCCTTGAAACAGTACTATCATTACCCACATTTTTCATATGAGGACTCAGAGAGGTAATTTGCCTAAGTTCACATAGCTAATAAATGGTGAACCTAGCAAGTCTGATCCCAGAGCCTGAACTCCCAGTTTCCATTATATACCATCTTCAGAGACAAAAGACAAACAAAACTCAGGGCAGCCACCTAAAGGAGGAGACCCAATGTAAGAGCAATCCATGTAAAAAAAAAAAAAAAAAGATTTGTGACATTGAAGTAACTGTGGATTTGCTAAGGCAACTGCATGAAATGATTCTCAAAACAATGCTGGACTTTTACAAGATTAGAAGTAAAGAGAATAGAAGGAGATCATTGTCTCATTTTTCTCTGAAATGGTCAGACCTCATCTAGAATACAGTGTTCCATTCTGATGCAGAATTTTTAAGGGCACATTGACATTTTCAGAGGAAACAATCATGACAGTAAATACATGATGTAAGAAACAGATTTGAGCTAGACATGTTCAGTGGAGAAAAAAGAAGAAAAGTGAGATCCCTCACACTAGAAGTATTTCAATAGTAGAGAGCTGGCCCCTGGTAGAGGTTTCTGTAGAATTCCTTGCATTGATGAGCTTTGTGTTAGATCATCCCTAGAGTCCCTTCTAACTGAAGTGACAGTTAGAATGTCAATTCCTTGAAAATAAGAACTTTATCTCTTTTGTCCATGTCTATGTCCACAGTGTCTAGAACAGTATTTCATTAAATGACTAGCAGTTGATTTCTTATATTAGTGGTTCTCAAAGTATGGCCCAGGGACCCCTTGTGGGGGGCAGGAGGCCTCTATGAGACCCTTTTAAGAGCTTCAAGAAATCAAAATTAGTTTCATTATAATACTAAAATGTTGTTTGCCTTTTTCATTCTCATTCTTTTATTAAGAGTATGCAGTGGATTTTTCTAGCAGCTACATGACGTGATATATTCTAACAGATTGAATACAGAAGCAAATGAGAATCCAGCTCTGTTCTTCTAAGGCAAACATTAGATTTGTAAAAATGTAAAACAATAGCACTCTTTTTACTAATTTAACACAATTTTTAAAAATAAATATGCTATTTATGTTAATATGTAATGGGTTTGTTAATGTTTAAGTGATTAACAAATACACGTGTTAAATCTAGTTTACTTTCTGCCGGGCGTGGTGGCTCACGCCTGTAATCCCAGCACTTTGGGAGGCCGAGGCAGGCAGATCACGAGGTCAGGAGATCGAGACAATCCTGGCTAACAGGTGAAACCTCATCTCTACTAAAAATAAAAAACATTAGCCAGGCATCGTGGTGGGTGCCTGTAGTCCCAGCTACTCAGGAGGCTGAGGCAGGAGAATGGTGTGAACCCGGGAGTTGGAGCTTGCAGTGAGCCGAGATTGCGCCACTGCACTCCAACCTGGGTGACAGAGCAAGACACTGTCTCAGAAAAAAAAATATCTAGTTTAATTTCCAATACAGTAAATATCAATAGATGCATTCCATATAAATAAAAGCATTTGAGAGTATAAAGGGGCCTTGAGATAACATTTTTTGTATAAAGGGGTCTTTAGATCAAATTTTTGGAGAAGTTTTGCTATACACTATACTTCAGTTTGGTTCCAGTTCAGTGGAAAATGTGAATTTGTAATTCGTGTTAATGATTTAAACGAGAAATTTTAGTTGAGTTAATGATTCCATGAAAAATCGATATATGAAATCACTGTAATAAATTATAGTGGTTTGCTAATGTTTTAGGTTCCTGATTATAGTACATTATTTTTATAGGTGATTGAAAGAAATAGAGTCATATTGGCTAGAAGACTTTACCTTAATGAAAAAGGCTGGAATAAATACACTAAGCATTTCATCATACTGCTATCAAACAAGGTAAAGGTCAATTATCTTCAGTTATGGGAAAAAAAGATGCCAAGTGGTGAGGGTTGAGACTGTAAGATGCCTTTGTTAAATTTATCGATTTTAAAAATATCATTTTATATTAGTGCTTATTGTACAGAATGAAAAATCTATGGGAAGGTGAATAAAGGCCCTTATTTCTCTATATTTGTCTTCTAATTAAAGCAATTTATTTAAGTTTAATAACACTACAAGGTTACTCATACAATTATGATCCTATTGATTCATGGTTAAAGTAAAAAAAGTAAATAGCTGTGTTTTTTGAAATAGTTGCATTATCAATTTTATGGGAAAATTCAGTGAGCACACTAGATAGAAAAGGAGGGCATTTAGCATGTTTCTACTGAGTCAAAGCATTTACACTAGTCATTTCATTTAACTCTTAAGACAATTCTGTGAGATAGATATTAGGGTCTTTATGGATAATAAAAATTAATCCCAAATAGATTAGATATCATTGCCCAAGGTTACACAGCCAGTAATAGCTATAATTCACATTTGGTTTGGTTTGGCTTCTTGGTTCCTGTTCTGTCTAGCACACCACACTGCCCCTGTGAAAGTCCTATGGAAACATTGGGTTCATGTTGCAAAGGAAAAAAAAATCTTGTCTCTTAATACTTTATAAGAAATGCCATGGAAAATTCATCACCAAATGAATGGTGTAGTAGTGTAACTTTTCAATTTTTAATCAATTTTCTATGAATTTCTCTAGTATTACAATATTAATAATGGCCTGGTATATGTTAATGACTATTTGTTATATACATAAATGAATATATTATTTGATTCTATGCATTTTATATAGGACACTGAAGACCTTGCACTGTTGCAGAAGTTGACACAAAAATGGAGAAACTTAGTGAATAAACTTAAACAAGAGGTAGAACAAATGGAAGAGTCTACAAGCGAGACACTGAAAATTGTTAAGGATGGGCTTATCAAATGGCAGGAGTTCTTCAAGTGAGTCACCAAGAATCTTGTTTTTCTGATTATACTTATGTCTGATAACTCAGTCAAATTCTCTGTGTTCCTCCTTCTGTCTTTTACCTTGTAATCACTCTAACATTGATTTTGGGGAGCAGTCCCTATGAAGGCACAATCCTGCTAACAACCTTGAATAGTCCTGTGGTTTCTAGTGCTAAGTATCTCTCTAGTCCATCCCGATCCCCCTGCTCAACTGCTGCTGTCCCCATTTGAGTCCAGTTCTTTTTCTTTTCTCTCTTTTTGAAATAAAGTCAACTTATTTCATTACTTTGGCAAACTTGAGTATTTGGATCCATCTGCAAATCATATGCAGAGACGTAAAACCAATGGGTGACAGTTAGAGGGAGATGGTTTTGATCGGATATCATACTTTGCAATGATTAGAGAAATCTGACAATGAAAGAAGCTGCTAATAAAGTAGTTAAGTTGAGGTCAGATGGCTAAATCACAGCCAAGGTTAGTGGGAATCTATGCTTTGGATGCAGTCTGGACTAAATTTCTTTTTTTAAATTTAATTTTATTTTTTTTTGAGACTGGGTCTTATTCTGTCACCCAAGCTGGAGTGCAGTGGCGCAATCTTGGCTCACTGCTGCCTCCATCTCCTGGGTTCAAGCGATTCTCCCACCTCAGCCTCCCAAGTAGCTGGGATTACAGGCATGCGCCACCACACCCGGCTAATTTTTGTATTTTTAGTACAGACAGAGTTTTACCATGTTAGCCAGGCTGATCTCGAACTCCTGGCCTTAGGAGATCCACCCACCTAGGCCTCCCAAAGTGCTGGGATTACAGGCATGAGCCACCATGCCCAGCCTGGACTAGATGATTTCTAAGGTTTTTGTTTGTTTGTTTGTTTGTTGTTGTTGTGTTGTTGTTGTTTTTTAACTTTAAGATGCTTTGTCTGTTGAGGCCTGGACTAGATGATTTCTAAGGTTTTTTTTTTTTTTTAAATTTTAAGATGCTTTGTCTGTTAGGTAGCATTTCCATTTCAAATTGAGAATAATGGTTTCAGTTTTTCATACCCCCTTAAAGGTTTCCCCATTAGTAGATTTGGAAGTTCTGGAAGCTGAAGCTGGTATGTCTCCAAGCTGGCTGCTCCTGCCGTGTACCCATTTCTATTGTTTGTTGATTCTTAGCTGGGAGGTGTGCACGGGTGGCCATAGTTCTTGTCTCTTTAGCTTCAGAAGCTTATTTATCAATAGCTTTCACCTTGTGAGACTTCAGAGCCATTAAAGGAAATTGTTTTCTACCAGAAGTTGGGATTTCTGGCTTAAATGTTGAGTCTTAATCACTGTAAAGGCTTTCTTTCTATTTATATAGTGCTTTGACAGCTGCATTCAACAGATCTTCTGATAATGATCTGGTTTTTAATTCTCAAGACTCAAGAGACCACCCTTTAAAAAAAATACTCTTGTGGCCCATGGCCCTGTAACTTGATTGCTCAGGTCTGAATAGAATCTGAATTTATGTTTACAAATTTAATGATAAATACCTGTGGGGAGAGGGGCTGGACCTGGAAGGCATGCTTCAAAATTATTGAGGAGAAATATGTTAGTTGTTTAGTCTTTAGTGTGTGAACTGATGATCTTGTTTATGTCTTGTTCTGAGATGTTTCTCTTTTTTTTTTTCTTCTTTTCAGTGAAAAAGACATTTTATCCCCTAATAAGGGAAATATATTTAATTCAGTTCTTTTAGACTTCAAACAGTGGCAGAAGGTAAGACTTTTTAATAAAGAGCTTGGCAATCAAAGTGCTGATTGTAAACTTGGCATTCCGGACCTACAACTGAGGCACATCCCATCCTTTTTTTTTTTTGGGACGTTGTCTCACTCACTGTCGCCCAGGCTGGAGCGCAGTAGTGTGATCTTGGTTCACTACAACTTCCACCTCCTGAGTTCAAGCGATTCTCCTGCCTCAGCCTCCCAAGTAGCTAGGATTACAGGCATGTGCCACCACGCTTGGCTAATTTTTGTATTTGTAGTAGATACAAGGTTTCACCATGTTGGCCAGGATGGTCTTGAACTCCTGACCTGAAGTGATCCACCCACCTCGGCCTCCCAAAGTGTTGGGATTACAGGTGTGAGTCACCATGCCCGACCACATCTCATTCTTTAAAAATGCCATATTAGGGGCCGGGCACGGTGGCTCACACCTGTAATTCCAGCTACTTAGAGGCTGAGGCAGGAGAATCACTTGAACCAGGGAGTCACAGGTTGCAGTGAGCCGAGATTGCACCACTGCACTCCAGCCTGGGCAACACAGCAAGACTCCATCTCAAAAAAAAAAAATGCAATGTTAAGTTTTATGAACAACAAGGAAAAAAGCAAGTGCTCAGGGACTTTAAAAAATATGCTTAAATATTCTCAGTTCTATTTCAGATTTTTGGGTCAAATTAAGTTAGGCTGCTAGAAAAGAAATCAGGAATTTGTTATTGGTCTGTTCAGGGATTCAACTTCTTACTGGTTTCGTCTTGGGAGGGTGATGTGTCCAGGAATTTATCCGTTTCTTCTAGATTTTCTAGTTTATTTGCATAGAGGTGTTTATAGTATTCTCTGATGGTAGTTTGTATTTCTGTGGGATCAGTAGTGATTTCTCCTTTATCATTTTTTATTGTGTCTATTCGATTCTTCTCTCTTCTTTATTAGTCTAGCTAGTGGTCTATTTTGTTAATTTTTTCAAAAAAAATAGCTCCTGGATTCATTGATTCTTTGAAGGGTTTTTCACATCTCTATTTCCCTCAGTTCTGCTCTGATCTTAGTTGTTTCTTGCCTTCTGCTAGCTTTTGGATTTGTTTGCTTTTGCTTCTCCAGTTATTCTAATTGTGATGTTAGGGTGTTGATTTGAGATCCTTCTAGTTTTCTGATGTGGGCATTTAGTGCTATAAATTTCCATCTTAACGCTGCTTTAGCTGTGTCCCAGACATTCTGGTGTGTTGTCTCTTTGTTCTCATTGGTTTCAAAGAACTTCTTGATTTCTGCCTTAATTTCATTATTACCCAGGAGTCATTCAGGAGCAGGTTGTTCAATTTCCATGCAGTTGTATGGTTTTGAGTGAGTTTCTTAATCCTGAGTTCTAATTTGATTGCACTGTGGTCTGGGAGATTGTTTGTTATGATTTCAGTTCTTTTGCATTTTCTGAGGAGTGTTTTACTTCCAATTGTGTGGATGATTTTAGAATAAGTGCCATGTGGCACTGAGAAGATTTGTTGATTTGGGGTTGAGAGTTCTGTAGATGTCTATTAGATCTACTTGATCCAGAGCTGAGTTCAAGTCCGAAATATCCTTGTTAATTTTCTGTCTCATCAATCTGTCTAATATTGACAGTGGGGTGTTAAAGTCTCCCACTACTATTGTGGAGTCTAAGTCTCTTTGTAGGTCTCTAAGAACTTGTTTTATGAATCTGGGTGCTTCTGTGTTGGGTGCATACATATTTAGGATAGTTAGCTCTTTCATTGAATTGATCCCTTTACCATTATGTAATGCCCTTCTTTGTCTTTTTTGATCTTTGTTGGTTTAAGGTCTATTTTGTCAGAGACTAGTGTTGCAACCCCTGCTTTTTTTGCTTTCCATTTGCTTGGTAATTAATAACCTACCAACCAAAAAAAGCCAAGGACCACACAGATTCACAGCCAAATTCTACCAGAGGTACAAAGAGGAGCTGTTACCATTTCTTCTGAAACTATTCCAAACAATTGAAAAGGAGGGACTCCTCCTTAACTCATTTATGAGGCCAGCATCATCCTGATACCAAAACCTGGCAGAGACACAACAAAAAAAAGAAAACTTCAGGCCAGTATCCCTGATGAACATTGATGCGAAAATCCTCAATAAAATACTGGCAAACCGAATCCAGCAGCACATCAAAAATCTTATCCACCATGATCAAGTCGGCTTTATCCCTGGGATGCAAGGGTGATTCAACATACACAAATCAATAAATGTAATCTATCACATAAACAGAACCAATGACAAAACCCACATGATTATCTCAGTAGTTGCAGAAAAGGCCTTTCACAAAATTCAACATCCCTTTATGTTAAAAACTCTCAATAAACTAGGTATTGATAGAACATATCTCAAAATAATAAGAGCTATTTATGTCAAACCCACAGCCAATATCATACTGAATGGGCAAAATCTGGAAGCATTCCCTTTGAAAAGACAAGGGTACCCTCTCACCTCTCCTATTCAACATAGTATTGGAAGTTCTGGCCAGGACAATCAGGCAAGATAAAGAAATAGAGAGTATTCACATAGGAAGGGTAGAGGTCAAATTATCTCTGTTTGCAGTTGACATGATTCTATGTTTAGAAAACCCCATCGTCTCAGCCCCAAAACTCCTTAAGCTGATAAGCAACTTCAGCAAAATCACAGGAAACAAAATCAACGTGCAAAAATCACAAGCATTTCTATGCACCAACAATATACAAGCAGAGAGCCAAATCATGGATTAACTCCCATTCATAGCTGCTAAAAAGAGAATAAAATACCTAGGAATACAGCCAATAAGGGATGCGAAGGACCTCTTCAAGGAGAACTACAAAACACTGCTCAAGGAAATAAGAGAGAACTGAAACAAATGGAAAAACATTCCATCCTCATGGATAGGAAAAATCAATATTGCGAAAATGGCCATACTGCCCAAAGTAATTTATAGATTCAATGCTTTTCCCATCAAGTTAGCATTGACATTCTTCACAGAATTAGAAAAGACTACTTTAAATTTCATATGGAACCAAAAAAGAGCGCATATTGCTAAGACAATCCTAAGAAAAAGAACAAAGCTGGAGGCATCATGCTACCTGATTCAAACTATGCTACAAGATGACAGTAACCAAAACGTCATGGTACTGGTACCAAAACAGACATATAGACCAATGGAATAAAACAAACAGAGACCTGAGAAATAACACCACACATCTACAACCATCTGATATTTGACCAACCTGACAAAAACATGCAATGGGGAAAAGGTTCTGTTTAATAAATGGTGCTAGGAAAACTGGCTAGTCATATGCAGAAAACTGAAACTTGACCCCTTCCTTACATCTTATATAAAAATTTACTCAAGATGGATTAAAGACTTTAAAATCCCAAACAATAAAAACCCTAGAAGAAAATCTAGGCAATACCATTCAGGACATAGGCATGGGCAAAGATTTTATGATGAAAATGCCAAAAGCAATTGCAACAAAAACCAAAATTGACAAATGGGATCTAATTAGACTAAAGACCTTTTGCATAGCAAAATAAACTATCATCAGAGTGAACAGGCAGCCTACAGAATGGGAGAAAAGTTTTGCAATCTATCCATCTGACAGAGGTCTAATATCCAGAATCTATAAGGAACTTAAACAAATTTACAAGAAAAAAAAATGAACAACCCCCTCAAAAAGTGGGCAAAGGATATGAACAGACATTTCTCAAAAGAAGACATTTATGTGGCCAACAAACATGAAGAAAAAAAAAGCTCAACATCACTGATAATTAGAGAAATGCAAATCAAAACCACAATGAGATACATCTCATGCCAGTCAGAATGGTGATTATTAAAAAGTCAAGAACCAATAGATGCTGGTGAGGCTGTGGAGAAATGGGAATGCCTTTACATTGTTGGTGGGAATGTAAATTGGTTCAACCATTGTGGAAGACAATGTAGTGATGCCTCAAGGATCTAGAACTAGAAATACCATTTGACAGCAATCCCATTACTGGGTATATACCCAAAGGAAGATAAATCATTCTACTGTAAAGACACGTGCACATGTATATTTATTGCAGCACTATTTACAACAGCAAAGACATGGAACCAACCCAATGCCCATCAATGGTAGACTGGATAAAGAAAATGTGGTACATATACACCATGAAATACCATGCAGCCATAGAAAGGAATGAGATCATGTCCTTTGCAGGGACATGGATGAAGCTGGAAGCCATCATCCTCAACAAACTAACACAGGAACAGAAAACAAAACACTGCTTGTTCTCACTCATAACTGGGAGTTGAACAATGAGCACACATGGACACAGGAAGGGGAAAAACCACACACTGGAGCCTGTTGGAGGGTGCAGGGGCAAGGGGAAGGAGGGCATTAGGACAAATAGCTAATGCATGCTTGGCTTAAAACCTAGATGATGAGCTGATAGGTGCAGCAAACCACCATGGCACACGTATACCTGTGTAACAAACCTGCACATTCTGCACATGTATCCCCAAACTTAGAGTAAAAAAAAAAAAGTCTATGTTGAACACAAAAAGCTCGGTAGATATCAGCTTTACACTTTTTTCTTCTTTGAATATATATTTGCTTATGCAGGGTAAAGATTAGTAACTTTTGCTTTCATGTGTAGCTTAAAATGACAGCTCTACTGTATATTACATTGTAAAGCTTTGTTTCTCCCAACATATGTCTTCTTCATCTATAAAAGAGACACTCACTGAAAAAAAAAAAAAAAAAAGGAAAGAAATTAGGAAAATCTCCTTGGGTGGCAGTGAGTGTAACCCGCACAGACCTAGGGGGACTGAACAAAGGGGGGCAAATGTGGGAATAAAAGACAAAAGAGTATATTTGGAAGAAGGGGTCGGGGGCACCTTGCCTCTAGTGGACAAGGACCCTGAGCTTTACAAAGCCCTCTGTATTTATTAGGCAAAAGAGATAGCGAGAAAGGGGGCGGGTGATTGTCGGGTAATTGTCAGTGGGCCATTTGGTTCTCAGCAGGCTTGCGAGACTGCATCCTTTGAACAATAGGTGCTAGATTTCTCAGTAGGTAACTTCAAGGAGCCTGGTGGCAGGGAGTGATGTCCTTCAGCAAACCTTTTGGTGGCAGGCGCAGTGTGAGTTTGCTCACATCCTGCCTTCATGATAAAGTTTGCTGTTTGATCATATAGCCGCCAGTGGAATGCTGAGTTGGTCACATCCCACAGGCCTTTGGCTCCCTACATATCCCCCTTTCTGTTTATGTATTAATTGAAAGAATGTAAGGCCAGGCTGGGCAGCTCTCATTTTCCAATTGGCGGTCCATCCGATTTTACAGACTATGAACAGAAGACAGAGACAAAACAACATTATTCCAAGAACTACATATAAGATGTTAAGGTGGTGCTTCAGATAGGTCCAAGGGTTGAGGCTCTCCAGGCCTTGCTGGAATTCAGTCCAGTCTTCAAAAGAAGGCTGAAATTCTTGAGTTTACCTATTTAAATCAAGAATTTTGTTTTGCAATTCACCAATATTAAAGGTAATGGCCGGGCATTGTGGCTCATGCCTGTAATCCCAGCACTTTGGGAGGCTGAGGTGGGTGGATCACCTCAGGTCAGGAGTTCAAGACCAGCCTGACCAGTATGGTGAAACCCTGTCTCTACTACAAATACAAAAATTAGCCAGGCATGGTGGCAGGTGACTATAATCCCAGCTACTCAGGATGCTGAGGCTGGAGAATTGCTTGAACCTGAGAGGCAGAGGTTGCAGTGAGCCAAGATCGTGCCACTGCACTCCAGCCTGGGCCACAGAGTGAGACTCCATCTCAAAAATAAGTAAATAAATAAATAAATAAATACATAAAAATAAAACAAAGGTGATGTTGGATGTGAAAGCTACCGGCAAATCGGCTTTCACAAGGTCCCACAGATACTTTGGTTATATTCTACGTTGGTGACACAAATATGAGTGTGATTAAAATGACAATGCATTTGCTGCTGCAACTGCAAGCTTTGTACTTGTTCCCCTAACCATAGGACCGTGGATTTTAACATTACCACTTCAATTTGTAACTCAGTGTTAATTTTATTCTGAAGTGGCCACGCTTGGTCGGCTGTGTGCATCCACTTCTTCAGGTACTGAGCTCTTTGAATAGAATCATGCAAAGCTACAGAGGACATCACAACAGAAGTTATTAGTGTGACCAAGGAAACAATAGCAAAAATTATCATGCTTAAGGCTCTAGGACACGATGAGTAAGCTGAGTTAGAAGTTTCACAAAATGCAAAGCAGGTGTGGCAGCCCAAGGCTCAGACAGATTAACAGGAATCCGTAGCCCAGGGATGCGACCTAAAAACCAAAAACCTGAAAGTAGGGATATTATGTGTTTGCAATGTGCTATGATTAATGCAGTGATATAACTGGCAAGATTTGCAGGTCAATTGGGTATTGTTTACCTGGAGCTGGTCCTTCCTAGCTGCCAAAAAAAGCGACTGTGTCGCTTACCATTGCTATTATTGGATAATATTCCAACCCAGATGTTGCCATTCATAAATGGGAGTGCTGCCTTCTATATCGTCTCTTGAATTGGTCCTTTCCTCCCTGGATAATGCCAGAGGAAAAGGTGGGCTAAAGCCTGCTCCATGCCAAGCAATCTGGGCGGCAGACTGGGATTGGATCTCGGTGTTGTATAAAGAAGAAGCATTAAAAGCTTGCTACCAATGCCAGCGAAGTTTGTGCTATGATTTCTGATTTTCATCTTTTCCATCTAATTGACCTTTAGGTCTCCAATCCACAATGTCTCCAGTTACCATAGATTGTTTTCTAGCCAGTGGACCAAGACACTGGGCCCACAGAAGGGGATAGGAGCTATTGAATGGAATCTATTCTGTATAATCAGCACAATTAGGGCGACTGGGCCAGGAATGGTTGGTGAGCACACCAGTTACATTAATAGAACCAAGACCTAATAAGTACATAATTTTTCCATAGTGACTCAACCATGTTTGAGCTTGAATTGTAAGACAGCTATGGCTGAGCGATGTCTGTGTAGTGATACACAAAGGAAGTCCTTCCAGTGGAAGGTATAATTAATGACATTATTCTGAGAATCTAACTGTTCTATGTCAGGGGGAGTTAGGGGTCCTGGAGCCTACTCTCCCTGATCATGACAAATCTCAGGAGGAGTTTCACTCCAAAGTTTAGGTCGTACTGCTGGGGGATTGGGAACATATGCCCAGTATGTTTTTGCCTCTGCACAGGGAAAACATACTGCACAGGACATTATGGCTAACATGGCCAAGAATATGGAATCAGGGGTTTTTGCCTGTCCCTGATGCTCCAGTAGTTTCTCAGCTTCCTGCATGGTTTTCTTGAGTTGTCCCCAGGTTATGAGGGTTGATGTCATCGTGACCCTTGTCAGCCTTCTCTCCGTCTTTGCACTCAGGCTCAGCTGGCTCATGGCTCGTACCGGAGGGACCGGGCCCATGGTTGGCCACCCTGGGTTCCTCCAGTCTCCCATTCCATGGCCACACGCACCTTGAGGGCACCCACATGGTTTCTCCATCTCCTGTAAAAACACAAGCATACCCTTGTCCCTACGTCAGTAAATCCACTGGACCTTTCCATTGTCCTTCTTCTGCAGATATCCGTAACATTTTCGGATAAATTTTCCTCTTTTCCTCTAACACTTGCCAGTGTCTTTCTGCTGGAGTCTTATCATTTGTACCAGGAGTCAAAAAATTTAAAGTAAATAAAGCTAAATATAGTTTTGATTGAGGTGGCAGTTGGCTTCCTATACCCCCTTTTTGTCTTTTCAACATGCATTGTAATGTTTGATGTGCCCACTCTATAATGCCTTGTCCTCTAGGATTATAAGGAATTCCTATTTTGTGGGTTATAGCCCAAAGCTGTAAGAAATTTTGAAAAGCATACTAGTATAAGCAGATCCATGGTCAGTTTTAATTGTTCAGGTATCCCATATGAGCAACTGATGACAGACAATGTCACTGTACATGACCAGCTGTCTCACCTGTTTGGCATGTAGCATGCAGCATATGAGAATAAGTGTCTATAGTCACATGAACATAGCTGAGCTTAGCAAAGGTTGCTATGTGTGTAACATCCATTTGCCAAATTTCATTTGGAGCCAAACCTCATAGGTTACAGCATTCTACAGGTGTGGCTCCAGGGAGACATGCTGGCAAGTAGGACTGGCTTGTATTATAGCCCTAGCTTGGCTGTGACATAAATGGAACAGGCGAGTAAGGGCAGAAGTATTTTGGTGCAGCAGCGTGTGAGACACTTGAGCTTGCTGAAACACAGAACCAATCAATTTGTCTGCTTCTCATTACCTAGAGATAGTGGCCCAGAAAGTTGTGTGTGAGAGCAAATAAGAGAAATGTGAAGAGAAGCTGCACGAGAGCGAATAACTTGTTGAAGTCTTAAAAATAAATTCAGCAGTTCTGGGTCTAGTATACTTTTAATTGTAGCAGTTTCTATGCGACCGGCTACATTTACAGCATAAGCTGAATCACAGACAATGTTGATAGGATCTGAAGCTGTGAGCTCTAAAACCTGAATGACTGTAATTAGCTCTGAGTGTTGAGCTGAAACCCCAGAGGTCATTATTGTTTGAGTATGTTTTGGTCCACAGATAGTGGCACAACCTTTGGAAGGGCCATCAATAAAATAAGTTTGTCCACCTGGAGTAGGGTGAGGGAATCAATGTACCTCCGGGAACCCATCCCTGAAACGGGGTTGAGGTCTGGACTAGGAATACTCTTACTGTGTGTGGGGCCCAAGTCCAGGCCCTTGTCTCGTTACCCGGCAGGAGAGTGCCATTCTGATGAATTTTGAGCAGCACTGATTGGCCCATTGATTTCCTTTGTTACAGCAAGGACAAAGTCCTGCGTTTTTTCCGTTGGGTGGGGCACAGCATTGTAAGGTCCTTTCTATCCTAACATATGGCGGCATTCCTTTTTAAAATGTCCAGTTTTTCCACAATTATAACATTTTCCCATTTTAGGGCTTGACCTTTGGCTCCTTTTAGATTTGTCAACTGCCAAATTAGCCATTGCTTGTGCTAACACTGCAGAGCAATGAAGCTCAGTTCCTACATCCTGACAAGCTCTGAGAAAATTTCCCAAGTTTTTTGTACACCTCACCAGTGCCAGTGCACATTTCCAATCCGCATTTGCATTCTCAAAAGCTAGAGTTAAGGTTAGCATTTCTGCGGCCACGGTATGAGGAATCTGACGCTTCACTGCCTCTTGTAATCTTGCAAGTACTTGCACATAGGGTTCCTGTGACACTTACATGTATGTAAAAAAGATTGTACTGGGACTCCCTCTTCAGGAATTGTGGCCCAGGCACATTTAGCGGCCTGTACACACTGCTGATAAGCAGCATCTGGGAGTGCCATTTAACATTCCAGGTCTGAATAAGGGCTATTACCTAACAGCATATCCTCTGTAATGTCTCCATTTCCAGCAGCATGGTTCTGTCTAGCCTGGTCTGCAGACATTTCTTGCCAATTTAAATTCCATATCAGATATGCGCTAGCAGACAAGCAAGTTCACGCCAAGTGTTTCTCATCAAAGGGTAAAAGACGCATAGCACCAAACACAGATTCTAGCAATCTTAAGGTGAATGGGCTCTGTACGCTATTATTTATCACACTTACTTTTAATTCCTTTAACAACTTAAACTCTAGTGGAGTGTGTTCATGAATAACCTGCTGTGGATTATTTGGATCAGGCCTTACGGAACTAGGAAAAGCACAAGGTCCTAAGGGCTCTCCAGCTATGGCAGCACAGCGTAAAATTCTTTGTATTGGGGTTTCTATTTCTGCTACCAAACGAGGCCGTACAGATGTTTCTGCAACTGGAAGAGGCGGTATAGGCCACTTTTTATCCTCCCTCTCCTGTTTTTATTTTCAATTGGAGCTGTGGGTGGGACGACAGATTCTTTCAGATTTTTAGATTCAGCCTGCTGTCCTGCAGAATAATAAGGAGATAATGGCAGAAGTACAGTACGAACTAAACTCCACGTGGAGAAAACTGAAGAATCAACTTTAAGACCTTTTTGATGAGCCTGTTTTAATCCTTCTCCTGCTCTATCCCAATTTTCCACATCAAGAGTGCCTGCCTGTGGAAACCATGGGTTATGCGTAATAACCTCCTGCAGCAGCTTAGTCAATGTCTGAGAACTAACCTGAGGACCATTTCGTTTCAACAAAATTTTAAGCAACTGTACATAATGTTTTTCTTCAACAGACAAATTCTGCTCCATGTTACCCTGATTCAGAAAACTTCCCATTCCCATTACTTCTTTAAAGCACTGCTCTCGGTACCTCTTTAGGGCACTGACCTTACATCCGCTGCCGGCAGACTCATCCCGGGGTCACTGTTTGCCTTGTCAATTTTAGTTCCTCTGTTCCAGCAGACCTTCTTTGTTCACATCCTTGAAGTCCTGTGTTCGGATGCCACTATGTAACCCGCACGAAACTAGGGGGACTGAACAAAGTGGGGCGAACGTGGGAATAAAAGACAAGAGACAAAAGAGTATATTTGGAAGAAGGGGTCAGGGGGCACCTTGCCTCTGGTGCACAAGGGCCCTGAGCTTTACACAGCGCTCCATATGTATTAGGTAAAAGAGATAGCGAGAAAGGGGGGCGGTGATTGTCGAGTAATTGTCAATGGGCCATTTGGTTCACAGCAGGCTTGTGAGACTGCATCCTTTGAACAATAGGTGCTAGATTTCTCAATAGATAACTTCAAGGAGCCCAGCGCCAAGGAGTGATGTCCCTCAGCAAACCTTTTGGTGGCAGGCGCAGTGTGAGTTTGTTCACATCTTGCATTCATGATAAACAGTTTGCTGTTTGATCATATAGCCTCAAGTGGAGCGCTGAGTTGGTCCCGTCCCACGGGGCTTCGGCTCCCTATAAGTGAGGGTAGTTCAATGCTATTATCTAATTGTCAGACATAAGTAATGTTTGTGCCTATCCTATATCTGGCTTTTAAGGACAAATTGGACTTTTAAAATTAATAACATCTTTTTTTATTGTGGTAAAATATATACAACACAAAATTTACCATTTTAATCATTTTTAAGCATACAGTTCAGTTGCCCTAAATATATTTATATTGTTGTACAACCATCACCACCATTCATTTCCAGGACTTTTTCTTTTCCCCAAACTGACATTCTGTACCCATTAAACTGTAAGTCCCTATTTCTGCCTCCCCCAACCCCCTGGGCAATCTCATTCTACTTTCTGTTTATGAATGTGACTACTCTAGGCATCTCATATAAGTGGAATCATACAGTATTTTACTTTTGTGAGTAGCTTATTTCCCTCAGCATAATGTCCTCAGGGTTCATCCATTTTGCAGCAAGTGTCAGAATTTTCTTTCTTTTCAAGGTTCAATAATATCCCATTGTATTTATATACCACATTTTGTTTATACATTAATAACATAATCTTTAAGGGGTCAGAGCTTGGAAAATAGATTTCATTGATCAAATTACTATCATGTTATAGTAGTCTGACAAAGGAAAATATAAGTGACATTGAAATACTTCCAAAGTGATTATCAAAATCATTCCCTAATAAAATTTCATAAGATCCCAACAAACCATTTTCTTTTCTTTAGGAATAACTTGAACAGTATATTCTCAGAATTGAAGATATTTCCTGTTCTATATACAACATGTCTAGTTTAGTGAATTTTTTTTTTTTTTTTTACTTTTTATCTGGAGGTTTTGACATGCATAGAAAAAATAGAAAAAAGTCATACCTCTTCAATTTAGGAATAGTAATAGCTCTCATTTATTAAGCACTTACTCTGTGTGAGGAGCTGAAAATGTGTTTTCCATATATTATCTTACTTACTCTTCATGGCTGCCCTATGATGCAAGTCTTATAATCTCCATGTCCCAGATGTGGAAATCGAAGCCTAGGATGTTAAGTAACTTACCTAAGTTATCTATAAAAGGTAAGTGGCAGAGTCAGAATTTGAGTCCAGATCTCTCCAGTTTCAAAGTTCTTACTCCTAATTGCTCTTCTACACTGTCTCCCCATGCTAATTACTCTTATTGAAGGCTGGGTAATGTTCCTATTATCTGAGCACAAATAATGCCAAATTATATATATAAATTGTACCTTATTTTTCCACAAATATTTATTGATATGTCATGTTCAGGACTTGGACTTGGGTTTACACAGATAAACAAAACATGAATAAAATACAACTTGTATATTCTAGGAACTTTCCCAGTCTAGTGGGGATCATGTAAACAGATATATTACAACCTTACTAAAGCCAATAGTATTAAACATGCTTAGCTTTGTAGGACTTAATTGCTTATCACTACTTTTTTTTTTTTTTTAACCACATAGGATTTAATATAATGATTTTCATCCTGGTAAACTATGGGTTATCTCATAGAGTACCAAAATTAGTTTAAATTCATTTTAATTTAAAAATAAGATATATGTCATATACCATCTCTTTGGAGCATAATAATAATAGGATATGCAACTCCAAAATAATTGGGAGTCACTGGGGAATAAGCATCTGGTAGACTTTGATAAACTCATTAGTGGATAATATGCTACTCTCCCTCTTCCTTTCACTCTTTAGATCCTGAATGAGAAAAAAGAAGAGTTTACTGGGGATGTTCTACTGTCAAAATACGATACTCTCAAGATTATTAAACATTTACAGGAAAACTGGGCAGATATTGGGCTTGGGATATTTAATCGGCATAAAAGTTTGGAGGGGGAGATGCCATCAGAGCGACAGTACATGGAGGAAATTATCAAAAACATACAAAAACTCTACAAAGAATATGAAATAAGAATAAATGGGGACAATGGTAAGAAAATACTCATAATAATTAGATTTCTTGGTATAAAATGTTTCCACAATAATTATTTTCAATACAATGAATATTTAAAATAAAAGTAATAAATCCATATAGTTTTAAAAACCAAGCAAAATAAGCAAAGCATTGAGCATCACTTTGAGATATAATTTATATACATTACAATTCACCTATTTAAAGTGTATAATTCAGTGATTTTTATTATATTCACAGATGTGTGCATCTATTACCACAGTCAATTTTAGATTATTTTCATCAAAATGAACCTCAAAAGAAACCCCATACTCTTTAGCTCTCACCCTCTTACCCCCAACATCGTCACTTCAGTCCTAAGTTTGCTTTCTGTCTCTATAGATTTCCCTGTTCTGGACTTTCATGTGAATGAATTCATGTTCTGTTTGATCTTTTGACTGGGTTCTTTCACTTGGGATAATGTTTTCAATGTTCATCCATGTTTTAGCAATTATCAGTACTTCACCCATTTTTATGGCCTAATAATAGTGTATGTATAAATCACATTTTATCATTTCATCTGTTGGTAGGCATTTGGGTTGTTTCCACTTTTTGACTATTATGAATATTGCTGACATAGACATTTATTACACATTTCCTGGTAGAAATATGTTTTCATTTTCCTTGGATATATGCACAGGAGTGAAATTCTTGGTCATTTGATAACTATATCTTTAACTTTTTGAAGCCTGCCACACTGTTTTCAAGGAGGCTGCATCATTTTATATTCCCACCAGCAGTGTATGAAGGTTCCACTTTCTCTGCATACTTGCTAGTACTTGTCTCACTTTTAAATTCTGGCCATACTAGTGGGTGTAAAATAAAATCTCACTGTGGTTTTGATTTGTGTTTTCCTGATGACTACTGATGTCAAGCATTTTTTAAAGGTTTATTAGCCACTTATATATCTTCTTTGGAGAAATGTCTGCTCAGGTACTTTGCCTATGTTTTTTTTCTAAGACAAAAATTGATTTATAACATGTATAGAAAGAAAAGCCATTTTCTAAGGTTTCATACTACCAGAGAACAGATACCATTGTTCAACATTAATGAATATTGTGTGTTATTGTGCACTATTATCACTTGTGTTAGAATTCTAGACAAATGTCCACCAACTGACAGTGTAACTCTTTGAAAATGTCAAATAGAATGAGACCTATCTGAGATATTATTCTGTGAAGTAACATTCTATATAAGTGGTTCTCAAACTTTAGTGTGATTAGGGATTCGGTGAAGAATGCAGATTCCTGAGCCCTGCCTCCAGTCTCCTTGGTACACTGTGTCTACAGAGATACCCATAAACTGGCAATTTTAGCAAGCATCCCAGGTGATTCTGTTGCCAGTGGTCTACATATCATACTTCTTTTTAAAAAATGTCCTTTATTGGGAGTCCATTAGTAGCTAGGTCTAACATAAATGTAAAACACCCTTTCACATACTCTAATGATTCTTTGCCCATATTTTATTTAGGTTGTCTTTTTATTATTGAGTTATAAGACTGCTTAATATGTTCTGAATACAAGTCCCTTTTCAGATATGTGAATTCTAAACACTTTATCTTTTTCTGTGGGTGGCTTTTCCATTTTCTTGATAGTGTCCTTTTTTTTTTTTAAACAGAATAAATAAGTCATGTTTAATGCTTCTAGCCTGGTAAAATTAAAAATTAAACATAATAATCTCTCTATATTTTACTTTTAAAAATTGATTGGAAGTGTATTACATATTAATGGGGTACATGTGAGTATTTGTTACATTCATAGAATGTGTAATGATCAAGGTCAGGGTATTTGAGGTATCTATTATCCTGAGTATTTATCCCTTCTATGTGTTGGGAACATTTCAAGTCCTCTCTTCTAGCTACTTTGAAATATACTTCATCTACAATGTTGCTAACTATAGTCACCCTTCTCTCCTATTGAATACAGGGGTATATTTGTTCTATCTAAGTGTATGGTTTTACCCACTAATCAACCTCTCTTTATCCCTTCTCCCACCCACACACCCTTCCCAGCATCTGCTATCATTCTATTCTCTATCTCCACAAGATCAAATTTTTTAGGTTCCACACATGAGTGAGAACATGCAATATCTATCTTTCCATGCCTGGCTTATTTCATTTAACACAATAACCTCCAGTTCCATCCATGTTCATATTTAGCTTTAATTTTAAATAACCATTAAGCAAATTTCCATAATCTGATTTTTGTGTATTTAAGATAGTGTTGTCCCTTCAAATACTAATTTTGAATGGAAATATTCATTAGGAATAGGTATAGATTCTACAGTTGGCGCAGAAAATTCCAAAGGAAGCTACAGGCTATGTATAAAATACATGTTTTAAAGAATGAAGTTGAAGAAAGGTTCAACTTACTAGTGGAGGTGTCATGCCCTTGCTTGAAGCGGGGATGACAACTCGAAGATCTGGTTTTCCACTGTTCATTCCAAGATTACTGCCACCTGGTGGAGGGGGAGACTTTGTAGGCATGACTTTACCTAAACTATTTGCACCAGTAGCTCCAATCAAATTTGGAGAAGCTCTTGAGTTTACAAATTCATTCCCCACTGGGCTGCTTCCAGTTCCATTTGGCACTGTGAAGTCTGTAGTGCCCAACATCCCACCTGCATTGCCAGTACTTGGTGGTCTCTGAGGAGCTCCAGGGGACACATTTCTATGTAATATGGTTTGAGGTGGAGAGAGCGTGTTTAAATCTGTTAACGTTGAGCTGGCTGCCAAAGATGGTGACACCAGTGAACTCCCTGGGTTAGTGTAGGACAAAGCATTGGGGCTTTTCACTGGAACTGTGACAGACATTGAAAAATTCTGAGGTGGCAAACCAGGTGCAATGTTATGATTCTGCATCATATTATCAAATTCCTCATTAATTATTTTTCTTCTGTATATGGAGTTAGCACACATGAAGTATCAGGGTCTGAGCTGTCGCACCCTCTGTGTTCCTTCTTGTTCAGAGCCTCAACAATATCTGAGCTGGTTGTGCTTTCATAAGGTTAATTATATTCTGTATACTTGAGAAGAACTTTGTCCATATCAGTGCTAGCATATTGAAAGAGTTTGTTAGAGCTGTTGAAAATGCACAGTCATAGAGCACACTAAGTTCATAGGCTTTCTTCATTAATCCAAACTCTCTCTTTGTAAAAGTGGCCTCTCAGTTCCTTTCATCCATTATGCATGTGATTTGTATTTTCTTCTGCACCATTTTCAGCCACCTTTCCTTATTTCCTTATATTCCAAATATTTAATATAAAAGTTAATTTTCTTCAATACCGTAATGCATCGTACAGCTTCTGTTATTTCAGCTTCTACTCCAAGGGCTACAGCTGAAATTTTCTACAAGATTGTGTGTGTCTCCTGGGCACGCACACGCTGCAGCCTGGGCCCGCCGCCAGCGCTCCGCACTGCCTGGAGCCGCCTCCTTCAGCTTGGGACTCGCCAGGACATCCTGATAGTGTCCTTTTAAGTACAAAAGTTTTTAATTTCAATGAAGTCCATCCAACTTACCGATTTTATTTTCTTTTTTGTTTGTACTTTTGGTGTCATATCTAAGAATCCTTTCCTAAATTTAAAGTCATGAAGATTTACGTTTAGTTCTTCTAAGAGTTTTATAGTTTTGCTCTTATATAATGGTATTTGATCCATTTTGAGTTAATTTTTTTTTTTTTTGAGACAGAGTTGTGCTGTGTCATGTAGGGTGGAGTGCAGTGGCATGATCTTGTCTCATTGCAGTCTCAGCCTCCTGGGTTTAAGCAATCCTCCCACCTCAACCTCTGAGTAGCTAGGACTACAGGTGTGTGCCACCACTGTTGACTAATTTTTTTATTTTTTGTAGAGACAGGATCTCACCGTGTTGCACAGGCTGGTCTCAAACTTCTGGGTTCAAGCGATCATCCCACTTCAGCCCCCCAAAGTGCTGGAATTAGAGGCATAATCCACCGCACCTGGCCTTGGGTTAATTTTTATATAGTGTGTGAGGTAAGGCTCTAATTTCATTCTTTTGCATGTGGATGTTCAGTTGTCCTAGCACCATTTATTGAAAATAACATTCTTCCTCCATTTAATAGTCTTGGCATCCTTGTCAAAAATCAGTTAACCAGAGATCTCTGGGCTTATTTTGTAGTCTTAAGCCTATTCTACTCATGTGTATGTTTGTCCTTGTGCCACATTGTCTTGATTACTCTTGCTTTAAAGCAAGTTTCAAAATCGAGAAGTATGAGTCCTCCTACTTTATTCTTTTTCATGATTGTTTTGGCTATTCTGCATCTCTTGAAATTCTATATGAATTTTATAATCAGCTTATCAATTTCTATGAAGAAATCAGCTTCTGATAGGGATTATGTTGCATCTGTAGATTTGTTTGGGGAGTATCGCCATCTTAACAATGTTAAGTCTTCCAATCTATAAACATGGATTTTTTTTCAATTATTTAGATATTTTTCAATTTCTCTTAACAATGTTTTATAGTTTTCTGAGGAGTTTTATATTTCTTTTGTTAAATATTTTTTTGAGTATGTTATTCTTCTAGATGATGTGAATGAAGATTTTTTCTCAGTTCTATTTTCAGATTTTTCACTTAAAGTGTATAGAAATAGAATTGATTTTGTATATTGATCTTACATACTGCCATGTTGCTGAACTCATTTATTAGTTCTAATAGTTTCTGGTTTTTTAGTGGACGACTTAGGATTTTCTGTTTATGAGATCATGTTATAGTGAAGAGAGGGTTTTACTAGTTTCTTGCCAATCTGGATTTTTTTTTTTTTTTTTTTTTTTTTTTTTTTTTGAGACAGAGTGTTGCTCTACTGCCCAGGCTAGAGTGCAGTGGTGCGATCTCAGCTCACTGCAACCTCTGCTGCCTGGGTTCAAGCGATTCTCCTGCCCCAGCTTGATTACAGGCATCTGCCAGTAGCTGGGATTACAGGCATCTGCCACATGCCAGGCTAATTTTTGTATTTTTAGTAGAGATGGGGTTTCACCATGTTGGCCAGGCTGGTCTCGAACTCCTGACCTTGTGATCCACCCATCTCAGCCTCCCAAAGTGCTGGGATTATAGGCGTGAGCCATGGTGGCCTGGATTCTTGTATTTATTTTTCTGGCCTAATCGCCCTGGCAAGAACCTCCAGTACAATGTTGAACAGAAATGGTGGGAGTAGATATTCTTGTCTTATTCTTGTCCTTAGTAGGAAAGCATGAGTCTTTGCCGATTAAGTGTGATGTTAGCTGTGGGTTTTTCATAGATGCTTTTTATCAGGTTTAGGAAATTCTGTTCTATTCCTATTGAATTCTTTTACATGAAAATGTGTGGGATTTTTTTTTAAAAATGCTTTCTCTGTATTCATTGAGATAATTGTGTGTCTTTTGTCTTTTATTCTATCAGTAGGATATATTACATTGATTTTTGGATATTAATCCAATCTTCCTTGCCTAGGATCAATCCTACTTCGGGCTGGGAGTGATGGGTCATGCCTGTAATCTCAATGCTTTGGGAGGCCAAGGCAGGAGGATTACTTGAAGCCAGGAATTCGAGACAGCCTGGGCAACATAGTGAGATCCTGTACACATAGCTACATAGCTACTCAGAAGGCTGAGGCAGGAGGATGCCTTGAGCCCAGGAGTTAGAGGCTGCAGTGAGGTATAGCCACACCACTTTACTCCAGCCTGGGTGACAGAGAGAGACACTGTCTCAAAAAAACGTAACCTACTTGATCATGGTATATAATTCTTTTTATATGTTTCTAGCTTTGGTTTGCAGGTATTTGGTTGAGGAGTTTGCATCTATAGTTATAAGATATATTTATCTGTAGCTTTTCTTTCTTGTGATATCTTTATCTGGTTTTGGTGTCAGCATAATACTGGATTCATGAAATGGGCTGGGAAGATTTTCCTCCTTTTCTGTTATTTTGGAAGAGTTTGTAAAGAACTGGTGCTAATTCTTTTTGAATGCTTGATAATATTTAGTGGTAAAGCCATCTGGGCCTGGGCTTAGCTTCATAGGTGGGTTTTTGATTACGGACTTAACCTGCTCTTTAAGAGGTCTATCTATATTGTCTTTTTTTTCTTGGTTTGTTTTGATTCAGTTTTGGTTGTCCGTATATTTCAAAAAAAAAAAAAATCGTCCACTTTATAATCCTTTTTATTTCTCCACAGTTGGTAGTAATGCCCTACAACTTTTAAGTTTCTGATTCTAATAATTTGAGTCTTAATTTTTTCTTGGTCAAACTAGCTAAAGGTTTATCAATTTTGTGGATCTTTTCAAAGAACCAGCTTTTGGATTTCTTGATTTTCTATATTGTTTTTCTATTCTCTATTAATTTTCACTGATATGGCTTGGCTGTGTCCCCACCCAAATCTCATCTTGAATTTCCACATGTTGTGGGAGGGACCCATTGGGAGATAATTGAATCATGAGGCCAGGTCTTTCCCATGCTGTTCTCATGATAGTGAATAAGTCTCACAAGATCTGATGGCTTTATAAGGTAGAGTTTCCCTGCACAAGCTCTCTCTTTGCCTGCTGCCATACACTTAAGATGTGACTTGCTCCTCCTTGCCTTCCACCATGATTATGAGGCTTCCCCAGCCGCATGGAACTATAAGTCCAATAAACCCCTTTTCCCATATAAATTATTCAGTCTTGAGTATGTCTTTATCAGCAGAATGAAAATGGACTAATACAGTAAATTGGTACCAGTAGAGTAGGGTGCTGCTGAAAAGATACCTGAAAATGTGGAAGCGACTTTGGAACTGGGTAACAGGCAGAAGTTGAAATGGTTTGGAGGGCTTAGAAGAAGACAGGAAAATGTGGGAAAGTTTGAAACTCCCTAGAGACTTGTTGAATGGCTTTGAACAAGATGCTAATAATGATATGGACAATGAAATCCAGGCTAAGGTGGTCTCAGATGGAGATGAGGAACTTCTTGGGAACTGGAGCAAAGGTGACTCTTGTTATATTTTAGCAAAGGGACTGGCAGCATTTTGCCCCATCCTAGAGATTTGTGGAACTTTGAACTTGAGAGAGATGATTTAGGGTATCTGGCAGAATAAATTTCTAAGCAACAAAGCATTCAAGAGGTGACTTGAGTGCTGTTAAAGGCATTCAGTTTTAAAAGGGAAACAGAGCATAAAAGTTTGTAAAATTTGCAGCCTGACAATGCGATAGAAAAGAAAATCCCGCCGGGCGCGGTGGCTCACGCCTGTAATCCCAGCACTTTGGGAGGCCGAGGCGGGTGGATCATGAGGTCGGGAGATCGAGACCATCCTGGCTAACAAGGTGAAACCCCGTCTCTACTAAAAATACAAAAAATTAGCCGGGCGCGGTGGCGGGCGCCTGTAGTCCCAGCTACTCGGGAGGCTGAGGCAGGAGAATGGCGTGAACCCGGGAAGCGGAGCTTGCAGTGAGCCGAGATTGCGCCACTGCAGTCCGCAGTCCGGCCTGGGCGACAGAGCGAGACTCCGTCTCAAAAAAAAAAAAAAAAAAAAAAAAAAAGAAAAGAAAATCCCATTTTCTGAGGAGAAAGTCAAGCTGGCTGCAGAAATTTACTTAAGTAATGGGGAGCCAACTGTTAATCCCCCGAGACCATGGGGAAAATGTCTTCAGGGCATGTCATAGGTCTTCATGGCAGCCCCTTCCCATCATAAGCCTGGAGGCCTAGGAGGTAAAAATGGTTTCGTGGGCTGGGTCCAGGGTCCCCATGCTGTGAGTAGCCTAGGGATTTGGTGCCCTGTGTCCCAGCTGCTCTAGCTGTGGCTGAAAGGGGCCAACATAGAGCTCAGGCTGTGGCTTCAGAGGGTGCAAGCCTCAAGCCTTGGCAGCTTCCATGTGGTATTGAACCTGCGGGTGTACAGAAGTCAAGAACTGGGGTTTGGGAACCTCCACCCAGATTTCAGAGGATGTATGGAAACGCCTGGATGCCCAGGCAGAAGTTTGCTGCAGGGGCAGGGCCCTCATGGAAAACCTCTGCTAGGGAAGTGCAGCAGGGAAATGTGGGGTCAGAGACCCCACACAGAGTCTCTACTGGGGCACAGCCTAGTGGAGTTATGAGAAGAGGGCCACTGTCCTCCAGACCCCAGAATGGTAGATCCACCAACAGTTTTCACCATGCACCTGGAAAAGCCACAGACACTCATTGCCAGACCATGAAAGCAGCCGGGAGGCTGTACCGCACAAAACCACAGGGGTGGAGCTGCCCAAGACCATGGGAGCCCATCTCTTGCATCAGCATGACCTGGATGTGACACGTGGAGTCAAAGAAGGTCATTTTGGACCTTTAAGATTTGACTGCTGTCCAGGCACAGTGGCTCATGCCTGTAATCCCAGCACTTTGGGAGGCTGAGGCAGGCGGATCACCTGAGGTCAGGAGTTTGAGACCAGCCTGGCCAACATGGTGAAACTCTATCTCTACTAAAAGTACAAAATTAGCCAGTCGTGGTGGCATGCACCTGTAGTTTCAGCTACTCAGGAGGCCGAGGCAGGAGAGTCACTTGAACCTGGGAGGCAGAGGTTGCAGTGAGCCAAGATCGCACCGTTGCACTCCAGCCTGGGCAAGAAGAGCAAATCTCTGTCTCAAAAAAAAAAAAAAAAAAAAAAATGGACTCTCCTGCTAGATTTTGGATTTGCATGGGGCTTGTAGGCCCTTTGTTTTGGCCAATTTCTCCCATTTAGAATGCCTGTATTTACCCAATGCCTGTACCCCCTTCGTGTCTAGGAAGTGACTAACTTGCTTTTGATTTTACAGGCTCATAGGCAGAAAGGACTGGTCTTGTTTCAGATGAGACTTTGGAATGTGGACTTTTAAGTTAATGCTGAAATGAATTAAGACTTTGGGGGGACTGTTGGGAAGGCATGGTTGGTTTTGAAGTGTGGAGATTTGGGAGGGGCCAGGGACAGAATGATATGGTTTGGCTGTGTCCCCACCCAGATCTCATCTTGAATTCCCATGTGTTGTGGGAGGGACCCAGTGGGAGGTAATTGAATCATGGGAGCAGGTCTTTCCCATGCTGTTCTCATGGTAGGGAATAAGTCTCATGAGATCTGATGGTTTTATAATGGGGTGTTTCCCTACACAAGCTTTCTTCTCTTGTCTACCTCCATGTGAGACATGCCTTTCACCTTCTGCTATGGTTGTGAGGCCTCCACAGCCACGTGGAACTGTAAGTCCATTAAACCTCTTTCTTCTGTGAATTGCCCAGTCTCGGGTATGTCTTTATTAGCAGCATGAAAATGGACTAATACAGGAATCTACTACAGGAATAAGTTGAGAAATGATGAGGACCTATCCTAAGACATGGGAATGGAGAAGAGGAAAGAAAAATAAGAGATTTAAAAAATGTAGGCTACACAATTGTGTGTGTGAGAGAGAGTATTGTGGGATGGCTGTGTTCCTGATTGGACTGTAAATGGGTCATCCAATTTATTAAGATTAGAGAATACAGGAGAAGGAAAAGTATGGGGAAGGGAGATTGTGTATTTAGTATTAGACATACTGACTTTCGAGTAGCTATGGCACAATTAAGTGGACTTGTTCAACAGGCATGTCAGGAATGTGGGAGAAAAATCTTGGATGAAATTTTGGAAGACGCCAGGCACGGTGGCTCAAACCTATAATTCTAGCACTTTGGGAGGCCGAGGCAGGTGGGTCACCTGAGGTCAGTGGTTTGAGACCATCTTGGCTAACATGGTGAAATCCCATCTCTACCAAAAATACAAAAAACTTAGCCGGGCGTGGTGGCAGGCGCCTGTAGTCCCAGCTACTCTGGAAGCTGAGGCAGGAGAATGGCGTGAACCCAGGAGGTGGAGTTTGCAGTGAGCGGAGATCGTGCCACTGCACTCCCGCCTGGGCGACAGAATGAGACTCCGTCTCAAAAAAAAAAAAAGAAAAAAGAAAAAAATTAGCGCTGGTCATGGTGGCACATGCCTGTAATCCCCACTATTCAGGAGGCTGAGGCGGGAGAATCGCTTGAACCCGGGAGGCAGAGTTTGCAGTGAGCAGAGATTGCACCCTTGCACCCCAGCCTAGGGGAGAGAGTGAGACTCTGTTTCAAAAAAAAAAAAAAAAAAAGTAAAAAAAAAAAAAGAGGCTGGGTGCGGTGGCTCACGCCTGTAATCCCAGCACTTTGAGAGGCCGAGGTGGGCGGATCACGAGGTCAGGAGATCAAGACCATCCTGGCTAACACCGTGAAATTCCGTCTCTACTACAAATACAAAAAAAATTAGCCGGGCTTGGTGGTGGGCGCCTGTAGTCCCAGCTACTCTGGAGGCTGAGGCAGGAGAATGGCGTGAAGCCGGGACGCAGAGCTTGCAGTGAGCTGAGATCGCGCCACTGTACTCCAGCCTGGGCGACAGAGTGAGACTCCGTCTCAAAAAAAAAAAAAAAAAAAAATTAAAAAAAAAATTTTGGAAGATACTAGTATATGTGTTAGTTAAAGCCATGAATTTTGATGAGATCACCTTGGGGGGGAAATATACAATGGGAATAACTAAGGACTAAGAATGGATCCCCAACATTTTAAAGGGTAACGAGAGATAGTAGGACAATAGAAGTAGGAGGAAACCCAATAGAATTGAGTCATAAGAAGCCAGCTTTGGCTGCATCCCATGTTTTGCATAATTTTTATTATTTAGTTTAAGACATAGTTTGTTTTGTTTTGTTTTGTTTTTAAAGACATTTATTCAGCATCACAATCAGACTATTACATTTAGCAATCAACAGCATGGGTGCCAAAAAAAAAAAACTACATTAAAACCCTTTGTTGGAATGCTTTACACTTTTCACAGAACACAAACTAAAATAACCTGTTATAGAGTTAGTCACAAATAACAGTCCTCGAGTTTTTTGCCCATACTCATCAGTATTTGTCTAAAATATGTCTTCTTTGTAGCACCTAGGCCCTGCTACCACTGTGCTTGGCTGAGTTCACAAATCTGTTGTAACCTGTAGCTTCCCTGTCACTTCTCTGGATCTCCTCTCCTGCTAAGCTTTGTTTCCTAATTAAAATCTGCCACTGTCATAGCTACTGCTGCTACTGGAACCTCCATAGCCACCTTGGTTTTGTGGTTTGACGAAGTATTGGCCTCCACCACCACAGGGGACAGAACTTCTGCCTCCAAAGTTTCCTCCCTTCGTGGGTCCAAAATTTGAAGACTGATTGTTGTAATTGCCAAAATCATTGTAGCTTCCACTACCTCCAAAACTGCTTCCACTACCACCACCAAAGCTGCCTCCACCTCCGTTGTTATAGCTATTATAGCTGCCACTCCCACCATAGCCACTGCCCTGGCTTCCATAACCCTGTCCAACACTTCCATAGCCTCTGCTTCCTCCGGAGTAACCAGGGCCACCTCCTCCATAACCACCATCATTACCAAACCCATTATAGCCATCCCCACTGCCACCATATCCATCACCACCACAGCTGCCACCAAAGCCATCATGACCACTGAAGTTTCCTCCGTGACCAAAGTTGTCATTCCCACTGAAACCACCTCCATGACCACCACCAAAGTTTCCAGAACTACTTTGACCTCTTTGGCTGGATGAAGCCCTAGCCATCTCTTGGTCTGACAGGGCTTTCCTAACTTCACAGTTGTGGCCATTCACAGTATGCTATTTCTGAATGACAGTTTTATCCATGGAGTTATGATTGTCAAAGGTTACAAAGGCAAAGCCTCTTTTCTTGCCACTGCCTCAGTCATGATTTCAATCACTTCATTTTTTCCATACTGTTCAAAATAATCTCTTAGGTGATGTTCTTCAGTGTCTTCTTTAATGCCACCAACAAATATCTTTTTCACAGTTAAGTGGGCACCTGGTCTTTGAGAATCTTCTCTTGAGACAGCTCTCTTTGGTTCCACAACTCTTCCATCCACCTTTTGTGGCCTTGCATTCATGGCTGCATCCACCTTCTCCGCAGTGGCATGTGAGACAAACCCAAAGCCCCTGGAGTGCTTGGTATTTGGATCTCATTACCACACAGTCCATGAGCATTCCTCATTGCTCAAAATGGCTTCTCAGGCTCTCGTTGCTTGTTTCTAAGCTCAACCGTCCAAGGAAGAGCTTCCTCAACTGTTTGGGCTCTTTAGGAGACTCTGAGTTAGACAAGACGGCCGGGAGAAGAGAGACTTTAATGATGCTTCTTCGGCGGCGTCCAGGGGCAGAAAGGCAAGACAGTTTTAAATTTCCATTGTGGTTTGTCTTTTGACTCAGGATTATTTAGAAGATGTAGTATTTACTTTCCAAACATTTCAAAATTTATTTTGTTCTTAGTTTAGCTTCCCCCATACTTTGTGTTATTTTTGTTTGTGTTTCAGTTCTTTTTACATACTTAAATCTCACAAGACATTATTATTCGTATTTCATATAGCCAGTATTCATTTAGATTTATCCACATATTCATATTTTCAGTTCGTCTAAGAAAGATACAAGTATTCAAATACAATAACCATAAAAAAGCTGAATTTTTGCTTGTTAAGGAAGGGAGCCCTGTAATACAATGTACAACCTCTCTGAACAAAGCAAGAGATATTCACACAGAAGCATGGAATTCCAAGACTGAAAAACTTTAAGAAAAAAGAGTATTTAGAGATCGTTTTACTTTCAGCCATGGATACCTTGTATTTGGAGTGAGGCTGTTGTTACTTGATTGACTTTCAGGCATGTGGTAACTAGAATAGGATTGTTGCTAACTGGCTGACATTCTGAAGTGAGGAAATATCATGGGCTGATTTTCTCTTTTTTCTTTTCTTTTCTTTCCTTCTCTTTTTTTTTTTCTTTTTTTGAGACAGTCTTACTCTGTTGCTGAGGCCTGAGTGTAGTGGTATGATCATGGCTCACAGCAGCCTCAAACTGCCATGCTCAAGTGATCCTCCCACCTCAGCCTCTCAGGTAGCTGGGACTACAGGTGCATGCTGTGACTCCTGGCTAATTTTTTTGTAGAGATTGGGTTTCATCATATTGTCCAGGCTGGTCTCAAACTCTTGGGCTCAAGTCATTCACCCACCTTGGCCTCCCAAAGTGCTGAGATTACAGGAGTGAGCCACCACACCAGGCCGATTTTCTTTTTTATTCCTAGCTTCATAGCTAAGTTTTATTTAAACTTTAAAGAACATATAATTTTAAGATTCTTAAATAATTCGAAGCCTTAGAACAATATGGAAAATCCTCCAAATTGTTTATGAACCCAGAAAACCATAATGTCAAAACACAATAAATATAGTACAAATAAACCCATCAATTTTCTGTTATTTATGACAGTAGGTGCAAACGTTCTAAATAAAATAATAATTATTATTATAGCTTAGCAAAGATTAAAAGCAAAACATTTTAACCAAGTAGAATATATTCCAGGAATGCATGAGCGATTCAACATTAGGAAATTGATCAGCATAATACATTTCATAAAAATATTAAGAGAAAAAACTGTGTGATCATATAAGAGATGCTGCAATTGTTTTGTTAAAATACAGCATATTCTCAAGAAAAAGTCTAAATTAAATATCCCTAGAAAAAAACTACATAAATATAATACTAAAACAAATAAAAAACCAATAGTAATACCATGAATGGAAAAACACTTAAACTTTATAATTAACCTAACAAAATAGATGAGGATGCTTGATATCAACATTTTTATTTTTTTTTTGGTGGTTCTAGAAAATAAAATAATAGAATAAAGTAAAATAACAGATATGAATATTGAAAAAGAGAAGATAAAATATTTCTTTGTGCTGATATTATAGTTATATACTTAGAAAATCTGGAACTATAGGAAAAAAAGATTAAAATCAGTAAGACAGTTTGGTGAGGAGACTGAATCAGAATTAAATAAATAAAAGTAAATTGTTTTTCTCTACTTAAGCAATAAAGGACCTAAAAATGAGAATGGGAAAAATACTTCCAAGCCATTAGTTTTTATCACCTCAAGAATACATTCTTTAAAGGAAGTACTTACCTATAATGTCCAGGCCGAATAATGGCCTTGAACTCCTGGGTTCAAACAATCCTCCTGCCTCAGCCTCCTGAGTAGCTGGGACTACAGGTGCATGCCACTATGCCTGGCTAGAATACATTTAGTTGTTTAAAAGACATAGGTTCTATAGGAAGAAAATTATATATGTAATATAATACATTTTCATAATATAATTCTTCTAAAATTAATACATAGGATAAGATAATGTTTATATAATCAAAATAAATGCTCATGAAAAAGTTTAAAATTGATTTTGTGATTACTTGTTTAAGGCTTGAGTCTATGGCCAAAGAATAACTGATCTTTCCCTTTTGTGAATTTGTAGAGTAAGATCTTTTTATTCTCATATTGCTCCCTTCCTACGTTTGCATTTGCTTTCTGGAATAATTTTCTTTTTCCTTGAAGAAATGTCTTTGGTATTTTCTATAGTGGTGGGTCTGCTGATTACTTTTTGTTTAAAGGCTTGCTTTCTTTTCTCTTCTTTTCTTTTCTTTCTTTCTTTCCTTTCTTTCTTTTTCTTTCTTTCCTTCCTTCCTTTTTTCCTTCCTTCCTTTCTTTTCTTTTCTCTTTTCTTTTTCTTTATTTTCTTTCTCTCTCTCTTTCTTTCCTTCCTTCCTTCTCTTTTTCTTTTCTTTTCTTTCCCTTCCTTCCTTCCTTTCTTTCCTTCCTTTCTTTTCTTTTCTCTTTTCTTTTCTTTCTTTCATTCCTTTTCTTTCTCTCTTTCCTTCCTTCCTTCTCTCTCTCTTTTCTTTTCTTCCTTCTTTCTTTCTTTCTTTTTCTTTCTTTCTTTCCTTCCTTCCTTCCTTCCTCTCCTTCCTTCCTTCTTTCATTTCTTTTATTTTCTTTATTATTATTCTTATCCTTTAAGTTCTAGGGTACATGTGCACAACGTGCAGGTTTGTTACATGTGTATACATGTGCCATGTTGGTGTGCTGCACCCATTAACTCATCATTTACATTAGGTGTATCTCCTAATGCTCTCGCTCCCACCTCCCCCCACCCCACGACAGGCCTCGGTATGTGATGTTCCCCACCCTGTGTCCAAGTGTCCTCATTGTTCAATTCTCACATATGAGTGAGAAGATGCGGTGTTTGGTTTTCTGTCCTTGTGATAGTTTGCTGAGAATGATGGTTTCCAGCTTCATCCATGTCCCTACAAAGGACATGAACTCATCCTTTTTTATGGCTGGGCTGCATAGTATTCCATGGTGTATATATGCCACATTTTCTTAATCCCCAGTCTATCACTGATGGACATTTGGGTTAGTTCCAAGTCTTTGCTATTGTGAATAGTGCCACAATAAACGTAGGTGTGCATGTGTCTTTATAGCAGCATGATTTATAATCCTTTGGGTATATACCCAGCAATGGAATGGCTGGATCAAATGGTATTTCTAGTTGTAGATCCTTGAGGAATCGCCACACTGTCTTCCACAACGGTTGAACTAGTTTACAGTCCCAACAACAGTGTAAAAGTGTTCCTATTTCTCCACATCCTCTCCAGCACCTGTTGTTTTCCTGACTTTTTAATGATCACCATTCTAACTGGTGTGAGATGGTATCTCATTGTGGTTTTGATTTGCATTTCTCTGATGACCACTGATGATGAGCATTTTTTCATGTGTCTGTTGGCTGCATAAATGTATTCTTTTGACAAGTGTCTGTTCATATCCTTCGCCCACTTGTTGATGGGGTTGTTTGTTTTTTTCTTGTAAATTTGTTTAAGTTCTTTGTGGACTCTGAATATTAGCCCTTTGTCAGATGGGTAGATTCTAAAAATTTTCTCCCATTCTGTAGGTTGCTTGTTCACTCTGATGGTAGTTTCTTTTGCTGTGCAGAAGCTCTTTAGTTTAATTAGATCTCATTTGTCAATTTTGGCTTTTGTTGCCATTGCTTTTGGTGTTTTAGTCATGAAGTTCTTGCCCATGCCTATGTCCTGAATGGTATTGCCTAGGTTTTCTTCTAGGGTTTTTATGGTTTTAGGTCTAACATTTAAGTCTTTAATCCATCTTGAATTAATTTTGTATAAGGTGTAAGGAAGGGATCCAGTTTCAGGTTTCTACATATGGCTAGTCAGTTTTCCCAGCACCATTTATTAAATAGGGAATCCTTTCCCCATTTCTTGTTTTTGTCAGGTTTCTTAAAGATCAGATGGTTGTAGATGTGTGGTATTATTTCTGAGGGCTCTGTCCTGTTCCATTGGTCTATATATCTGTTTTGATAGCAATACCATGCTGTTTTGGTTACTGTAGCCTTGTAGTATAGTTCGAAGTCAGGTAGCATGATGCCTCCAGCTTTGTTCATTTTGCTTAGGATTGTCTTGGCAATGTGGGCTATTTTTTGGTTCCATATGAACTTTAAAGTAGTTTTTTCCAATTCTGTGAAGAAAGTCATTGGTAGCTTGATGGGGATGGCATTGAATCTATAAATTACCTTGGGCAGTATGGCCATTTTCACGATATTGATTCTTCCTATCCATGAACATGGAGTGTTCTGCCGTTTGTCTGTGTCCTCTTTTATTTTGTTGAGCAGAGGTTTGTAGTTTTCCTTGAAGAGGTCCTTCACACCCCTTGTAAGTTGGATTCCTAGGTACTTTATTCTCTTTGAAGCAATTGTGAGTGGGAGTTCACTCATGATTTGGCTCTGTTTGTTATTGGTGTATAGTAATGCTTGTGATTTTTGCACATTGATTTTGTATCCTGAGACTTTGCTGAAGTTGCTGATCAGCTTAAGGAGATTTTGGGCTGAGACAATGAGGTTTTCTAAATATACAATCATGTCATCTGCAAACAGGGACAATTTGACTTCCTCTTTTCCTAATTGAATACCCTTTATTTCTTTCTCCTGCCTGATTGCCCTGGCCATAATTTCCAACATTATGTTGAATAGGAGTGGTGAGAGAGGGCATCCTTGTCTTGTGCCAGTTTTCAAAGGGAATGCTTCCTGTTTTTGCCCATTCAGTATGTTATTGGCTGTGGGTTTGTCATAAATAGCTCTTATTATTTTGAGATACATCCTATCAATAGCTAGTTTATTGAGAGTTTTTAACATGAAGGGCTGCTGAATTTTGTCAAAGGCCTTTTCTGCATCTATTGAGATAATCATATAGTTTTTGTCTTTGGTTCTGTTTATATGCTGGATTACATTTATCGATTTTCATATGTTGAGCCAGCCTTGAATCCCAGGGATGAAGCCAGCTTCATCGTGGTGGATAAGCTTTTTGATGTGCTGCTGGATTCGGTTTGCCAGTATTTTATTGAGGATTTTTGCATCGATGTTATCAGGGATATTGGTCTAAAATTCTCTTTTTTTTGTTGTGTCTCTGCCAGGCTTTGGTATCAGGATGATTCTGGCCTCATAAAATGAGTTAGGGCGGATTCCCTCTTTTTCTATTGATTGGAATAGTTTCAGAAGGAATGGTACCAGCTCCTCTTTGTACCTCTGGTAGAATTTGGCTGTGAATCTGTCTGGTCCTGGTTGGTAAGCTATTAATTATTGCCTCAATTTCAGAACCTGTTATTTATTGGTCTATTCAGGGATTCAACTTCTTCCTGTTTTTTTCAGTTGGTAGGCTATTAATTATTGCCTCAATTTCAGAACCCATTATTGGTCTAGTCAGGGATTCAAATTCTTCCTGGTTTACTCTTGGGAGGGTGTATGTGTCCAGGAATTTATCCATTTCTTCTAGATTTTCTAGTTTATTTGCGTAGAGGTGTTTATAGTATTCTCTGATGGTAGTTTGTATTTCTGTGGGATCAGTGGTGATATCCCCTTTATCATTTTTTATTGCATCTATTTGATTCTTCTCTCTTTTCTTTATTAGTCTTGCTAGCAGTCTATCAATTTTGTTAATCTTTTCAAAAAACCAGTTCCTGGATTCATTTATTTTCTGAAGGGTTTTTTGTGTCTCTATCTCCTCAGTTCTGCTCTGATGTTAGTTATTTCTTGCCTTCTGCTAGCTTTTGAATGTGTTTGCTCTTGCTTCTCTAGTTCTTTTAATTGTGATGTTAGAGTGTCAATTTTATATCTTTCCTGCTTTCTGTTGTGGGCATTTAGTGCTATAAATTTCCCTCTACACACTGCTTTAAATGTGTTCCAGAGATTCTGGTATGTTGTGTCTTTGTTCTCATTGGTTTCGAAGAGCATCTTTATTTCTGCTTTCATTTCATTATGTACCCAGTAGTCATTCAGGAGCAGGTTGTTCAGTTTCCATGTGGTTGAGCAGTTTTGAGTGAGTTTCTTAATCCTGAGTTCTAGTTTGATTGCACTGTGGTCTGAGAGACAGTTTGTTATAATTTCTATTCTTTTTCATTTACTGAGGAGAGCTTTACTTCCAACTATGTGGTCAATTTTGGAATAAGTGCGATGTGATGCTAAGAAGAATGTATATTCTGTTGATTTGGGGTGGAGAGTTCTGTAGATGTCAGTTAGGTCTGCTTGTTGCAGAGCTGAATTCAATTCCTGGATATCCTTGTTAACTTTCTGTCTCCTTGATCTGTCTACTGTTGACAGTGGGGTGTTAAAGTCTCCCATTATTATTGTGTGGGAGTCTAAGTCTCTTTGTAGGTCTCTAAGGACTTGCTTTATGAATCTGGGTGCTCCTGTATTGGGTGCATATATATTTAGGATAGTTAGCTCTTCTTGTTGAATTGATCCCTTTACCATTATGTAATGGCCTTCTTTGTCTCTTTTGATCTTTGTTGGTTTAAAGTCTGTTTTATCAGAGACTAGGATTGCAACCTCTGCTGTTTTTTTTCCCATTTGCTTGGTAGTTCTTCCTCCATCCCTTTATTTTGAGCCTATGTGTGTCTCTGAACATGAGATTGGTCTCCTGAATACAGCACACTGATGGGTCTTGACTCTTTATCCAATTTGCCAGTCTGTGTCTTTTAATTGGGGCATTTAGCCCATTTACATTTAAGGTTAATATTATGTGTGAATTTGATCCTGTCATTATGCTGTTAGCTGGTTATTTTGCTCGTTAGTTGATGCAGTTTCTTCCTAGCATCAATGGTCGTTACAATTTGGCATGTTTTTGCAGTGGCTGGTGCCAGTTGTTCCTTTCCATGTTTAGTGCTTCCTTCAGGAGCTCTTGTAAGGCAGGCCTGGTGGTGATAAAATCTCTCAGCATTTGCTTGTCTGTAAAGGATTTTATTTCTCCTTCACTTATGAAGCTTAGTTTTACTGGATATGAAATTCTGGGTTGAAAATTCTTTTCTTTAAGAATGTTGAATATTGGCCCCCACTCTCTTCTGGCTTGTAGAGCTTCTGCCAAGAGATCCGCTTTTAATCTGATGGACTTCCCTTTGTGAGTAACCCGACTTTTCTCTGTGGCTGCCCTTAACATTTTTTCCTTCATTTCAACTTTGGTGAATCTGACAATTATGTGTTTTGGAGTTGCTCTTCTCGAGGAGTATCTTTGTGGCATTCTCTGTATTTCCTGAATTTGAATGTTGGCCTGCCTTGCTAGGTTGGGGAAGTTCTCCTGGATAATATCCTGAAGAGTGTTTTCCAACTTGGTTCCATTCTCCCTGTCACTTTCAGATACACCAATAGACGTAGATTTGGTCTTTTCACATAGTCGCATATTTCTTGGAGGCTTTGTTTGTTTCTTTTTACTCTTTTTTCTCTAAACTTCTCTTTTTGCTTCATTTCATTCATTCGATCTTCAATCACTGATACTCTTTCTTCCACTTGATCAAATCAGCTACTGAAGCTTCTGCATGCATCACGTAGTTCTTATGCCATGGTTTTCAGCTCCATCAGGTCACTTAAGGTCTTCTGTACACTGTTTATTTTAGTTAGCCATTCATCTAATCTTTTTTTCAAGGTTTTTAGCTTCTTTGCAATGGGTTTGAACATCCTCCTTTAGCTCAGAGAAATTTGTTATTACTGATCATCTGAAGCCTTCTTCTCTCAACTCATCAAAGTCATTCTCCATCCAGGTTTGTTCCGTTGCTGTTGAGGAGCTGTGTGCCTTTGGAGGAGAAGAGATGCTCTGATTTTTAGAATTTTCAGCTTCTCTACTCTGGTTTCTCCCCCTTTGTGGTTTTATCTACCTTTGATCTTTGTTGATGGTGACGTACAGATGTGGTTTTGTTGTGGATGTCCTTTCTGTTTGTTAGTTTTCCTTCTAACAGTCAGGACCCTCAGCTGCAGGTCTGTTGGAGTTTGCTGGAGGTCCACTCCAGACCCTGTTTGCCTGGGTATCACCAGCGGAGGCTGCAGAACAGCAAATATTGCAGAATGGCAAATGTTTCTGCCTGATCCTTTCTCTGGAAGCCTCGTCTCAGAGGGGCACCTGGCCGTATGAGGTGTCAGTTGGCCCCTACTGGGAGGTGTCTCCCAGTTAGGCTACTCGGGGGTCATGGACCCACTTGAGGAGACAGTCTGTCTGTTCTCAGATCTCAAACTCTGTGCTGGGAGAACCACTACTTGCTTCAAAGCTGTCAGCCAGGGATGTTTAAGTCTGCAGAAGTTTCTGCTGCCTTTTGTTCAGCTATGCCCTGCCCCCAGAGATGGAGTCTGCAGAGGCAGGTGGGCCTCCTTGAGCTGTGGTGGGCTCCACCCAATTCGACCTTCCTGGCCGCTTTGTTTACCTACTCAAGCCTTAGCAATGGCGGACGCCCCTCCCCCAGCCTCGCTGCCACCTTGCAGTTTGATCTCAGACTGTTGTGCTAGCAGTGAGTGAGTCTCTGTGGGTGTCGGACCCTCTGAGCCAGGCGCGGGATATAATCTCCTGGTGTGCCGTTTGCTAAGACCATTGGAAAAGCGCAGTATTAGGGTGGGAGTGTCCCAATTTTCCAGGTACCGTCTTTCATGGCTTCCCTTGGCTAGGAGAGGGAAGTCCCTGACCCCTTGCACTTCCCGGGTGAGGCAATGCCCCGCCCTGCTTCAGCTCACACTCCATGGGCTGCACCCACTGTCAGACGAGCCCCAGTGAGATGAACCCAATACCTCAGTTGGAAATTCAGAAATCACCCGAGTTCTGCATTGCTCACGCTGGGAGCTGTAGATTGGAGCTGTTCCTATTCGGCCATCTTGGAACCTCCTCTTTTCTTTTCTTTCTTTCTTCTTCTTCTTCTTTTTTTTTTTTTTTTTTGAGATGGGGTCTAATTATGTTGCCTAGGCTGCTCTTGGTCTTGAACTCCTAAGCTCAAGCAGTCCTCCCCCTTGACCTCTCAAAGTGCTGGGATTATAGGCATGAGCCACTGCGCTGGGCCTTAATGGTTATTTTCTAAGAATTATAATTTGACGGTGTTTTTCTTTAGTGTGTTAGTTTAACTTTCTGGTAAACATCCACTGATTTTAAAATTTTAATTATTATATTTTTCAGTCCTAGAATTTATTAACTTTTAGAGTTTCTAGTTCTCTGCTGAAATTTTCCATCTTGTCATTTTATAACTTGAAAGTTGTAGTCACAGTTAATTTTAAAATCCATGTCTGGTGATTGGATAATATTTGGTTCTCCTATAGTTCTATTTTATTTTCTGTATTTTTGTCTTGGTTTTGAGTCCATTCTTTTCATATTTCTGTTTCTGATTGAATGTTGGACATTGTGTGTGAAGAGTTTTAGAGATAATTTGAGACTCTGGATGATACTATATTACATAAGAAGGATTTTACTTTTTATTCTGGCAGGTCATTTAGTGCAGGCACGGATCACCTTAATCCAAGCAGGGACTGAGCTGAAATGAAGTCTGGCCTTGGGCTTTCTGAGGGCTGTTCTATTTCTGTTCCACTGTTATTCTTAAGATGTAATGCTTCAGAGAATTAGGGGTCCCAATAGTATCCTGGTGTTACCAGGACCTCTACTCCTTAGCAAATTCTGTACTTCAATTTTGTCCACCACCCGACCCCTGAGTAGAGTGACTTAATATCCCAAATTTCCATGAAAGATATTGAAGTTCCATCCTCCAAAATCCATGAAAGATATTAAAAATTCATTAAAACATTTTTGCTCAGTGCATCATGTGTTTCTTAAGAATCCTTCTCAGCAAGTGTCTGAGGCAACCCTGAACCATTGACTGGCACAATTGTTCAATTTAAAACTGCACTATGAAAGCTACATGGGAAAACACAATTTAATTTTCTATGGCAGCAATAATATAGTTATTGATAAAATGGCAATACTTATCCATGTCAGCCCTCTGGATCTGCGGGTTCTGCATCATCAGATTCAAGCAACCGTGGATCAAAAATACTTAAAAAAAATTAAAAAGTACAAATAAAAACACAATATAGTATAATAAATATCACATAACATCTGCATTGTATTAGGTTATATAAGTAATCTAGAGATGATTTAATGTATACAAGAGGATGTGCATAGGTTATATGCAAATACCACATCATTTTCTGTAAGGGACTTGAGAATCCATGGATTTTGGTATCCATGGGGGTCCTGAAACCAATCCTCTGTAGATACTGAGGGATGACTGTGTACAGTGGGCAGAGAAAAATGAGGTAGCAAATGGTTTAAAATAAAAGAAGAAGTCAAAATTATGAATGGTGGTGAAATTAGCAGATCATTTTGAATATTCCTAAAAGATCAAAATTTACTGATGAAGGAAGGCAGTGAAAATATTTTCATCCAAGACAAGAAAAAGTTTCCTTTTAAATTACTTGTCTTTATATAACTTTGAGATGGGAATGTTTTCATTTTGTATTTTGCAAATAAATAAGAAAAAGAGGGTATTTTGCCATAATCTCATAGTGAATCAGTCCACTGGACCCACATTAGGATCCACACTCAAGTTTTGTTCAGACTAAAAGCTATAAACTTTATGAAACCCTGATCAATAACCTAAAAAATGACTCAAGAACTATGATAATCTATTTTAATTTGTTATTCACTATCCCATAATCATGAAGAAGCTGATTATTATCATTGTCCTCTTAAAAGAATGATGTAGTGAATTAAGGTCTTTTACAGAAAACTATAGTTGATAGTTTCTGGGTTTAATGCATTTGATTCTCAGCTGAAAAGACAAGAAATGTAGGATATAAACTGTCATTGAAAAAATAATTTGTTAGTCATTAAAGCACCAATTACACAGTGCTTATTCATTAAACATTTATTTAGGAACTGCTTTTTGTAAGGTTCTCTGCTAGTCAAGCTGTAGGATAATAAAAGATTTTTAAAAGATAATGCCCTTGCTCAGTAGGATTTTATAATTTGGTATTAAAATAGTAGTCTTACAAATATTTCTAAAAGTTAATGCTTTTCTTACTTTTCTAGGTTACTCCAAAATTCTTCCAAGTTTGATTAGTTCTCTTGACTTCTGTTCTTTCAAGTTGGAAAACCTGGAGTTTCCTGATACGCCTCTTGAAGAATGGCAGGAAATAGATGAAAAAATTAATGAAATGAAATCACACTTGGATATATTGTTAAACCTTACTGGTATTGTTCCACAGCACATAGATGTGGATTCTGTTTCGTAAGTTCCCATAGGTTTCTTTTGTTCTGAGATAATTTTCCTAAAGGTTTGTTGCAATACACTTCATATATAATTCACTTTTTCAAAGTGTACAATTCTGTGGTGTTCAGTATATTTATAGATATAAGTAACCATTACCGGTCAATTTTAGAATATTTCATCACCTCAAAAAGAAGCCTTATGCACTTTAGCTATCATTCTGCAATCCTTCATCCTCTCCTACCGTCCTACCCCCAGCCCTAAGCAACCACAAATCTACTTTGTCTTTGTTGATTGTATTGTTATGAACAATTTTTTTTTTTTTTGAGGCGAAGTCTTGCTCTTATTTCCCAGGCTGGAGTGCAATGGCGAGATCTTGGCTCACTGCAACCTCTACCTCCCGGGTTCAAGTGATTCTCTTACCTTAGCCTCCTGAGTAGCTGGGACTACAGGCGCCTGCCACCATGCCCAGCTAATTTTTGTATTTTTAGTAGAGACGGGGTTTCACCATGTTGGCTAGGCTGGTCTCGAACTCCTGACCTCAGGTGATACGCCCACCTTGGCCTTCCAAAGTGCTTAGATTACAGGTGTGAGCCACCACACCTGGCCTGTTGTGGACATTTTATTTGAAAGGAATCATTGTACTGTGTGGTCTTTGTGTCTAACTTCTTTGACTTAGCATAATTTTTTCAAGGTTCATCCATGTTGTGGCATATTTCAGTAGTTCATTTTTATGACTGAATCATATTCTACTTATGGATATACCACATTTTATTTATTCATTTGTCCATTGATAGACACTTGGATTGTTTCCATCTTTTGGCCTTAATGAGTAATGTTTCAATAAACATTCATGTGCATGCTTTTTGTGGACAAACATTTGTTTTCATTTCTCTTTGGGTATATATCACCTAAGGAGTGGAATTGCTGGATCATATGGCAATTCTATTTTTAATAATTTGAGGAACTGCCAGACTGTTTTCCAAGGTGTTTTTGGAAAACCTACACAATTTTACATTCACATCAGCAGTGCATGTGGGTTCTGATTTCTCCACATACTTGCCAATACTTATTATCTGACTTTTGATTCTAGCTATAATAGAGGGACTGAAGTGTTATTTTATTGTAGTTTTGATTCACATTTCCCTAATGACAAATGATGTGAAGAATTGTTTCACATGCTTATTGGCTATTTGTGTATTTTCTTTGAGGGAAATTTTTTCTGTGCTGTTGTTGTTGTTGCTTGTGCTGGTGTCATAGCTAAGAATTCTTTGCCAAATCCAAGGTCATGAAAATTTACCCCTATGTTTTTTTGTAAGAGTTTTGTAGCATTTGCTCTCTTACATTAAGGTCTCTGATCCATTTTAGTTAATTTTTGTATATGGTATGTGGTAAGGGTCCAATTTCATTCTTTTGCATGTGGATGTTTAGTTGTACCAGCACCATTTGTTGAAGACTATTCTTTCTCCACTTAATGGTATTGACAATTTTGATGAAAATCAGTCATGGATTTATTTCTGAATGATTAATTCTATCACATTGATCTATATGTCCACCCTTGTGTCAGTAACACACTGTCTTGCTTATTCTTGCTTTGTAGAATGTTTTGAAAAGGAATGGGAAATGTGAGTCTTTCTACTTGACTCTTCTTTTACAGGATTATTTTGGCTTTTCTGGGTACCTTGCAATTCCGTATAAATTTTAGAATAAGCTTGTCAATTTTTACAAAGACATTAACTAGGATTCTGAAAAAGAATTTGTTGGATCTGTACATCAGAATGGGAATATTGCTATCTTAAACATGTTAAGTCTTCTACATGAACATGGGATGTTTTTCCAATTATTTGGATCTTCTTTAATTTCTTCTGAGTATAAGCTGTACACTTCTTTTGTTATATTTACTCCTAAGTACTTTTTAAATGTTATTGCAAATAAGATTTTTAAAACTTTATTTCAGATTGTTTATTGCATATGTATAGGAACACAACTGATTTTTAAAATATTGATCTTACATCCCAAAACCTTACTGAATTCATTTATTAGTTGCAATAATTTTTTAAAGGATTTCTTAGTATTTTCTATACAAAAGATCATACCTATAAATACAAGTAGTTTCTTTTTAATCTAGATGCCTTTGATTTCCTTCTCTTGCCTAATTGCTTTGGCTAGAACCTCAGTACAATGTTGAATGGAAGATGTTGTTCCTATTCTTATGGGAAATGCATCCAGTCTTTCACTATTAAGTATAATGTTATTTGTGGGTGTTTCCTAGATGCCTTTTATTGGATTTAGGAAGTTTTCTTCTATTCCTAATTTGTTGCATGCTTTTACATAAAAAAGTTGTTGGATTTTGACAAATGCTTTTTCTGTATCTAGTGAGATGATCATGTGATTATTTTTTTCATGTTCATATGATGTATTACATTCATTGTCTTTTTGGATATTAAATTAACTTTGCTTGCATAGGATAAATCCCACATGGTAATTGTGTAAAATACTTTTGATCAGTTCAGGATTCTGTTTGCTAGTCTTTGCATTGGTATTCATAAGAGACATTGGTCTATTTTATTTTCCTGTGATGTCTTCGCCTGGTGTTATATCAATGTAATACTGGCTTCATGAAATGAGTTAGAAGTATCCCTCCATCTTTATCTTTTGGAAGATATTGTGAAGAATTGGTGTTGATTCATCTTTGGCTCTTTGGGAGGATTCAGTGGTGCAGCCATCTGTGGGTAGGTTTTTGAGAATTGATTCAATCTCTTCACTTGTTAAAAGTCTATTTATATTGTCTATTTCTTATTGAATCAGTTTTTTGTGTGTGTCTTTCTAGAAATTTGACAATTTCATCCAAGTTATCTGATTTGTTGGCAAAATTGTTCATTGTATTCCCTTATAATCCTTTTTATTTCTGAAAGAAGATCAGTGCTAGCATCCCTTCTCTCGTTTCCAATTCTAATAATTTGAGCCTTCTCTATTTCTCCTGGTCAACTTAGCTAAATGTTTGTTAATATTGTTGATCTTTTCAAATAACCATCTTTTGATTTCATTGATTTCCTTTAGTGTTTTTCTATTCTCTATTGTATTAATTTCTGCTGTAGTCATTATTATTTCCTTCCTTTCACTTTCTTTACATTTAGTTTACTCTACCTTTTCCATAGTCTTAAGTTGAGCTGTTAGTTTATTGATTTGAGATTTTTCTTCTTTCTTAACACAGGTTTTACAGCTATAAATTTCCCTCTAAGGACTGCTCAATATGTTGTGTCTTCATTTTCTTTTTTTTTCTTTTTTTTTTGAGATGGAGTCTCGCTCTGCCACCCAGACTGGAGTGCAGTGGCATGACCTCAGCTCACTGCAACCTCCGCCTCCCAGATTCAAGCAATTCTCCTGCCTCAGCCTCCCGAGTAGCTGGGATTACCGGCATGTGCCACCACGCCTGGCTAATTTTTTTGTATTTTTAGTAGAGACAGGGTTTCACCATTTTGGCCAGGCTAGTCTCGAATTCCTGACCTTGTGATCCACCCACCTTGACCTCCCAAAGTGTTGGGATTACAGGCGTGAGCCACTGCGCCCGGACTATGTCTTCATTTTCATTAATCTCAAAGTATTTTTATGATTTCTCTTGTGATTTATTCATTGACCCATTGTTATTTAGGAGTATGTTATTTAATGTCCACATATTTGTGAGTTTCCCATTTTTTTCCAGTTTCAGATTTGTAATTTCATTCCATTGTAGTGTGAGTATATATTTTATATTATTCTAGCATTAAAATTATAGAGGTTTGTTTTACAGCCTAGCATCTTGTCTATCCTGGAGAATTTTCCATGTACACTTGAGAAGAATGTATATTTCATTTTTATTGGAGAAAGTGTTCTAGAGATGTCTGGTCTAGTTGGTTTGTAGTATTGTTAAAATCTTCTGTTTCCTTATTTATCATCTGTGTAGTGGTTCTAACCATTATTGATAGTGGGATGTTGAAGTCTCCAACTGTTATTCTTAAATTGTCTGTTTTTCCCTTCCTTTCTCTTGATGTTTGCTTCATGTATTTTTGGTACTTTGTTATTAGGTGCACACGTTTATAATTGTTATATCTTCCTGATGGAGTGATCCTTTTATAATTATAAAATATCCTTCCTTATTTTTAGTAACTTTTTAAATTTTAAAATCTATTTTATCTGCTATCAGTACAGCCACACCAGCTTTATTGTGGTTACTGTTACATATCTTTTCCTTTTATACTGTTATATACCTTTTGCTTTTAATGTATTTGTATCTTTGAATCTCAAGTGTGTCTTCTATAGAGACCATATAGTTGATTCATGTTTTTAATCCAGTCTGACAATCTCTGCCTTTTAATTGGATTGTTAAATCCATTTACCTTTAAAGATATTATTGACATGGTTGGATTTACCTCTGCCATCTTACTGCTTGTTTTGTTTCATGACTTTTTTGTTTCTCTGTTTTTCTTTTATTGTTTTTTTTGTATTGAATGAATACTTTCTAATGTAGAATTCATTTCTGTACTGACTTTTCTCTACATTTAAAAAGTTTTTTAAATGGCTTCTCTAGATTTTACCATAACCTCCTTAATTTAACAGAATTAGCTTCAGGTCATGCCTGTAATCCCAGCACTTTGGGAGGCCAAGATGGGGGTGGATCACCTGAGGTCAGGAGTTCAAGACCAGCCTGGCCAACATGGTGAAACCCTGTCTCTACTAAAAATATAAAAATTAGCTGGGTGTGGTGGTGGGTGCCTGTAATCCCAGCTACTTGGGAGGCTGAGGCAGGAGAATTGCTTGAATCCAAGAGGTGGAGTTTGCAGTGAGCCGAGATCGCGCCATTGCACTCCAGCCTGAGCAACAGCAGTGAAACTCTGTCTCAAAAAAAAAGAATTAGCTTCAGATTTATACTGGCTTAATTCTAGTGACATATAGATATACTTCTATCTAGTTTGATTCCTTTTCCCACCTTTTGTGGTATAATTTTATGCACATTACATCTCTTAATATTTGATATGGTTTGGCTCTGTGTCCCCACCCAAATCTCATCTTGAATTGCAATCCCCACATGTCAATGGAGGAAGGTGATTAGATCATGAGAGCAGTTACCCCCACGCTGTTCTCATGAGATCTGATGGTTTTATAAGCATCTGGCATTTCCCCTGCCTGCACCTCTATCTTTCCTGCCACCTTGTGAAGAAGGAACTTGCTTCTTTCTCCCCTTCTGCCATGATTGTAAGTTTTGTAAGTTTCCTGAGGCCTCCTCAGCCATGTGGAGCTGTGAATCAAATTAAACCTCATTTGTTTATAAGTTACCTAGTCTTGGCTGGGTGTGGTGGCTCACACCTGTAATCCTAACATTTTGGGAGGCCAACGTGGGCGGATCACCTGAGGTCAGGCGTTTGACACCACCCTGGCCAACATGGTGAAACCCCCGTCTCTACTAAAAATACAAAAATTAGTCGGGCGTGGTGGTGGGTGCCTGTAATCCCAGCTACTTGGGAGGCTGAGGCAGGAGAATTGCTTGAACCTGGAAGGTAGTGGTTGCAATGAGCCGAGTTCACACTCCAGCCTGGGTGACAGAGCAAGACTCCACCTCAAAAAAAAAAAAAAAACTTACCTAGTCTTGGGTAGTTTTTTTATAGCAGTGTGAGAATGGAGTAATATAGGAAATTGGTACTGGAATTGGGGTACTGCTATAAAGTTAGCCTGAAAATATGTAAGCCACATTGGAACTGGATAATGGGCAGAGGTTGGAATAGTTTGGAGGGCTCAGAGGAAGACAGAAAGATGTGGGAAAGTTTGGAACTTCCTAGAGACTTGTTGAATGGTTTTGACCAAAATGCTGATAGTGATGTGGACAATGAAGTCCAGGCTGAGGTAGTCTCTGATGGAGATGAGGAACTTACTGGGAACTGGAATAAAAGTCACCCTTGCTATGCTTTAGTAAAGAGACTGGTGGCATTTTGACTCTGCCCTAGAAATCTGAGGAACTTTGAACTAGAGAGAGATGATTTAGGGTATCTGGTGGAAGAAATTTCTAAGTGGCAAAGCATTCAAGAGGAAGCAGAGCATAAAAGTTTGGAAAATTTGCAGCCTGACCATGAGGTAGAAAAGAAAAACCCGTTTTCTGGGGAGGAAATAAAGACAGCTGCAGAAATTTGTGTAAGTAATGAGAAACTGAGTGTTCATAGCCAAGTCAATGGGGAAAATATCTCCAGAGCAAGTCAGCGATCCTCAGACCAACCCCTCTTATCACAGGCCTGGAGGCCTAGGAGGTAAAAATGGTTTCTTGGGTCAGGCCCAGGGCCCCCACTGCTCTGTGAAGCCTTGGGACATGGCGTCCTGTGTCCCAGCCACTTCAGCTCCAGCTGTGGCTAAAAAGGGCCAAGGTACAGCTTGGGCCATTGCTTCAAAAGGTGGTCTTGGGCCTGTGGGTGCACAGAAGTCAAGAATTGAGGTTTGGGAACCTTCACCTAGATTTCAGAGGATGTATGGAAGTGCTTGGATGTCCAGGCAGAGGTCTGCTGCAGAGGTATAGCCCTCATGGAGAACCTCTGCTAGGGCAGTACGAAAGGGAAATGTATTTGGAGCCCCCACACAGAGTCCCTACTGGAGCACTGCCTAGTGGAGCTGTGAGAAGAGGGCCACTGTCCTCCAGACCTCAGAATAGTAGATGCATCAACACCTTGCACTGTGCACTTGGAAAAGCCACAGACATTCAACACCAGACCATGAAAGCAGCCAGGTGGGAGCTGCACCCTGCAAAGCCACAGGATTGGAGCTGCCCAGGCCTATGGGAATGCACCTCTTGCATTAGCATGACCTGGATGTGAGATGTGGAATCAAAAGAGATTATTTAGAAGCTTTAAGATTTAATGACTGGCCTACTGGATTTCAGACTTGCATGGGGCCTGTAGCCCCTTGGTTTTGGTCAATTTCTCCCATTTGAAATGAGAGCATTTATCCAATGCCTCTACCTGCATTGTATCTTGGAAGGAATTAACTGTTTTTTTTATTTTACAGGCTCATAGACAGAAGGGACTTGCCTTGCTCAGATGAGATGTTGCACTGTGGACTTTTGAATAAATGCTGAAATGAGTTTAGACTTTGGGGGACTGTTGGGAAGGCATAATTGGTTTTGACATGTGAAATTATATGAGATTTGGAAAGGGCCAGGGGCAGAATAATATGCTTTGGCTCTGTTTCCCTACCCAAATCTCATCTTGAATTGTAATCCTCATGTGTTAAGGGAGGGACCTGTAATTCTCACATGTCAAGGGAAGGAGGTGATTGGATCATGGGGGCTGTTTCACCCTGCTGTTCTCATGATAGTGAGTTCTTATGCAATATGATGGTTTTATAAGCATTTGGCATTTCCCCTGCTTGCACTTCTCTTTTTCCTGCTGCCTTGTGAAGAGGTACTTGCTTTTCCTTCCCCTTACGCCATGATTATAAGCTGCTTGAGGCTTCCCCAGCCATGTGGAACTGTGAGTTGATTAAACCTCTTTTGTTTAAAAATTACCCAGTCTTGGGTATTTCTTTATAGCATTGTAGAATTGGTGTAATACAATATTACAAACACAAAAATACATTGTTATAATTATAAATTTACCATCTGTCATCATTTCTATCACCCATTAGAGTTTGCTCCCATCCACCTCTTGTGTGCTGTTTTGGCATATATATTACACATATATTACATTTTTATGTTGTAGGTCCAACAATATGTCCTATGTTATTTTATACAATTTCTTCTTTAGTCAGTTAAGAAATAGAAAATATGCATACATTCTGTCTTTTAAAATTGCATAATTTTGTTTATAATGCCTTGTTTTTTGTGTAGATTCTAATTACCATCTGTGGTCATTGCTTTCAGCCTGAAAAATTTCCTCTAGGATTTATTGTAAGGAAAGTCTACTAGCAACAAATTCTTCGGTTTTTTTTTTAAATCTGGGGCAGTCTTTATTCCACCTTCATTTTTGGAACACATGTTTGTTGGATATAGGATTCTTGGTTGACATTTTTTTCTTCTTTAGGCACTATGAATATGTTATCCCACTGCTTTTTGGCACCTATTGTTTATTTTGAGAAGTCAGCTGTTAATCTTATTGGGACTCCCTTGTAAGTGATGTGTTGTTTTTCTCTTGCCACTTTCAAGATTTTCTCGTTATTTTGACTTCTAGCATTTTGACTCTCATATATAAGTTTGTAGACCTCTTTGTATTTATCTTACATGGAGATTGTTAAGCTTCTTGAATGTGTTATTGTTTTTCAATAAATTTGGAAAGTTTCAGATCCTGTTTCTTTGAATATCTTTATGTACCTTTTTCTTTTCTCTACTTCCAATACTCCCTTTATATGTAAGGGTGTCCCATATTTCTTCAAGGCTGTTTTCATGTCGCTTCATTCTTTTTCCTCTTTATTTTTTGGCTTGAATTACTTCCATATATTTATCTTCAAGTTCAATTCTTCTCTCTTCTGCCAGTTCAAATTTACTGTTGAGCCCTAGTAGTGATTTTAAATTTTTTTCAGTTATTGTTCTTTTTCACTCTAAAATTTTCATTTATTTCTTTTTTCCAATTTATATTTTTAATTTCTATTCTCTTATTTGCTGCAACATTGTTATAATACCTTCCTTTGTTTATCTAGTCATGGATTTCTTTAGTTCTGTGAACATGAACTAACATGTGTTAGTTCATTTTCACACTGTTGATAAAGACATACCCAAGACTGGGCAATTTACAAAAGAAAGAGTTTCAATGGTCTCACAGTTCCACGTGGCTGGGGAGGCCTCACAAAAAATCATGGTGGAAGGTGAGAGGCCCATCTCATATGGCAGCAGACAAGAGAAGAGAATGAGAGCCAAGTGAAAGGGATTTCCCCTTATGAAACCATCAGATCTCATGAGACTTATTCACTACCATGAGAACAGTGTGGGGGAAACCACCCCCATGATTCAATTATCTCCCACTGGGTTCCTGCCACAACATGAGGGAATTTTGGGAGCTACAATTTAAGATAAGATTTGGGTGGGGACACAGCCAAACCATATCATTTTGCCCCTGGCCCCTCCCAAATCTCATGTCCTCACATTTCAAAACCAATCATGCCTTCCAAACAGTCCCCAGAAGTCTTAACTCATTTCAGCATTAACTCAAAAGTCCACAGTCCAAAGTCTCATCCAAGACAAGGCAAGTTTCTTCCACCTGTAAGCCTGTAAAATCAAAAGCAAGTTAGTTACTTCCTAGATACAAAGGGGCTACAGACATTGGGTAAGTACAGGCATTCCAAATGGGAGAAATTGGCCAAAACAAAAGGGCTACTGGCTCCATGCAAATTCAAAATCCGGCAGGGCAGACAAATCTTACAGCTTCATAATGATCTCCTTTGACTCCATGTCTCACATCTGGGTCATGCTCATTCAAGAGGTGGGTTCTCATGGTCTTGGGCAGTTCTGCCTCTGTGGCTTTGTGGGGCACAGGCTCCCTCCTGGCTGCTTTCATGGGCTGGGGTTGAGTGTCTACGTGTTTTCCAGGCACACGGTGCATGCTGTTGGTGGATCTACCATTCTGGGGTCTGGAGGACAGTGGCCGTTTTCTCACAGCTCCACTAGGCAGCACACCAGTGGGGACTCTGTGTGGGGGTGCCCACCTCACATTTCCCTTCTGCACTGCCCTAGCAGACGTTCTCCATTAGCACCCCACTCCTGCAGCAAACTTCTGCCTGGACATCCAGTCATTTCCATACATCCTTGAAATCTAGGCAAAGGTTCCCAAACCTTGATTTTTGGCTTCTGTGCATCTGCAGGCTCAATACCATGTGGATGCTGCCATGGCTTGTGGCTTGCACTTTCTGAAGCCATGGCCCCAGCTGTATCTTGGACCCTTTTAGTCATGGCTGGAGCAGCTGGGATGCAGGGCACAGCAGAGGGACCCTGGGCCTGGCCCATGAAGCCATTTTTTCCTCCTAAGCCTTCAGGCCTGTGATAGGAGAGGCTGCCCCAAACGTCTCTGACATGACCTGGAGACATTTTCCCCATTGTCTTGGGCATTAACATTTGGCTCCTCATTACTTATGCAGATTTCTGCAGCTGTCTTCAATTTCTCTTAAAAAATGGGATATTTGTCTCTATTGCATTGTCAGGCTGCAAATTTTCTGAACTTTTATGCTCTGTTTCCCTTTTAAAACTGAATACCTGGCTGGGTATGGTGACTCATGCCTGTAATCCCAGCATGTTGGGAGGCTGAGGCAGGTGGATCACTTGAGGTCAGGAGCTCGAGACCAGCTCTGGCCAACATGGTGAAACTCAATCTCTACTAAAAATGCAAAATTAGCTGGGTGTGGTGGCACATGCCTGTAGTCCCAGCTACTCAGGAGGCCAAGACAGGAGAATCGCTTGAACCTGGGAGGTAGAGGCTGCAGTGAGCCAAGATCAAACCACTGCACTGCAGCCTGGGTGAGACAGAGAGAGACTCTGTCTCAAAAAAATAATAATAAAATAAATAAAACTGAATACCTTTAACAGCACCCAAGTCACCCCTTGAATGCTGTGATTCTTAGAAATTTCTTCCACTGGCCGGGTGCAGTGGCTCATGCCTGTAATCCCAGCACTTTGGGAGGCCAAGGCGGGTGGATCACTTGAAGTCAGGAGTTCGAGGCCAGCCTGACCAACATGGAGAAGCCCTGTCTCTACTAAAATACAAAATTAGCTGGGCATGGTGGCACATGCCTGTAATCCCAGCTACTTGGGAGGCTGAGGCAGGAGAATCTCTTGAACTCAGGAGGCGGAGATTGTGGTGAGCTGAGACTATGCCATTGCACTCCAGTCTGAGCAACAAGAGCGAAACTCTGTCTCAAAAAAAAAAAAAGGAAAAAGGCTGGGTGTGGTGGCTCATGCCTGTAATCCTAGCACTTTGGGAGGCTGAGGTGGGCGGATCACGAGGTCAGGAGATTGAGACCATCCTCTCTAACATGGTGAAACCCTGTCTCCACTAAAAATACAAAAAATTAGCTGGGCATGGTGGTGGGTGCCTGTAATCCCAGCTACTTGGGAGGCTGAGGCAGGAGAATGGCGTGAACCTGGGAGGCAGTGCTTGCGGTGAGCCGAGATCGCACCACTGCACTTTAGCCTGGGCGACGGAGTGAGACTCCATCTCAAAAAAGAAAGAAAGAAAGAAAGAAATTTCTTCCACCAGATATTCTAAATAATCTCTCTCAAGCTCATAGTTCCACAAATCTCTAAGACAGGGGCAAAATGCTGCCAGTCTCTTTGCTTAAATATAACAAGAGTCTTCTTTGCTCCGGTTCCCAAGAAGTTCCTCATCTCCATCTGTAACCACCTCAGCCTGGATTCCATTGTCCATATCATTATCAGCATTTTGGTCAAAGCCATTCAACAAGTGTCTAGGAAGTTCTAAATTGTTCCACATTTTCCTGTCTTCTTCTGAGCCCTTCAAACTGTTCCAACCTCTGCCTGTTACCCAGTTCCAAGGTCGCTCCCACATTTTTGGGTATATTTACAGTAGCTCCCCACTCCAGGTACCGATTTACTGTGTTAGTCCATTCTCATGCTGCTGATAAAGACATACCTGAGACTGGGTAATTTACAAAGGAAAAGGGGTTTAATTGACTCAGAGTTCCACATGGCTGGGGAGGCCTCATAATCCTGGTGGAAGGTGAAAGGCACATCTCACATGGCAGCAGACAAGAGAAGAGAATGAGAGCCAAGTGAAAGGGGTTCCCCTTATAAAATCATCAGATCTCATTAGACTTATTCACTACCACGAGAACAGTATGGGGGAGACCGCCCCCATGATTCAGTTATCTCCCACTGGGTCCCTCCCACAACATGAGGGAATTATGGGAGCTACAATTCAAGATGAGATTTGGGTGGGGATATAGCCAAACCTTATCAGCTACTTTGAAGTTTTTGAAAAACCAGAGTTCTGGTCACTCTCACAGGCAGTTTCTGTTGCCTACCTGGTGTATATGTCACACTTTCTTGTTTCTTATCATGCCTTGTAAGGTTTCTTTTTGTTGTTGTTGTTTTTGGTTTTTGGATACTGGACATATTAGATAATATACTGTAGCAACTTTGGTTGCTACCCCCCTCTTCCTTGTATTAAGACTCTGATCTTGCTCTCAAGAAGGTGCAGTTTTTGGGTATGCCCACTGTCACCCTGCAGTGACAGTGGTGTTTTGTCAAGGCTTGCTTCTTTTTCTTTGACCACACCAAGCTGTTAAACTTCACTAATTTCTAGTTGATTGGTCTATTGTTTTCTTTTTTGTTTGTTTGTTTTTGCTTTTATTTATTTATTTATTTTTATTTAAAATAAAATGTATTCATTTTTATTTTTTTATTTTATATATTTTTTTAATTATACTTTAAGTTCTAGGGTACATGTGCACAACGTGCAGGTTTGTTACATATGTATACATGTGCCATGTTGGTGTGCTGCACCCATTAACTCATCATTTATATTAGGTATATCTCCTAATGCTGTCCCTCCCCACTTTCCCCACCCCACAACAGGCCCTGGTGTGTGATGTTCCCCTTCCTGTGTCCAAGTGTTCTCATTGTTCAATTCCCACCTATGAGTGAGAACATGCGATGTTTGGTTTTTTGTCCTTGCGATAGTTTGCTGAGAATGATGGTTTCCAGCTTCATCCATGTCCCTACAAAGGACGTGAACTCATCATTTTTTACGGCTGCATAGTATTCCATGGTGTATATGTGCCACATTTTCTTAATCCAGTCTATCATTGTTGGACATTTGGGTTGGTTCCAAGTCTTTGCTATTGTGAATAGTGCCGCAGTGAACATACGTGTGCATGTGTCTTTATAGCAGCATGATTTAATAATCCTTTGGGTATATACCCAGTAATGGGATGGCTGGGTCAAATGGTATTTCTAGTTCTGGATCCCTGAGGAATCACCACACTCTTTTCCACAATGGTTGAACCAGTTTACAGTCCCACCAACAGTGTAAAAGTGTTCCTATTTCCCCACATCCTCTCCAGCACCTGTTGTTTGCTGACTTTTTAATGATCGCCATTCTAACTGGTGTGAGGTGGTATCTCATTGTGGTTTTAATTTGCATTTCTCTGATGGCCAGTGATGATGAGCATTTTTTCATGTGTCTGTTGGCTGCATAAATTATCTATTGTTTTCAATAATTCTCTGGGGCATATATTGTGCTAAAACTACTTTCATGTAGTTTTGGCTCCTTGGAAAGAATAATTCCTGAGATCAGTGTTTGATCTTGTTCTGAACTCAAGTGGCCTTCTTCTAGTTGTCTTAGTGCCTGGTTGTTTCCTGCAAACTAGTTAGCCTACAGTTTAACCTATATCTTGAATCTCCACTGAATTGCATTTCACCAAACCTCCACTGTTCTTTAAAGCACCCTTAGGTTTGAACATCTTCAGGCTACGTTGCAAATGAAGTTAGTTTATTTGGGACAAGATTAGGAGCTTTTTAATTTTTTTTTTTTTTTTTTTTTTTTTTGCCTTCTTCTATCTCCAGGCAAAATCTCTGAGCTAGGGCTCTAGAGCTGGGGGTAGAGACAATGGAAAGCTTCTCTCTGAGTGACACTCACACTGTCAGACCTGAGAACTCCTTAGAGGGGAAAGTAGCAGCCTGAGGTCTTCTTGGATTGCCTCTCATGGAGTAGAACCACTGCCTTACAAGCCCAGACAATCAGGGACCCATGATTCTCAGCATGCTATGCATAGGGTAGAGTATTTATTATATATATAGGGGCTGGGTGGAAAAAGACAACCCCTACTTGTTACCTGCATTTACCCAGTACCTAGACTCAACACCAGATAGCTGGAGGCAGTATAAAAATCCATGGAAGAAAGCCATCTGATTGGGAGCTAGAGGGTTAGGGAGCTCTGTGTTCTTGGCTACAGCATTCTGAAATGGAGTTGCTGCCTCACTGAGCTAAGGAGAGGAAGGAGCAGTCATGGTTCAAATACCATAGATTATTGCCTTTCTTACTGAATCTTCATAGATTTTCTCGAATAGATGTTTTTGGAACTTCTCCATAGCACCATTTTTAGAGGCTTTAAGTGGTGTATTTAAAAAAATAATTGTTACCAGTTTCGGGGGTGGTGGGTGGTGGAAAGGGCAGCCTTGCTCCTCACACTATCATGCTGGAAGTCATTCATTGAGAGGATTTTAAAATTCATTCTTCTCACATAGTACTGGCCTGGAAGTAAATGTAAAGGGTGTAAGTTTTTACAGTAGAGAGCTAATATTGAACGTAAGATCTGCTTTGTCCAAAGTGCATCTTGCTACCTACTTGGGGGTTAGGAAAGCTTTGTCAGTGAGTAAACTATCATACTAGATAATTCAGGGCTTTGATTCCCCTTTCCTCAGTTCTCAAGCAGTTGTCAACATCTAAGTTTACAATACCCAGCCAAATAAAACTCTTTCTCATAGCTGATAGTTACATTTATCCTTTAAATCAGCCAGTCACTTTTATTTTACTTGATTTTTCCTTCAGGGTACTCCAAGCGTATATATTTAACATGATTCAACAATGGCTTTTGAAGATAGGCAATGAAATTAACAACGGTAACATTGAACTTCAGCACCACGTATGTACTTGTAAGGGTTTTTGACGTTATATTTTGCCTCGGCTGGCAAATTTCTTCAAGGAAAAATAATGCTCTCCCTATTTAAATGAAGCAGGAGGTTGAGAGGGCAAAATAGAAGCTTGTATAATAATTTCTCAAATAATTTTCAATGGATTTTTTAAAGCAGAATGTTTCTGCCTCTGGAATGAAGTTTTGCAATTGAAGAGTCAATGAGCAAATATGTTAAAGCTGGTAGTACGGATTCAGGCAATCCCTAGGCTTGGGAGAAATTCCTCTGACAACCAAAATGAATAAGAAAAAGGGTAACAGAGTGCTTGTCACATGGTGGGACTCAGTAAATGTTTGTTGAATGAATTTAGGAAGAATATTCCAGCACTGTTGGTATCTAATGGTGCTGCTACATTAATCCCTTCTTTGGCAAAAATGCTTGATTTACCATTAGGGATTTATCTCCATGAAATCATATGCTCAATTTGTTATTTTCTAGAATTTAATTTTTATAGTGTGGGATTACTTAGAAAGTGCCTTTATATACCTCAATTTTAACACTGCATTATTAAAATTAATCTGTGTAGAAAATTTGCAAGATTGTAAACTCCATGAGGAATTATGTGTATCCTGTGTATCCATATTAACTCTTATTAATATTTAGAAACAGAAAAGTTGGATATAGGAGACAAGATGGCTGACTAAATTCAGCCAGGAGAAACATCTGCCACTGAGGGACTAGAAGATTGGAAAGACTGGTGCACTCCAAGCATATCTTTAGAGGGAAGGCATTGAGGGTGGACAGAGGGAAGATAGAGATGCTGGGCTAAAGGAGGAGGAAGCTGGAAACCCTGCACAGGGATACCACACACTGGGACTCCTTCCTGGTCCCCAGTGACTCTTGGGGAAAAAGTGAGCTAAGCAGGCGAGAAGTGACCTACTCTTGCCGTAGGCATCTGGAATTCAGACAGCAGGATATCCCAGGACCCCCACAGTCACTTGAGCTGGCAGAGAGAGCTGCTTAGAGAGGTGGTAGGGGTGGTACTCCCAGCTAGTGTGGAGCCTGGAGGGTTTGGTGCAGGAGCATCTATAGTGGAGCACAGTCAGGGGTGCCTATCCCCCAAGGCCTGCCTTGCTCCTTTAGGAGACATTAATCTTAGGGGAACTATCAGACCTGAACAATACAGGGTGATCTTGCCCCTAAGACAGGGCCAGTTTCACCTGAGCACCCCCCTGTCTTGTGGACTCTCCCAGGACTCCAGCCTGACCATGCCTGTTTGCAGTGCAGCCTTGGATGCCCAGCTGAGGTGCCTCCCAGGGGCCTGCATCATAGCTCCTGTACTGGCAGACCATGCCTGACCATTGGAGAGCTCCAGCAGAGCACCCCCAACTAATGAGCACCAGCCCGCCCATGTACTCTACCCATCACAGCCTCCCCCATGCCATTTGCCAGTGTGCACTCACCCATGACCACCCCCTACATTGCTTTGCTAGTGTGGTTGCATGTATTCAGACCTTGCCCCTCCTTCCCCACCAGTGCACATGTGCACATGCACCCTACCATGCCAACTGCTGCCACTGTGAGTGCATCACACTCCCCACCCCATAACCAATGCAAAGGTATGCAAGGAGACCAGTGGCCCCACAATCTGTCCTGCACTGCCATTGCCATTGGAGTGTTCATGGGTACAGAGACTGCTAACCTTGTGCCTGCCAGTGCCCCGCCACTGTGCCAACAGTGCTGCTGGCATGAAACTACACATGGATGCCAGCAGACCTGCCTCCCACCTTGTGCAGCCACTGCTGCCTGTGCGAGTATGTGCACAGAGGTTACCAGTCCTGCATCTGCCAGCACTCGGCCCCCATGCGTGAACATGCACAGGGACATTGGTGGGCTACCCCCTGCAACATGCTGCACTGCCACCACTGCAAATGTCCACATCCCTGCCCTCATTAGTGCCCCACCACAGCTGATGAGCACGCACCCTGCTGCACTGCTGCTGCTCCTGGCATGTGTAAACAAGCACGGATCCCACTGTCACCACCTAATGAATTGCTTTGGCTGGCATCACCCATTGGAGTGTTGTGACCAGTGGTCTGGGAACACCTTGGCTCTTCCAATACAGTAGGTTCCTAACCTTGAGGGGCCAGATAACAAAGCTGGGGACCTGATACCAGACCCTAGAGTTAGAGCATGCAGTCCAGAAGGCCTAAGCTGAGCCTTGGACCCCTAAAATCTTCCAGAAATGAAGCAGGTTGACTGAACCCAACTTATACCTGAATCAAACCTCCAAGGATGTCAAAGAGGAGGAAAGACAAAAGAAAATGCATTCTAAGGACAGCAACTTCAAAGACTGAAGGAACATCAGCTCACAAAGATTAGAAAGAGCCAGCACAAGAACTCTGGCAACTCAAGAAGCCAGAGTGTCTTCTCACCTCCAAACGACCACACTGTTCCCCAGCAATGTTTCTTAACCAGGCTGACATGACAGAAATAGAATTCAGAATATGTATAGGAACAAAGATCATCAACGTACAAGAAAGTTGAAACTCAATCCAAAGAATCTAAGGATTACAATAAAATGATACAGGAGCTGATAGATGAAATGCCATTATAAGAAAGAACCACCAGGCGCGGTGGCTTATGCCTGTAATCCCAGCACTTTGGGAGGCTGAGGTGGGTGGATCGACTGAGGTCAGGAGTTCGAGACCAGCCTGGCCAACATAGTGAAACCCCATCTCTACTAAAAATACAGAAAATTAGCTAGGCATGGTGGTGGGCACCTGTAATTCCAGCTACTCAGGAGGCTGACGCAGGAGAATCACTTGAACTTGGGAGGCGGAGGTTGCAGTGAGCCAAGATCGTGCCATTGCACTCCAGCCTGGGCAACAGGAGCAAAACTCTGTCTCAAAAAAAAAAAAAAAAAAAAAACCTGATAGAAATGAAAAACACACTACAAGAATTTCATAATGCAATTGCAAGTATTAACAGCAGAATCAACCAAGCTGAGGAAAAAAATCTCAGAGTTTGAAGACTGGTTCTCTGAAATAATTCAGTCAGACAAAAATAAAAAACAATAAAGATGAATGAACAAAACCTCTGAGAAATATGAAATTATGTAAAAATATCAAATATACAACTCATTGGCATTCCTGAAAGAGAGAGAGTGAAACCAAGCAATTTGGAAAGCATATTTCAGGATATCATCCATGAAAATTTTCACAACCTCACTAAAGGGGCCAACATTCAAATTCAGGAAATGCAGAGAGCCCCTGAAAAATACTACAAAATAAGACCATACATGAGACACATAGTCATCAGATTCTCCAAGGTTGAAATGAAAGAAAAAATGTTAAAGGCAGGTAGAGAGAAGGGGCAGGTCACCTGCAAAGCAAACTCCATAAGGCTAACAGCAGACATGTCAGCAGAAATCCTACAAGCCAAAAGAAATTGTGGGCTTATGTTCAGCATTCTTAGAAAAGAAATTCCAAACAAGAACTTCATATCTAGCCAAACTGAGCTTCATAAGCAAAGGAGAAATGAGATCCTTTTTAGACAAACAAATGCTGAGGGAATTTTTTGTGACCAGATGTGCCTTACAGGAGGTCCTGAAGAGAGTGCTAAATATGGAAAAGAAAGACCATTACCAGCCACGACAAATACACACTTGGGTATTTAGACTACTATAAAGCAACCAAACAAGTCTGCATAGTAGCCAGCTAACAACATGATGACAGGATCAAATCCACACATATCAATACTAACCTTGAACATAAATGGGCTAAATGCCCCAATTAAAAGGCACAGAGTGGCAAGTTGGATAAAGAAACAAAACCTAATAGTTTGCTGTCTTCAAGAGACCTGTCTCACATGCAGTGACACCCAAAGTCTCCAAGTAAAAGGATGGAGAAAAATCTACCAAGCAAATGGAAAACTGTAAAAACAAGAGTTGCTATTCTAATTTCAGAAAAAACAGACATTTATTTTCCCTCCTGATCCATGTTCTTATCTCCAGTTTTTTTGTCATTGTTTTTCCTTTGCCTCCTTACTTCATTTTACCTGTGCTGCTTGGCTGTCTAAAACACTGGCCACTAAACGTTTTTTATTATGTACCTCCATTAGCAAAAAGTCTTTGAGCAAGCCTTTCTAACTTACTATTTCTGATTTGCATGCAAAAATTACTCAGTTGACATGTTTGGTACATTATAAAACATATACAGAAAGCCAAATGTATGAAATTAACAATATTTAAAAATGATTTTTGGTAATGGTTCAAAAAACTGATTGAAAAGCTTCATGATTTTTTATAATTGCAGGTTTAAATTGCAGATTAAACTTGTGATTATAAAGCTATTTGAAGGTCTGCTTCTAAATTCAGTTTCCTTCAATACTAATTTTTAATGGCAGTCACTGCTGAAATGATAGCTCAGAAAGAAACATGAATCCAAATTGAAGAAATACATCATTAGAATGATAATATTCACTTTTCATTTCCATCAATCAGGCCAGGCGTGATGGCTCATGCCTGTAACTCGACACTTTGTAAGGCCAAGGTGGGAGGATTGCTTTAAGCCCAGGAATTTAAGACCAACCTGGTCAACACAGTGAGAACTCATCTCTACAAAAAATAAAACAATTAGCCGGGCATGGTGGCACACACCTATAGTCCCAACTACTTGGGAGGCTGAGGTGAGAGGATCTCTTGTGCCTGGGAGGTCAAGGATGCACTAAACTATGATTGTGCCACTGCACTCCAGCCTGTGAAACAGAGTGAGACCATGTCTCAAAAAAAAAAAAAAAAAAAAGAGAAATTTCAATTCCGTCAATCAGTTATGCAAAGGTTTTTTTTAAATTAACTAGTAATTTTTTCCATCTATCATAATGTCAATCAGTTGTTCTTACAGTTGTCTAAAACATTAGACAGTGTAGCATTCCTATATTTTAACAAAGTGTTCCCAGCCAATTGAAATGCTTTATTTCTAAGATTTTTAAAAAGATTAGAAACATACTTCCAGATTTTATATATATGTAGATTTTAGACTTTTAAAAGGTGAGCTGTGTTTCATTTTTAGCAACAAACTCACACCAAGATGGAAATATTTCCTCCTATTCATTTTCAAAACAACCTCTCCATAGTATAAGTTTCTTTTGCTCATTGTTAAATTTCACATATATTTGAAAGGGACAAATTAAGTATGTGTGTGGTTTTTTTTGTTTGTTTGTTTGGTTGGTTTTTATAGAGATGGGGTTTCACCAAATTGCCCAGGCTGGTCTTGAACTCTTGAGCTCAGGCAATCCTCCCACCTTGGCCTCCCAAAGTGCTGGGATTACAGGCATGAGCCACCATACCTGGCCTGATCTATCTTTCTTTCTCTCTCTCTTTCTTTCTTTCTTTTTCTTTCTTTCTTTCTCTCTCTCTCTCTCCTTTCTTTCTTTCTTTCTTTCTTTCTTTCTTTCTTTCTTTCTTTCTTTCTTTCTTTCTTTCTTTCCTCTCTCTGTCTCTCTCTCTCTTTCTTTCTCTCTCTCTCTTTCTTTTTTTTTTGAAATGGAGTCTCGCTCTGTCACCCAGGCTGGACTGCAGTGGCACGTTCTCAGCTCACTGCAACCTCTGCCTCCTGGATTCAAGTGATTCTCCTGCCTCAGCCTCCCAAGTAGCTGGAATTACAGGCGCGTGCCACCACACCAGGCCAATTTTTGTATTTTTAGTAGAGACCAGGTTTCACCATCTTGGCCAGGCTGGTCTTGAACTCCTGACCTCATGATCCACCTGTCTCGGCCTCCCAAAGTGCTGGGATTACAGGTGTGAGCTACCACACCTGGCACATTTATTTCTTAATATCAGCTAAGAAGTGGCTAATTACTCACTTGTTATCCCTGAAAAGATTAGTAAATTTGGAAGAAGTCTTTTCACAAAAGAAAAGCAGTCAATTCATCTTAAAATGTCTTTTAAGAATTTTATATAAGAATCACAGTAAATCTATATTTTAGCACAAAAATTATATTCACTTTCCATCTCATTAAAAAGAATTACATATCTTTAGGAAAGTAAAAGATATTCTTTGTTTTTAATTTATTTTAATTTTAAATTCACCTATGATTTATTATTTGACCTTGATTCTACCATTTAATCTCTCTAATATAACTTTTAAATTAAGATAATAACATCTATTTGTGCTTATTTCCTAAGGATAGTCCAAGGATTGATTAATATTTTATGTAAGCAAAAATGAGTTGTTTCAATGATAGTATAATCTAGGCCATTGGTATATGAAAGAATAGTTAGGAATTTATGTATTTTCACAAAGAAGCAGCAGGGACATAACTAGTAGAATATGTAAGGAAGTAGTATCTTTTTCTTGTGAAAAAGACTTGCCTTTTTAACTCTTTCTCAGGAAAGGTTGCCCCTTTTCCTGATACATAAATTCAGGTGTCAAATACATTAATCAACGTTGCTTTAGGTCATTAACAACCTTCCTGTCTGAATCAAGAAGCAGGAAGTTTGGGTTTTTATTGGATAGGCTACTACTTTTCTTTTTTTTTTTTTTTTTTTTTTGAGACGGAGTCTCGCTCTGTCGCCCAGGCTGGAGTGCAGTGGAACCGTCTCGGCTCACTGCAAGCTCCGCCTCCCGGGTTCAAGCCATTCTCCTGCCTCAGCCTCCGAGTAGCTGGGACTATAGGCGCCCACCACCCCGCCCGACTAATTTTTTGTATTTTTAGTAGAGACTGGGTTTCACTATGTTAGGCAGGATGGTCTCGATTTCCTGACCTCGTGATCCACCTGCCTCGGTCTCCCAAAGTGCTGAGATTACAGGCGTGAGCCACCGCGCCCGGCCTAGGCTACTACATTTTATTTTTATTCATTCATTCAAGAAACATTTACTAAGAACTTACTCCCTGATAAGTACTGTGTGGTATGCAGGGATAAGTTGATGGCTCATGTCTTACAGACAGGTTAATTGAGGAGATAGATGTGCAAATGACTATAACAGAGATATATACAAAGTACTGTAAAAACATGGGAAAGGGAGCAAATTAGAGCCAGTGGAAACTGGTAAGTCTTCTCAGAGTAGATCATGTTTAAGCCTAGAGAAATACTCCAGAACTAACCAAACAGCGAAAGGGAGTAGGGTATTTGAAAAGTATGGTGTGTCTGAATTTTGCATACAGGTTTTCTGCATTTTATTTCTGGGACCTAGCCTCAGCAAATACTGTCATGCAGAGGTTCTCAAACTTTCTCTATTCACAGTGCCCTTTGGGTTTCAATATTTTCACACTCCTAAGCCAAAAGAAATACCTCACAGTTAAGTTTATTAAGTAGGTAGGTTCAAACCGCTTACTAAATATTTAATGTCCTAACAATTTATTAACCATTTGGAAAAGTACTACACATACATTGAAAGAAAAAACCTTTTATTTTATTCTCATTTAATCAATACCACTTACCAATGTAAGGCATGTACTTTTGGCATGGTACAGCTTCTCTGACCTTGGAATCAGATTGGACGTTACCACCTTCATTTCCTGTTCCATGTTAATTTTCACACAGTACTTGTTTTTTTTTTTTTTATCACACAACCACCAATCAAACCAGTTTCAAAAAGATATGATGTCATCAAAATTAATATAGGGCATCTAAAGTTGAAAACTGTGAATTGTGTTAAGTTCATGCTGTGTCTGGTAGATGTTACATATTACTGTTATTTCCCTCAATTTAAAATCCTATGGCATCCTTGTGAGTTTGCTGTGGAGCCCTGGAATGCCTTGATGTGCAATTTGAGAATTGTAGGTTCTCACAGGTTATTATCTATGGCCAGGCTAAAGAAGAGATCAGTGGCTGGGCGTGTGGTTCACGCCTGTAATCCTAGCACTTTGGGAGGCTGAGGTGGGCAGATTGCTTCATCCCAGCAGTTCAAGTTCGGCCTGGGCAACATGGTGAAAGCCCATTTCTACAAAAAACACAAAACTTAGCCAGGCATGGTGGTCCCAGCTACTCAGGAGGTTAAGATGGATGGATCACCTGAGCCTGGGGAGGTCAAGGTTGCAGTGAGCTATGATTATGCCTCTGCACTCCAGCCTGGGCAACAGAGTGACACCCCGTTTCAAAAAAATTAAATAAATAGATATCAATAAAAAGAAGAGAGTAGCTTAGTGTCATGTAGTGAGCAAAAGAAAATAGGGTCATGCTAGCTGATGACTTGATTTCATTAAGAATTATAATGTTGAAAGTTGGACACAGGCACGATCATTTCTATTTTAAAATTTGGTGTGATTTTTACTGTTTGATTTATTTAAAGTGGGTCATTTGTATTATACTCATTTTTTAACAGATGGATGAGTTACATATATCTATGATCCAGTGGATGGTAAACTTGCTGATTTTAATGATACCCAACTTTACTGACCAAGACTGTCTCCTAAAGTTGGAGGAGGAAAGTGCTGAGAAACATGATATAGGAGTTGCGCGATTGGAGCTAGATGCGATTGAACTGACAAGGAAGTTGTACCAATACTCCAGCTATTTGAGCAGGTGAAGCGGTTATTTTATTGTTGCCCTTTTGAAGAATTGAATGTCGCATATAACAGAGAAGAGACAGTGAAGTAGTAGCAATAGGAGTTATTTTAAAACCTTGAAAGAAATACTAGTTCAGTTTTTCAACTAGCTTTAACACTGTGAGCAGTTATAATATGAGATTTTGGTTTTTCTTTTGAAAACTGTTGGCACGGGCAGGATGAGAAGTGTGTGTATGTGGGAGTAAGAATTAGGAAAAAAGGACTCACTTTCTTGCATAAATAAGACACATCTTACACTTTTACACATACTGGTGAGGGAGTGGATTTAAGAAGAATATTGTAGTTTCTTGTGTACCGTCATGTATTTTTTTAGACAGAGTTTTCTTCTGTCACCGAGGCTAGAATGTAGTAGCGTGATCTCGGCTCACTGCAGCCTCCACCTCCCAGGCTCAAGAGATTCTTGTGCCTCAGCCTCCTGAGTAGCTGGGATTTACAGGCATGCACCACGATGCCTGGGTAATTTTTGTATTTTTAGTAGAGGTAGAGTTTTGCCATGTTGGCCAGGCTGGTCTCGAACTCCTGATCTCAAGTGATCTGCCCACCTTGGCCTCCCAAAGTCCTGGAATTACAGCCATGAGCCACCATGCCCAGCCCTGAATGTATACTTTTATGTGCTTCACTAAATGCCAACCAAAACTTCTTTTTACAAAATGGAAGAAAAAAAAAAACAACAACCCACAAACCCTTATATCTGAAAAGCTAGAAGATTTCCACTGAATAAAGATGAAGTCTGGAAAATTGTAATCTATTAACTGAGATGCAAGCTTGATGCTATCATTACTTTAAATTCAGGAAGTAGCTTTTGCATTCTAAGCAAATTTTCCCTTCATTTCAATTCAGTATTACTAAGGGTCAAGAATAAGAGGGATGGAAGGGAGAAGGAGGACAAGGGTAAGAAATTGAGGAGACAAATTATTCTCCTTGGTGAGTCAGTAGCTGAATTATTATGGTGAACTTCCACTTTGTCTGGATTTTTAAAATTTTAAACACTTAGAAGAAGAACCAGCAATAAATAGGTTATGCTGAGTGTGTATTTGCTCTTTTTCTTTTTCTTTTTTTCCCCCTTTTTGCAGTTGTTGCAAAGGGATGGTAACAGCAATGGCTCTGAGTAAATCCACTAACTCACACAAAAATGCTACTGAAGACCTTTATGAGGTGGATAAGTTGAAGGTAATAACTCTGTCTTCCCCTTAGTTTTGTTTTTGTTTTGTTTGTTTTTATCAGATTTTTGAAGTTCAATTGATGTACAACAAGCTCACATATTTAAAGAATACAATCTTATAAGTTCTAAAATATGCATATACTCATAAAAACAATTAATAAAAATGAAAAATAGGGAACATATCAAACACACCCAGAGTTTCCTTGTACTCCTCTTTTATTTATCCTTCCAGCCTCATCTTGTCACCAATGTCTGATCTACTAACACCAAAGATTTTTTTTATTTTCTAGAATTTATAAAAATGGAATTATAAAGAATATACTTTTTTTTCTCTGACTTATTTCACTAAGCATGATTACTTAGAGATTCACACATATTGTTGCTTTTATCAACCACTTATGCTTTTTAGTGCTGAGTAATATTTCATTGTATGGATAGACACAATTTATTTAGTCTCTGTTGTTATGCATTTGAATTGTTTCCAGTTTTAAATTATTACTAGATAACTTCAGTGCATATTCATATGTAAGTCTTTGAATGGATGTATACTTTCACTTCTCTTGGGTTGATATCTAGGAATGGAATGGCTGAGTCACATGGAATGTGTGTGTTTAACTTTTAAAGAAACGGTCAAACTGCCTTCCAAAGTGGCTAATGGGTACAAAAGTGCAGTTAGGTAGAAGGAATAAGCTCTAGTATTCATTAGTACATTAGGGAAATTATAGTTAACAATAATTCGCTGTATATTTCAAAATAGCTAGAAGAGAAGAATTGGCTATCTCCAACATAAAGAAAAGATAAATGTTTGAGGTGATGGATACCCCTGTTACCCTGCTTTGATCTTTACACATTGTACACATGCATCAAGATATCACATGTACTCCAAAATATGTACAAATATGATATATCAATTTCTTAAAAGGTGGTTAAACCATTTTTACACTCTTGCCAGCAGTATCTGAGAGTTCCAGTTGCTTTACATACTCACTGACACTTGATATAGTCAGTCTTTTTAAAATTTTTTTTGAGATGGAGTCTCGCTCTGTTGCCCAGGCTGGAGTGCAGTGGCATGATCTTGGCTCACTGCAACCTCTGCTTCCTGGGTTCAAGCAATTCTGCTTCCTAAGCCTCCTGAATACCTGGGACTACAGGCGTGCACCACTATGCCGGGCTAATTTTTGTATTTTTAGTGGAGATGGGGTTTCACCGTGTTGACCAGGCTGGTCTCAAACTCCTGACCTCAAGTGATCCGCCCTCCTCAGCCTCCCAAAGTGCTGGGATTACAGGTGTGAGCCACTGCGCCTGGCTGATATAGTCAGTCTTTTAAAATTATACATTCTAATAAGTGAGTAGTGGGATGTTATTGTGGTTTTAATTTGCATTTTCTTAATGACCAATGATGTTGAACTTCTTTTCATGTGTGTATTTGTAATCCATGTATTTTCTGTGGTGTAATGTCTGTTCAAATCTTTGACCCGTTTAGTATTGATTTGTTTGTTTCCTTATTATTGAGTTTAGACAGCTGTTTTTTTTCTCGATACCAAGTCTTTTATCAGATACATGATTTTAAAATATCTTCTCTCAGTCTGTGATTTGTCTTTTTTTTTTTTTCCTAAGATAGTATTTTACTATGTTGCGTAGGCTGGACTTGAACTCCTGAGCTCAAGTGATCTTCCCACCTCAGTCTCCAGAGTAGCCAGGATTACAGACATGAACCTCATGCCCAGTTATAGTGTCTTTCAAAGAGAGAAGTTCTTAATTTTGATGAAGTTCAATCTCTGATTTTTTTTCTTTTATAGACCTTGCTTTTGGTATTCTATCTAAAGAAATTTTTGCATAACAACATCATAAAGATTTTCTCCTATGTTTTCTTCTAGAAGTTTTAGAGTTTTAGGCATTATATTCAAGTCTATGACCCATTTTGAGTTAACTTTTAAAAATATGGTGCTGGGGTTGGATTCAAGTTCATTTTGTGGCATTTGGATATCCAATTGTTTTAGCACCATTTGCTGAAAAGGCTGTACTTTCTCTATTGAGATGCCTTTGTATCTTGATTGAAAACCTTTTAACCATATATGTCTTGGTATTATTCTGGACATTCTGTTGTGTTCTGTTGATCCATTTGTCAACATTGTCACCGTCTCCAAACTGCCTTCATTACTATTGTTTTGTAATAAGTTTTAAAATCAGGTAATATAAATCCTCCAAATTTGTTTTTTTTCAAGATCAGGCTATTCTAGGTCCTTTGCTTTCCATATTTTATAATTAGCCTATCAATTTCCTCAAGAAACCTTGCTGAGATTTTAATTGATATTATATCTATTGATCAGTTTGTGGAGAATTGATATCTTAACAATATGGAGTCTTTAAATCTGTGAACATGGTCTATCTCTTCATTTGTTTGTCTTTATTTCTTTAAGCAAAGTTTTATAGTTTTCAGTGTATAGATCTTACATATAGTTTGTGAGATTTATCCCTAAGTATTTCATATTTTGGTGCTACTATACATGGTATTATTTTATAATTACAATTTCTGATTATTCATTGCTAATATATAGAATTACAATGGGGTTTTAGTACATTAATCTCATATCCTGTGACCTTGCTGAATTCACTTATTCCTTCTAAGAATTTTTTTTATTTTGTTTTTTTCAGATTCTTTGGGATTTTTAATACACAGTCATGCAGTCATGTTATCTGCAGATAGGGACAGTTTTATTTCTTCCTTTCCAATCTGTATATATTTTTTCTTTTTCTTGCCTTATTGCACTAATAAGACTGTATAATACTAGGTTGAAAAAGTAATGAGAGCAGATATCCTTGCCTTGGTCCATCTTAGGGAAAAAGTATTAATTGGTCATCTTTAAGTATAATGCTAGCTATAGGTTTTTTTTATAGATACCCTTTATTAGATTGAGGAAATTCTTCTTTATTTCATGTTTGCTGAAAATTCTTTTTTTTTTTTTTTTTTAGTCAGTAATGGATGTTGGATGTTATCAAATCCTTTCGCTGCATCTATTGAGATGCTCGTGAGTTGTCTTTTTTAGTGCGTTAATATGGTGAATTACATTTATTGATTTTTAAATTGAATGTTAAACCAGTATTGTATTCCTGGAATAAACTCCACTTGATCGTGATGTATTGTCCCTCTTATATGTTGCAAATTCAATTGATTGATTGTTTAGAATTTTTGCACTGATGTTCATAAGGGATATTTATTAAATAGTTTTGTTTTGTAATATCTTTGTTTGGTTTTGATATCAGGGTAATGCTGGCCTTTTAAAATGAGTTAAGAAGTGTTTCTTACTCTTCTGTTTTAGAAATAATATGTGTAGAATTGTTTATTTCTTCCATAAATGTTTGGTAGAATTCACCAGTGAAGCATCTGGGCATTGTGGGAAAGTTTTTAACTAACAAATATAGAGCTATCTAATTTCTTTAACAAGTTTAAATACATTTATCACATATAGAGCTATTATTTCCTTTTCTTGAGTGAGCTTTGGACTTGTAAGGAATTTGCGATTTCATCTAAGTTGTCTAGTTTATTGTCATGCAATTGCTCACAATATTCCCTTATTATTCTTTTAATAATTGTAGGATGTCCACTGTCTCATTCTGTTATGGAAATTTTGAATCCTCTCTCTTTTTGTTTTCATGAATCTACACAAAGATTGTCCAATTTTCTTGATCTCAAAGAACCAGATTTTGCTTTCATTGATTTTTCTCCACAATTTTTCTGTTTTCTACGTCCTTAATTTCCAGTCTAGTCTTTATTGTTTATATTTTCTTACTTATTCTGGGTTTAATTTGCTCTTCATTTTCTGGTTTCTTAAAGTGTAGCTGAGATTATTGATTTGAGACCTTTTTACCTCCTCCCCCATACCCCCGTAGGCATTTAGTAGTACAAACTTTCTGTTTTAGCTGCATCTCACAGATTTTGATATGTTGTGTTTTCATTTTAATTCCATTTAAAATACATTTTAATATCCATTTTGCATTCTTCGTTCATCCATGGGTTATTTAGAAGTATATTTAGTTCCCAAATATTTGAGTATTTTCCAGAGCTCTTCTGCTATTGATTTGTAATATGATTTCATTGTAGTCAGAGAACATATTTTGTACCACTTACATCCTTTCCAATGTATTGAGACTTGTTTGAGAACCTAGAACATTATCTGTCTTGGTAACTGTTCCATGTACAATTGAGAAGAATATTCTGTTATTGATGGAGTTCAAATCAAATTGGTTGATAGTCTTATTTAAGTGTCCTATATCCTTGTTGATTTTCTGTCTACTTGATCCATCAGTTATTCAGAGAGGAGTATTGAAACCTTGACTATAATTATGTTTTGTTTATTTTCTTGGAGTTCTATCAGTTTTTGCTTCATGTATTTTGAAGCTATGTTATTAGGTGCAAATACATTTAGAGTGAATTGACTCTATCATTATGAAATTACTCTCTTAACACTGCATCTCAATAGACCCAGAAAAAGCTTTCAATAAAATCCAATATCCTTTCATGATAAAAACCCTCAACAGACTAGACATTGAAGGAATATACCTCAAAATAATAAGAGCCATCTATGACAAACCGATAGCCAACATCGTACTGAATTCAGGGCAAAAGCTTGAACCATTCCCCTTGAGAACTGGAACAAGACAAGGATGCCCAGTCTTACTATTCCTATTCAACATAGCTCTGGAAGTGCTAGCCAGAGCAGTTAGGCAAGAGAAAGAAATAAAAGGCCTCCAAACAGGAAAAGAAGAAGTCAAGCTATCTGTCTTTGCTGATGATAGGATTCTATACCTAGAAAATCTTAAAGACTCTGCCAAAAGGCTCCTAGAATTGATAAACAACTTTAGTAAAGTTTAGGATACTAAGTCAATATACAAAAAGCAATAGCATTTCTATACACCAATAATGTCCAGGCTGAGAGTGAAGTCGAGAATACAATTCCACTTACAATAGCCACAAGAAAATCAAATACCTAGGAATACATCTAGCCAAGGAGGTGAAAGGCGTCTACAAGGAGAACTACAAAACACTGCTGAAAGAAATCAGAGATGACACAAATTAATGGAAAAACATTTCATGCTCATGGATAAGAAGAATCAATATCATAAAAATGGCCATACTGCCCAAAGCAGTTTATAAATTCGGTTCTATTCCTATCAAACTATCAATGTCATTCTTCACAGAATTTGAAAAAAATATTAAAAGTTCATATGGAACTGAAAGAGAGCCCAAATAGCCAAAGCAGTCCTGAGCAAAAGGAACAAAGCTGGAGGCATCACACTACCTTACTTCAAACTATATAATAAAGTAAACAAAACAGCATGGTACTGGTACAAAAACAGACATGTAGACTAATGGAACATAATAGAAAACTTAGAAATATGGCTTCACACCTACCAACCATCTGATCTTCAACAATGCTGACAAAAACTAGCAAGGGGGAAAAGACTCCCTATTCATTAAATGGTGCTGGGATAAATGGATTAAAGATTTAAATGTAAGACATCAAACTATAAAAATCTGGGAAAACAAGACTGGAAAATATTCTTCTTGACATTGACCTTGGCAAATAATTTTTGGCTAAATCTCCAAAAGCAGTAGCAACAAAAACAAAAATAGACAAGTGGGTCCTAATTAAAGAACATCTGCACAGAAAGGAAACTGTCATTGGAAAAACAGAAAACCTCCAGAATAGGGGAAGATATTTGCAAACTATGTGTCTGACAAAGGCCTAATATCTAGAATCTATAGGGAACTCAAACAAATCAACAAGCAAAAACCAAATAACCCACTTAAAAATGGGCAAAGGATATGAACAGATATTTCTCAAAAGAAGATACACAGTGGCCAACAAACATATGAAAAAATTCTCAGCATCACTAATCATCAAGTAAATACAAATCAAAACCACAATGAGATACCATCTTACACCAGTCAGAATAGCTTATAAAAAGTCAAAAAAAAACAACAGATGCTAGTGAGGCTGCAGAGAAAAAGGAAAACTGTTATTCACTGTTGTTGGGAATGTAAATTAGTCTAGCCATCGTGGAAAGCCGTCTGGAGATTTCTCAAAGAACTTAAAACAGAGCTACAGTTCAACACAGCAATCCCATTACTGTCTACATACCAAAAGAAAATAAATCATTCTACCAAAAAGACATATGCATTCACATGTTCACTGCTGTGCTATTCACAAGAGCAAACAATAATAGACCAAAACTGGAAACAACCTAAATGTCCATCAATTGCGACTAGATAAACAAAATGCAGTATATTTATATAATAGAACATTATTTGGCAGTAAAGAAGTACTGATACATGCAACAACATGGAAGAACCTTGAAAACATGTTGAGTGAAAGAAGTCAGTAATATATTGTGATGTTTCAAAAGACCACATATTTATTCACATAAAATATTTCAAAAGACCTCATATTGTATTATTTTATTCACGTAAAATGCCCAGAATAGGCAAATCTATAGAGACAGAAAGATTAGTGGCTGCCTGGAGCTTGTAAAGGAGGGGGAGGAATGGGAAATGAACAACTGCTAACAGGTACAGGCTTTCTTGGGGCCTGATGAAAATATTCTAGGAATAGATTGCAGCGATGGTTGCACAACTTTGTGAATAACTAAAAACCATTGAATTATACACTTTAAATGGGTGTATCATATGTTTTTGAATACCTGACTAAAAGGAGATGATCAAGAGAGCCCAAAATTGGTCTGCTAAAAGACTAAAATTGGGAAGCTTTTGGCAAGATTAATTAAGACAAAAAGATGCAAAAAATTATTTCAGGAATGAGTAACTCAGATGATTCAGACATTAGAAAGATAGTAGGAAGAGATTATGAAGGACATTATCACAAACATTTGAAAATTTAGATGAAATGGACAAATAAATATAACCCAGAAGACTTGCGAATAAATTAAAAACCCAAGTAGTCCTATAACCATTAAAGGAATTCGTCAAAAATCTTCCCCCAAAAGATGCTCTAAGTATAGACAGCTTCAACAGAAAGCCCTATCAAACATTTAATAAATAAATAATTCTGTTCTTATACAGACTCTTTCAGGGTCTAAAGAAGAGGGAATACTTTTTATACAAAAACGCAAAAGGGATTGTTCAAGAAAGGGAAATTATAGACCAGTCTCACATGGAATACAAAAGTCCTGAACAAAATACAGGCAAATCAAATCCAGCAGTAAATGAGAGGGGTAACACACATTATGAACATGTTAATTTTGTTCTAGGAATGCAAGTTCGTAATATAACATCTGTAATGTATCTATAGGTACACTGGATACAACCCAATTGATAAAAAATTAATGGCTATATATGTATATATATATATAGCCATTAATTGCAGGGTACATTATGTGTGTGTGTGTGTGTGTGTGTGTGTGTGTGTGTGTGTGTGTGTATTGCCTGCCAGCATTAAGTAGTTATGAAACATGAAAAAGGTAATATTTATAATAATTTCAAAATTATAAAGTACTTAGGAATAAATCTAATAAAAGTTGATCAGTTTCTTTCTAGAGTATATTTCAAACTTTATTTGAGAAACATTAAAAGACCTAAGTGGAAGATACACCATGTTCATGAACTGAAAGATTCTATATTGTAAAGATGTCAATTCTCCTCAGGATGCTATGTAGCGATCCTGTCCAATACAGTAGCCACTAGCCACATATTGCTATTCACATTTGAATTAATTTATTTTTATTTTTTGAGACAGAATCTGGCTCTGTTGCCCAGGCCGGAGTGCAGTGGCACGATGTCAGCTCTCTTGAACTCTGCCTCTCGGGTTCAAGAGATTCTAGTGCCTCAGCTTCCTGAGTAGCCGGGATTACAGGCACAGGCCACCATACCTGGCTAATTTTTGTATTTTTAGTAGAGACAGGGTTTTGCCATGTTGGCCAGGCTGGTCTTGAACTCCTGGTCTCAAGTGATCCACCCGTCTCAGCCTCCCAAAGTACTGGGATTACAGGTGTGAGCCACCATGCCTGGCTGAATTAATTTAAATTTAAAAATTCACCTCTCCAGTCATATTAGCCATATTTTAAGTGCTTAATAGTACATGTTGCTACCAGGGATCATATTGGACCACACATATATAGAACATTTCTATTATTATGGAAAGTTCTATTAAACAGCACTAATCTAGGTGTCACAATCAAGTTTCCAACAGTTTTTTTTTCAACTTGACAAACTGTCTCTAAAAGCTGTTTTGGATATTCAAAGAACCAAGAATAGCTAACACACTTTTGAAAATAAGGTGAGAGGACTCATCCTCCCATATTTTAAACTTCTTGTAAAGCTAAACTGAAACAGCATGGTGTTAGTTCAAAGATGGACAACTATGTCAATGGAATCAAAAAACAGAACCAAAAATTTATGGCCTTTTATATAAGCATGGCATACAGAATTAATGAGGAAATGATGAACTTTCCAATTAAAAATACTAGGGGGCTGGGTGCAGTGGCTCACGCCTGTAATCCCAGCACTTTGGGAGGCTGAGGCGGGTGGATCATGAGGTCAGGAGATCGAGACCATCCTGACTAATACAGTGAAACCCCATCTCTACTAAAAATACAAAAAAATTAGCCAGGTGTGGTGGTGCACCCCTGTAGTTCCAGCTACTGGGGAGGGTGAGGCAGGAGAATCGCTTGAACCGGGAAGGCGGAGGTCACAGTGAGCCAATCACGCCACTGCATTCCAGCCTGGGCGACAGAGTGAGACTGTGTCTTAAAACAAAACAAAACAAAACAACAACAAAAAAACTCAAAAACTAGGAATATTGGCTATCTATATAGGAGAGATGAAATGAGACTTTTACTTCACACAAAAATCAATTCCAAATGGACTAGAAACCTACATGTGAAAGTCAAAATTATAAAGCTTTTAGAAGACAATATCTAAGATCTTGGGGGTAGGAAAATTTTTTTTAAGTAAGAGATAAGAAGCACTAACTCAAAGGGAAAAGGTTCATAATTTTGATTACCTTAAATTTAAGAATTATTTTTGTCAAGAAAATACCATTAAAACAAAAACAATCCACAAAATGGGAGACTGTATTTGCAACACTTATAACTGACAAAGGACCAGTATCCAGAATAGAAAATGACCTTCTAGGAATCAATATTATAAAAATACACAACCCAATAGAAAAATGGGCAAAAAGCCTGAATGTATACCTCACCAAAGAGAAAATCCCAATGGTTGACATACTTATGAAAAGCTGCTCAATTTCATAAGTGATCAGGGAAATACAAACTAATATCACTACTTACATAACAAGCTGGCAAAAATTACAAAGTCTAGGCCGAGTGTGGTGGCTTACGCCTGTAATCTCAGCACTTTGGGAGGCCGAGGTGGGCGGATCACCTGTGGTCAGGAGTTCAAGATCAGCCTGGCCAGCGTGGTGAACCTCTGTCTCTGCTAAAAATACAAAATTAGCCCGGCATGGTGGCACGCACCGGCAGTCCCAGCTACTGGGGAGGCTGAGGCAGGAGAATCGCTTGAACCCGGGAGGCAAAGTTTGTGGTGAGCCAAGATTGCACCACTGCACTTCAGCCTGGGCAAAAGAGCAAAACTCTGTCTAAAAAAAAAAAAAAAAAAAAAAAGAAATTGCAAAGTCTGGCAATACAAGTGTTAACAAGAATGAGGGAGCAACAGGTACTTCTATACTGCTGGTAAGAATATAAATTTGTACATCCACTTTGGAAATCAGTTGACATTATCTGTTAAAGTTGCAACACACTTTGCAACAAACAATTCTATTCATCTGTCAGTATACTAGATAAGCTCTTACACAAGTGCTCTAGACTAAGAGACATACATAAGAACATTCTGGCCAGGCGTGGTGGCTCACACCTGTAATCCCAGCACTTTGGGAGGCTGAGACGGGTGGATCACCTGAGGTTGGGAGATCAAGACCAGCCTGACCAACATGGAGAGACCCCGTCTCTACTGAAAATACAAAATTAGCCAGGCGTGGTGGCGCATGCCTGTAATCCCAGCTACTCAGGAGGCTGAGGCAGGAGAATCACTTGAACCCGGGAGGCGGAGGTTGCGGTGAGGTGAGATCGTGCCATTGCATTCTAGCCTGGGCAAAAAGAGCAAAACTCCGTGTAAAAAAAAAAAAAAAGGATATTCCAAGATTATTTCTAGAAGTATCCTCAAACTGGAAACAACTCAAATGTCCATAAATAGTAGAATAAATATTATGAATATTATGGTATATGAGGACTGGCATGTAGGGAGCAATTCTCTCTTTAAACTGCATATGTGTATTTTATGTCTCTCTGTATGTATGACAGATCTCACAGTTTTTGAACAGTTTTATAACTATTATAAAACTGTTTAAAAACTTTTATGTTATAAAATTTATGTACAACATCTTGCTAATACATTTTAAATCTCTAGGAGATGGAGACTTTTCTAGGAAAATAGTATCATTAATCCTTGAAGGAGAAAATTGGCCAATTTTCAGTGAAAAATTGGATGCACTAATTTTTAGAAATGCTAAAAATTTTGCCTGGATTCCTCAGACAGGTTTTTTCAGACTTTTTTTTAATTTTTATTTTTATTTTAATTTTATTGTTATTATACTTTAAGTTTTAGGGTACATGGGCACAATGTGCAGGTTTGTTACATATGTACACATGTGCCATGTTGGTGTGCTGCACCCATTAACTTGTCATTTAGCATTAGGTATATTTCCTAATGCCATCCCTCCCCCCTGCCCTCACCCCACAACAGTCCCCGGAGTGTGTGATGTTCCCCTTCCTGTGTCCATGTGTTCTCATTGTTCAATTCCCACCTATGATTGAGAACACGCGGTGTTTGCTTTTTTGTCCTTGTGATAGTTTGCTGAGAATTATGCAGACTTTCAAGGAGTAGGGTAATCCCCATGCTATATAAACAGTGTAAGAGCATAGATAACGACTGAAAGTATTCCCATTTTATTTCACATAGCTACTAATGTCCTTTAAAAAGTCCAGATGAGTATAGAGAAAATAAATCTTATGTATTAATATATAGGTGCTAAATCCAAATTTAAAATAGCAAATTTAATGTGGTAGAAAATTACAAGACTAAAACACCATGAACATTTAGGGTGTATGTCAGGGAAGCAATAATATTTTACTATTTGAAAATATGCTACTATAGGTATATATCACTTCTCATCTAAGAGTTGAATGAAATGTCTGAGTTCTCATTTTGGTTCTGGGAAGGCTTCAGAAGGATTCTTCACAACAGGCTGTTATACTTCTGAACCAAGCAGTCTCTTGGAACCCACACTATACATCTAGAAATGTGTTCAAGCCTTCTCAGGCCTGCTGCGAATAGCCCCTTCTTCTGTCCACCCCAGGATGTGGTGGGGATCCTGATTTTGGCAGGCTGGACCTGCCACAGATGGTGGTGGAGACCCACTGGCCAACTCTATGACACACTTAGTCCTCATTTACCTAAAAGTGGGTAGAGCTCTGTGTGGCGAGACCAGGTTTTCAGATAAAGGTAATCTGGAATGAGGATTTCAAGATGTTTTGAGGTGTATCTCCCTATAAAAGTTAAGGCTATAGCCATATGGAGGACACTATCATGAGGAGCCCTTCCTGAGGGAACTTCAGGGTTCAGGAACTTATAAAATTATCCAGATGAGGAGATTTTGTGGAAGCCTTGTGCTATGGCCATTCATTGCCCTGCGCCACCCCATCCCCTGACTGGATGCCCATAACCTGACCATCTCTTTGAGGACCTACACTTTCCACTAGTGCTACTTTGGTCCTCTGTTAAGCTCTTTCTCACTCACTAACCGTTCTCTAGTGATTTCAGATAAATAAACTGGGGGAGTCTTATCAGAGGAGGCTGAGAATCTGCTCTCACACCAGAGGTAAGGCTGTAACTGAGCCTATGCAAAGGCCTTCTTCTGCTAAGAAAATGCATATGCCTTTTCCCTAAGCCTGAGGCCTCTCAAGGGTATATCAAGCGAGTTTATGGTAAGGGGCTTAGCAGACCATACTGAGGTACTCTTTAAAAAAATGGTTAGTTCCATCTTCATGAAGGTTATTTTTATTTCAAATTCATCACCATCCTGGACTGCTACCATCTTCTCCTGATCTAGACAAACCTCTATGGTACATGAATCTTTATGACATCAGACTTTGGGATTTCTATGGCCTCATCCACATCCCACAAGGTGAAAAGAAGATGGTTTTCCAGAGAAGCCTTGTCTAATGCAGCTCTATGGTAATGCTGTGTGGCTTGTGCCACATTCTAGCATTTGACCTACTAGACTGATATTTGGATGACATTAGTGAGAGTTTCCCACAAGCTAATGTTTCTGCTTCTTTCCAGCCAAGGAGATTTGCATGATGCTGGACAGGGTTCAGAACTGAGGATCTTGGCCAGGTGCAGTGGTTCATGCCTGTAATCCCAGCATTTTGGGAGGCTGAGGCAAGCAGATCACCTGAGGTCGGGAGTTTGAGACCAGCCTGGCCAACATGGTGAAACTGTGTCTGTACTAAAAATACAAAAATTAGCCAGGTGTGGTAGTGGGTGCCTCCAAGCTACTCAGGAGGTTGAGGCAGGAGAATCCCTTGAACCCGGGAGGTAGAGGTTGTGCCGAGCCGAGATTGCTCCACTGCATTCCAGCCTGGGCAACAGAGCGAAACTCCATCTCAAAAAAAAAAAAAGAAAAAAGAAAAACAGAAAAAAATTGAAGATCTCCTAGGTAACCATCTTTTGGAGTTTGATCACCCCTACTGATATAAATTCTTACTCCACTTTCCATAACAGTCTAGGTAAATTGCTTCTTCAGAAACAGATAGGGATTATCTAGTTCCCCAAGAGTACTAAGGCAGTCCAGGGGCTAATTATTTACCATCCACCTGATCCTGGCATAGCTTGATCCAGTCTGACCTCATACAGCGGGAGGCCATTTTTTAGGAGGACTCAGTTCTGAGAATCCTTGCTCCTGTGCCTATTTCAGACAGAAACTGATGTCATTGTATAGCAACCACTCCACTTGGAGATGAGAATTCCTTGTTATAAGGCTTCATGTGAGACTTGGAGGCACTATATCAGAGTCCTGGCATCCAGTAAGAGTATACAAGAACTACTGCAGCCTAGAACAGCTACTGAAAGCCTGGAAACTTAGCCAGGCCAGATAAGCTAGATGGATTTTTTTTTTCAAGTGCTTTAGGTTGACTATCTCTACTGTTCCAAGGACCTAGAATTAGAGTCACTGATACACTGAAGAATAGTCATAATCTGAGCAAATGGCAGATTACTGGGAAGGGCCTCTGAGATATCCTTCAGCAGGCCAAGACTGACAAAAAAGACACACATTGACCAGCACCTGACAGTGCTGAGAATATATGGGAGGGAAATATACCAAATAAATACCTACCATAATGGAAATGAGGACCTCTAGCTGGCGCTCTTCAAACTTGACTTCCAGCTACAATTAACTTCCTCTATGCCGGCTGTGCACAGTAGCTCACACCTGTAATCCCAGACTTTGCGAGGCTGAGGCAAGTGGATCACTTGAGGTCAGCAGTTCGAGACCAGCCTGGCCAACATAGTGAAGCCCCGTTTCTACTGAAAATTCAAAAATTAGCCGGGCATGGTGGCATGCCTGTAGTCTCAGCTACTCAGGAGGCTAAGGTAGGAGGATCATTTGAGCCTAGGAGGCGGAGGTTGCAGTGAGCCGAGATTGCACCACTGCACTCTAGCCTGGGCGACAGAGTAAGACTCTGTGTCAAAAAAACAAAACAAAACTTCCTCTATGCCATTTGGTCTCATCTCTGCCCTGTGTAGTCTGCCATCCACCTTGGACCACAATAGGCTTTCTTTATGTCACCAGAGATAGCACTGCCGGTTCCAGGATTTGGTCCTCCAAAAGGACTATGACTGAAGATGGTGGTAGTAGGAATCTTACTCTCAAGATGTTTTAGCAGGTAAATTCAAGCCCCAGCTTTCCTTCCTTATGGGGGGATCTGTGGATCATGGATTCTTAATAGCTCCATTTATAGCCAGTGTCTTACTGCTGGTACCCTATAAAAGACTCTCCTGTGGCCTTCTGTTTCTCCTGCTACAATAGGCTTAACATTTAGGACTATCACTTGCTTCTTAAATACTCCTTCACTCCAAACATGAATTTTAGTCCTTTTACTTCACACCAGAAGTCTTTATTAGAATCAATTAAGAATATTCATGGAAAGAGATTCATGGGTATTAATTAGCAACCAAGCTATCCTGGTCTATAGCTGATAAAAAGGTATTATTGAAGGTTTTGAAGGAAAACTTGCTGAACTCTATAGATTATTGTAAAACGTTTACAGTAAAACTGTAAAAGACTCCTAATAATTTTTTTCCTCATCAGAAGTCTTATGACAGTATCTCCAATGTCTCAGACATTTATAAGAAAATGACCAGGATCTGTTTCATAGCGTGCAAATTCAACTACAGACTAGTTTTGAAATTTTTTTGTTCTAGGTACAATAAAAAAAGGTTAAAAAATGTATTAGTCAAGCTTTATATCTGGAAGGATACTTAGGGGCAGTGGTGTGATAGAAACTCACACTGGCTCACAAGAACCAATTATATACAAGCCTTCTCAAGTCCACATTCTGTGATAACATACTGAATTGATGAATATCACTGAAATTGCCTGGTGAGAGTGTTTTCACCATGGAAATCAGAAATTGCTACAAATCAGGGCTTCCCCCAACTCCCTCAGAAATGGTTGTTAAACATTTACCAGGTCACCACTGCATATGGATCACTTAGAGTAAACAAACAGCTTCATTAAAAAAAAAAAGATAAGGACTATTAGGCATTTACTCAAGAACTCTCAACTAATTAGGTGAAGTTAGGACTAAAACCCAACACCTTCATCTGCCTTGTCCACTCTTCTTCCTGATATGCAATAAGATACCATTCTAACCCTCTGAATCCAGAATTTAACCATCAGTGACATTAACAAAGCTGTAGTAAACTTACTTTACCACTATAGGCTTCAGTTTCTTTATCTACAACATATGGATTTAGATTTGATTTCTAAAATTTTTGGCTCTGATGTTTCATAATAATTACACAATTTAAAAGAAATCTGGGCCAGGTACAGTGGCTCATGCCTGTAATCCCAGCATTTTGGGAGGCTGAATTGCTTAAGTCCAGGAGTACAAGCCCAGCCTGGGCAAGAAAAAGTAAAAAAATTAGCCAGGTATGGTGGTGCACACCTGTGGTCCCAGCTACTTGGGAGGCTGAGGTGGGAGGATCACTTGAGCTTAGTGGGTCGAGGCTGCAGTGAGCTATGATGATGCCACTGCACTCTAGCCTGGGCAACAGAGCAAGACCCTGTCTCAAAAAAAAAAAAAAGGCTAATAATGAAAGAAATATAAGGTATATTACTGCTCATTGTGGTTGATTTCAGGAGCCTACAGTGGGTCATTTCACCACATGCTGCCGTTTTTTGGCTAGAGTGACCAGATCTCTGTTCCCAGAGAGGACAACGTTTCCTAGTTCTCAGGGCTTTTATTAACTAATAAGGAATAATGTACCTTTTAAACGTTGAAACCAGCTCTTAACTGTTAGGAGATCTTGGTAAATACAGTTTAACTATTTACCTTAGGGGATTAAAACCTGCTATAGACCTTTCCCATATCTCAATAGATAAAAGGTGAGCACCTTTTCCAAAAGTGTCTCAAATCTTGATCCATTCACTTTATTAGCAGTAGAGGGATTTTTTTTTTTAGTGGTTAAGCACAGACCACATAGATTAGAATCCAAGCATCATACTTAACTATTTTTGTGACCTTGAGCAAGACATTTAACTACTCAATTTCTCAGTTTCCTCATCTTAAAAAATGAGGATAATAATAGTTAATGTCTCATACTGAGGATCAAATGAGTTAATATATGCATAATGCTTAGAACAGAGTCTGGCATATAATTAAGTACAAGGTAGGTGTTTGCTACTTCTGTTGTTATTATGCAATCACAGTTGACCTGGTCAGTTGCATAAAATTTATTAGGAGGCCATTTAGACATTAGTAAATAAAACAATCTTTTTGTATCTGTTTTTACGGCACTTCACTACTCCCTGTCCCATTACAACCCAGATCCCACACCGTGTCAATAAGAGATAATATGATTTAGGTGTATGTTAATAGCCAGTCACCACTGCACAACTCTTTGAACTGAACTGATATAAAGTTAATTGAATATAGTTATGTTTAGAGGAATTGTATTTATCAGTTCCTCAATAGCGGTGAGTGAATAAATGAGCTGGTTTTTCTGCTTGTAATCTTTTATCTCTTCTCAGAAAGAATGTTATGAATGGATCAACACATGCTCTTGCCTCCTTTCTAATATCAAAGGCAGAAAAATTACATTATTGACATATGAAGAAATAGAGCGGCTACTTGAAGAGGTATTTGCCACATGTTAGCGTTGGTCATTATTCAGATTATTCCTGTATTTCAGTACAGAAGGTTCACAGCTTTTTCCAATCAATGTTCTGAATCCTTGTTCATTTACCCTAACATATGAGAATTTTGGTTCTGATCAAGATCTTTCACAGCTCTTCTTCCCTCTAAGGAATAGAATCATCCACTCAGCATTTTGCGTCATGTTTTTAGCAGGTGATTTTATAAAGGAAAGAATGGGTTTCAGGTAGAAGCTCCCTGCCACTTCCTGAGGCATATCCTCAGGTTCATCTGCTTCTGTGCTCACCCTTTTCCCTCCCCTCCAGTCTCAGTCTTTCCATTTAAGGTTATTTCTTCCTTCGAGCACTTAATCCCATGTCCAATGTCTTCTCTGTTTTGCCTCTTTAATATCTTCTCTAATTGTTCCATTTTATCAATCTAAAAGCAATCTAAAACATGGTCATTTCTCCCATCCTAAGAAGGATGTCCCTTGACCTTGTCTCTCTGCTACTTCTTTCTCTCTTTCCATTCCATCATAATCAATTTGTTTAAAACTCTAGAACTACTATAAGGTCACCAGTGATTCCTTATTGCCAAATCCAAGTATCTTCAATTTTGTATTTAACCTGGCTTCTGTGTAGCATTTGGCTCTCTTAACCATTCACTCCTTTTACAATGTCCTGGTTTTTCTCCTACTTCTTTATTTCACCCTTGTTTTAGAGTTTCACCCTTTTCTGCCTCTTAAATGTTGATATTCTGTCCTTGGCTTGCTTTCACTTCTCATTTGTACACACTACCTATTACTGTGTTTCCTGTGGTTTTCATTGCCACCTGCTTACCGAGAATCTCAAATCAGTGACTATCATGTGCCATCACAAACTCAACTCTTGTTTGTATTTCAGCCTCTTTGAAGGCGTTCTCCTCCAGTAAATTCTGAAGAAGCTCCCATTGTTATCAGAGTCATACTATACAGGTATGATCTGATGGCCTATATGTCAGTGTCTTGGGTCTGAGAAAGAAGGGGAAGGTTCTATCTACACATTTATGAAACTTTTTTTTTACATTTAAACACTGAAGAAATATCATCTTTCTAAATTATTCACCTTTAACAAATGTGCTGTCTAGATCTTGGCAAGAATTATTGTGAAATAACCACTGAATGATTTTATCAACATTATAAATTGTAAATTATAGTATACTTTGAGAAACTTAATGAAATACCACCGACATGATCTTGGTGTATCAGATCTAGGAAAAAATCAAGGAACTGTACAGAATCAGAGACGTGAGAGCAGAAGGGAATTTAAAGGCAATTGAATTTAACCTTGCATGAATCTGACAAGTCTTTTATTTTTTATTTTTCCATAGGTTACTGGGGTACAGGTGGTGTTTGGTTACATGAGTAAGTTCTTTAGTGGTGATTTCTGAGATTTTGGTGCACCCATCACTCGAGTAGTATACACTGCACCCTATTTGTAGTCTTTTATCCCTTGCCCCCCTCCCACCCTTCCCCCCAAATCCCCAAAGTCCATTGTATCATTCTTATGCCTTTGCATCCTCATAGCTTAGCTCCCACACATCAGTGAGAACATATGGTGTTTCGTTTTCCATTCTTGAGCTACTTCACTTACAATAAGAGTCTCCTGTAGTCCCAGCTACTCAGGAGGCTGAGGCAGGAGAATCGCTTGAACCCAGGAGGTGGAGGCTGCAGTGAGCCGAGATCACGCCACTGCATTCCAGCCTGGGCGACAGAGTGAGACTCTGTCCCCCACAAAAAAAAAAAGTTTCTCCAGTCTCATCCAGGTCACTGAAAATGCTGTTAATTCATTCCTCTTCATGGCTGAGTAGCATTCCATCATATATATACATATATAATATGGTAGTGTGTGTATATATATATATATTCCAATCATATACATAATATGATTTTATATATATATACACACACTACCACATATATATGGTATAATATATACATAGTATATGGTATATGGGGTGTGTGTGTGTGTGTGTGTGTGTGTGTGTATATGTATATACACCACAGATTTTTATCCACTTGTTGATTGATGGGCATTTGGGTTGGTTCCATGATTTTGCAATTGTGAATTGTGCTGCTATAAACATGCGTGTGCAAGCATCTTTTTCCTATAATGACTTCTTTTCCTCTGGGTAGATACCCAGTAATGAGATTGCTGGATCAAATGGTAATTCTACTTTTAGTTCTTTAAGGAATCTCCACACTGTTTTCCATAGTGGCTCTACTAGTTTACATTCCCTCCAGCAGTGTAGAAGTGTTCCTTGATGACCGCATTCATGGCAACATCTACCGTTTCTTGATTTTTTGATTATGGCCATTCTTGCAGGAGTAGGGTGGTATTGCATTGTCGTTTTGATTTGCATTTCCCTGATCATTAGTGAGGCTGAGCTTTTTTTCATATATTTGTTGGCCATTTGTGTCTCTTCTTTTGATAATTGTCTATTCATGTCCTTAGCCCACTTTTTGATGTGATTGTTTGTTTCATTTCTTGCTGATTTGTTGGAGTTTGTTTTAGATTCTGGATATTAGTCCTTTGTCAGATGTAAAGATTGTGAAGATTTTCTCCCACTCTGTGCGTTGTCTGTTTACTCTGCTGACTGTTCCTTTTGCTGTGCAAAAGCTCTTTAGTTTAATTAAGCCCCAGCTATTTATCTTTGTTTTATTGCATTTGCTTTTGGGTTCTTGGTCATGAAATCTTTGCCTAAGCCAATGTCTAGAAGGGTTTTTCCAATGTTATGTCTAGAATTTTTATAGTTTCAGGTCTTAGATTTAAGTCCTTAATCCATCTTGAGTTGATTTTTGTATAAGGTGAGAGATGAGGATCCAGTTTCGTTCTCCTACATGTGGCTAGCCAATTATCCCAGCACCATTTGTTTAAAAGGGTGTCCTTTCCCCACTTTATGTTTCTGTTTGCTTTGTTGAAGATCAGTTGGCTATAAGTATTTGGATTTATTTCTGGGTTCTCTATTCTGTTCCATTGGTCTATATGCCTGTTTTTATACCAGTACCATGCTGTTTTGGTTACTATGGCCTTATAGTATAGTTTGAAATCAGGTAGTGCGATGCCTTCAGATTTGTTCTTCATGCTTAGTCTTGCTTTGGCTATGCGGGCTCTATTTTGGTTTCATATGAATTTTAGAATTTTTTTTTCTAATTATGTGAAGAATGATAGTGGTGTTCTGATGGGGATTGCATTGAATTTGTAGATTGCTTTTAGCAGTATGGCTATTTTCACAGTATTGATTCTACTCATCCGTGAGCTTGGGGTGTGTTTCCATTTGTTTATGTTGTCTATGATTTCTTTCAGCAGTGTTTGTAGTTTTCCTTATAGAGGTCTTTTGCCTCCTTGGTTAGGTATATCTCTAAGTATTTTATTATTTTTGCAGCTGTTGTAAAGGGGTTGAGTTCTTGATTTGACTCTCCGCTTGGTAGCTGTTGGTGTAGAGAAGAGCTACTGATTTGTGTACATTAGTCTTGTATCCGGAAACTTTGCTGAATTCTTTTATCATTTCTAGGAGCTTTCTGGAGAGTCTTTAGGGTTTTCAAGGTAAATGATCATATTGTCAGGAAACAATGACAGTTTGACTTCCTCTTTACCAATTTGGGTGTCCTTTATTTCCTTCTCTTGTCTGATTGCTCTGGCTGGGACTTCCAGTTCTATGTTGAAGAGGAGTGGTGAGAGTGGGTAGGTATCCTTGTCTCATTCCAGTTCTCAGAGAGAATGCTTTCAGCTTTCCCCATCCAATATTATGTTTGCTGTGGATTTGCCATAGATGGCTTTTAATACATTGAGTTATGTCCATTGTATGCTGATTTTGCTGAGAGTTTTAATCATAAAGGGATGCTGGATTTTGTTGAATGCTTTTTCTGCATCTATTGAGATGATCATGTGACTTTTGTTTTTAATTCTGTTTATGTGGTGTATCACATTTATTGACTTGTGTATGTTAAACCATCCCTGCATCCCTGCTATGTAACCCACGTGATCATGGTGGATTATCTTTTTGATATGTTGTTGGATTCAGTTAGCGAGTATTTTGTTAAAGATTTTAGTGTCTGTGTTTATCAGGGATGTCAGTCTGTGGTTTTCTTTTTTAGATATGTCCTTTCCTGGTTTTGGTATTAGGGTGATTCTGCCTTCATAGAATGAATTAGGGAAGGTTCCCTTTTTTCTCTATCTTGTGGAATAGTGTCAAAAGGATTGGTATCAATTCTTTGAATGTCTGGTAGAATTCTGCTGTGAATCCTTCTGGTCCTGGACTTTTTTTTTGTTGGTAATTTTTTAATTACCATTTAAATCTTGGTGCTTGCTATTGGTCTGTTCAGGGTATCTAATTCTTTCTGAGTTAAGCTAGGAGTGTTGTATTTTTCCAGGAATTTATCCATCTCTTCTAGGTTTTCTAGTTTATGTGCATAAAGATGTTCTTAGTAGCCTTGAATGATCTTTTGTATTTCAGCGGTGTCAGTTGTAATATGTCCAGTTTTGTGTCTTAATTAGGTTATTTGGATTTTTTCTGTTCTTTTCTTGGTTAATCTTGCTAATAGTCTATCAAATTTATTTATCTTTTCCAAGAACTAGCTTTTTGTTTCATTTATCTTTTGTATTTTTTTTGTTTGTTTATTTCAATTTCATTTAATTCTGCTCTGATCTTGGTTATTTCCTTTCTTCTGCTGGGTTTGGGTTTGGTTTGTTCTTGTTTCTCTAGTTCCTTGAGGTGTGACCTTAGAATGTCGGTTTGTATTCTTTCCGTCTTTTTGATATAGGCATTTAATGCTATGAACTCTTCTCTTAGCACAGCCTTTGCTGTATCCCAGAGGTTTTGATAGGTAGTGTCATTATTGTTGTTCAGTTCAAAGAATTTTTAATTTCCGTCTGAGTTTTGTTTTTGACCAAATGATCATTCAGGAGCAGGTTATTTAACGTCCATGTATTTGCATGGTCTTGAAGGTTCCTTTTGGAGTTGATTTCCAATTTTATTCCACTCTGAGAGAGTGCTTGATATAATTTCAATTTTCTTAAATTTATTGAGGCTCATCTAGTGGCCTATCACATGGTCTATCTTGGAGAAGGTTCTGTGCACTGTTGAATAGAATGTGTATTCTGTGGTTGTTGGAGAAAATGTTTTGTATATATCTGCTAAGTCCATTTGTTCCAAGGTATAGTTTAAATCCATTGTTTCTTTGTTGACTTTTTGTGTTGATGTCCTGTCTAGTGCTGTCAGTGGAGTATTGAAGTCCCCCACTGTTATGTATTGCTGTCTATCTCATTTCTTAGGTCTGTTAGTAATTGTTTTACAAATTTGGGAGCACCAGTGTTAGGTGCATATATGTTTAGGATTGTGATATTTTCTTGTTGGACAAGGCCTTTACCATTATATAATGTCCCTCTTTGTCTCTTCAACTGCTGTTGCTTTAAAGTTTGTTTTGTCTGATATAAGAATAGCTACCCCTGCTCGCTTTTGGTGTCCATTTGCATGAAATGCTTTTTCCAACCTTTTTATTTCAGTTTATGTAGTCCTTATGTGTTAGGTGAGTATCCTGAAGGGAGCAGATGGTTGGTGAGTTCTTATCCATTCTGCAGTTTTGTATCTTTTAGGTAGAGCATTTAAGCCATTTACATTCAATGTTACTATTGAGATGTGAGATACCATTCCATTCATCGTGCTATTTGTTGACTTTGTACCTTGGTTTTTTGTTTTTTATTTTTGCTTTTTAAATTTTCATTTTTTTTGTTTTATAAGTCCTGTGTGATTTATGCTTTAAAGAGCTTCTGTTTTGATGTGTTTCCAGGATTAGAGCTCTTTTTAGCAGTTCTTGGTAGTGGTGGCTTGGTAGTGGCGAATTCTCTCAGCATTTGTTTGTCTGGAAAAGACTATATCTTTCCTTCATATATGATGCTTAGTTTCGCTGGATACAAAATTCTTGGCTGATAATTGTTTTGTTTGAGGAGGCTGAAGATAGGGCCCCAATCCCTTCCAGCTTGTAGGGTGTCTGCTGAGAAAACTGCTGTTAATCTGTTAGGTTTTCCTTTATAGGGTACCTGATGCTTTTGTCTCACAGATGTTAAGATTCTTTTCTTCGTCTTAACTTTAGATAACCTGATGACAACGTGCCTAGGTGATGATCTTTTTGCGATGAATTTCCCAGGTGTTCTTTGTGCTTCTTGTATTTGGATGTCTAGATCTCTAGCGAGGCCAGGGAAGTTTTCCTCAATTATTCCCCCAAATATGTTTTCCAAACTTTTAGATTTCTTTTCTTCCTCAGGAACATCAATTATTCTTTTTTTTAATCCACAAAAAAATTATAATGTAAGTTAAAGTACAAATGAGGGTTCATTTTTTTTACTCATCATATTGGCAAAAGTTAAGAAATTGCAAGATACAGTCATGCACTGCATAAGGATGTTTTAGTTAACAACAGACTGCAGATAAGATAGCAGTCCCATAAGATTATAAGACTGTATTTTTACTATACCTTTTCTATGTTAAGATACACAGATACAAACCATTGTGTTACAGTTGCCTACAGTATTCAGTGTAGTACATGCTGTACAGGTTTATAGCCTGGGAGCAAAAGGTTATATCATATAGCCAAGGTGTGTGTGGTGGGCTATACCCTCCATTTGTATAAGTACACTATGAGGAACATCAATTATTCTTAGGTTTGGTCATTTAACATAATCCCAGACTTCTTGGAGGCTTTGTTCATATTTTCTTTTTCTTTTTTCTTTGTCTTTGTTGGATTGGGTTAATTCGAAGACCTGGTCTTCGAGCTCTGAATTTCTTTCTTCTACTTGTTCAATTCTATTGCTGAGACTTTCCAGAGCATTTTGCAGTTCTGTAAGTGTGCCCAATTTCCCTGATGTTTTGATTGCTTTTTCTTTATGCCATCTATTTCCTTGAATATTTCTCCCTTTCCTTCTTGTATCATTTTTTTGGATTTCCTTGCATTGGGCTTCGCCTTTCTCTGGTGCCTCCCTGATTAGCTTAATAACTAACATCCTGAATTCTTTTTCATGTAAATCAGGGATTTCTTCTTGGTTTGGAACCATTGCTGGTGAGCTAGTGTGATTTTCTGGGGGTGTTAAAGAGCCTTGTTTTGTCATAGTACCAGAGTTGGTTTTCTGGTTCCTTCTCATTTGGGTAGGCTCTGTCAGAGGGAAGGTATAGAGCTGAAGTCTTTTGTTCAGATTCTTTTGTCCCATGGGGTTCTCCCTTGATGTAGTACTCTCCCCCTTTTCCTATGGATGTGGCTTCCTATGAGCTGAACTGTAGTAATTGTTATCTCTCTTCTTGGTCTAGCCACCCAGCAAGCCTACCTGGTTCTGGGCTGGTGCTGGGGGTTATCTGCACAGAGTCCTGTGATGTGAACCGTCTATGGCTCCCTCAGTCGTGGATACCAGCACCTGTTCTAGTGGAGGTGGCAGCGGGGGTGAAACAGTTCGTGAGGGTTCTTAGCTTTGGTGGTTTAATGTTCTGTTTTTGTGCTGCTTGGTCTCCTGCCGGGAGGTGGCACTTTCCAAAGAGCATCAGCTGTGATAGTATGGAGAGGAACTGGTGGTGGGCAGAGCCCCAGAACTCCCAAGAGTATATTTCTTCATATACCCTACCCACCCTTTGTCTTCAGCTACCAGGTCGGGGCAGGGCTAGGCGTGTCTGAGCTCAGATTCTTCTTGGGCAGGTCTTGCTGTGGCTGCTGTGGGGAATGGGGGTGAGTTTCCCAGGTCAGTGGAGTTATGTACCTAGGAGGATTATGGCTGCCTCTGCTGAGTCATGCAGGTTGTCAGGGAAGTGGGGGAAAGCAGGCGGTCACAGACCTCACCTGGTCTCCACACAATCTGAAGGGCTGGTCTTACTCCCACCATGCCCCTACTAACAGCCTTAAGGCTGTTTCCAGGCAGTGGGCAAGCAGGACTTGAGAACTTGTCCCATGCTACCTGCCTCCCAGCTGCAAAAGAAAAGAGTTTTGGTTGTTCTTCCCCCTGTGGAGTCTGTACACTGGATTCATGCCCTCCCCTGAGTTCTAGCGGGAGGCACCTCGCCCGATTCAAATTGTTACAAAGTTCAGCTGGAGACTTCCTTCTCCTTGGGGCGTTTTCCCCTGTGCCTCTGGCCGCCCTCCCGAAGGATCCCTGTGGTGCCAGGCAGGAATGGCCTGCTTGGGGACCCTGCGAACTCCCAGAGCCTTTCCTGCTGCTTCCTCTACCCCTGTATTTTGCTCGGCTCTCTAAATTGACTCAGCTCCAGGTAAGGTTGGAAACTTCTCCTGCAAACCAGACCTTCAGTTTCCCCAGTGGGGGTGTGTTTGGGAGTGGAGGGTCTCCCTTTCCCACTTTCGCAGTTTGGGCACTCACAGTATTTGGGGTGTCTCCCAGGTCCTGCAGGAGCAGTCCACTGCCTTCGGAGGGTCTTTGGGTCCTCTCGGGATTCCTGCTTTGTTCTTGCAGTCATTCTGGAGCTAAAATTTCTCACGTGAGCCTCCACACACTGCTCTGTCCATCTGAGTTGGAGCTACAATCTAGTCCTACTTCCCATCCACCAGGATGATCTTCTCTTTTATCTGATGATGAGTCTTAATATAACATCCATACTTGATCATTATGCTTAAGTTTGAATATCTGAAGTGACAGAGAACTACTTTCAGAAAGACTCCATTCATTTTTGGTGAGCACTGAGTATTAGAACATTAATTCTTTCTATTGAACTAAATGTAATATGTCTCCTCGTAGCTTTAGCTTTTTCTGCGAACTGGTCCTAGTTCAGTCTTTTCTGGTTAATATGAACAGGGCTGATTTGTCTTCCATATGATAATATTTCCAACATTTAAAAACAGCTGTATTCAACCTAAGTCTATTTTTTGATTTTCTATTCTTTTCTATTGATCTGTCTATTAGTGGGTCATTACCACAATATTTTAATTATTGAGGCTTTATGATACATTTTCCTTTTTCTTTTTTTTTTTTTTGACTTTTAAGTTCGGGGTACATGTGCAGGTTTGTCACAAAGGTAAACTTGTGTCATGGAGGTTTGTTGTACAGATTATTTCATCACCTAGGTATTGAGCCTAGTACCCATTAGCTGTTTTTCTTGATCCTCTCCCTCTGTCCATCCTCCACCATCCGAAAGGCCCCAGTATGTATTGTTCCCCTTTGTGTGTCCATGTGGTCTCATCATTTAGGTCCCACTTAACAGGGAAAATGTAGTATTTGGTTTTCTCTTCCTGTGTTAGTTTGCTAAGAATAATGGCCTCTAGCTCCATCCATGTCCCTGCAAATGACATGATCTCATTCTTTTTTATGGCTGCATAGTATTCCATGGTGTATATGTACTGCATTTTCTTTATCTAGTCTATCATTGATGGATATTTAGGTTAGTTCCATGTCATTGCTATTGTGTATAGTGCTGCAGTGAACATATGCATGCATGTGTCTTTATCATAGAATGATTTATATTCCTTCAGGTATATACTTAGTAATGGGATTGCTGGGTCAAATGATATTTCTGTCTTTAGATCTTTGAAGAATCACCACGCTGTCTTCCACCATGGCTGAACTAATTTACACTCCCACCACAGTGTATATAAGTGATCCTTTCTCTCCACAACCTTGCCAGCATCTGTTATTTTTTGACTTTATAATAGTTGCCATTCTGACTGGTGTTAGATGGTAGCTCATTATGGTTTTGAGTTGTATTTCTCTAATGATCAGTGATGTTGAGCTTTTTCTCATATGATTATTGGCCACATTTTTGTCTTTTCAAAACTGTCTGTTCATGTCCTTTGCCCACTTTTTTATGGGGTTGTTTTTTGCTTGTAAATTTGTTTAAGTTCCTCATAGATGTTGGATATTAGACCTTTGTCGGATACATAGTTTGCAAAAATTTTCTCCCATTCTGTAGGTTGTCTGTTTACTCTATGGATAGTTTCTTTTACTGTCCAGAAGCTCTTTAGTTTAATTAGATATGCCATTTGTCAATTTTTGCTTCTGTTGCAATTGTTTTTGGCATCTTCATTGTGAAATCTTTTCCCGTTTCTATGTCCAGAATGGTATTGCCAAGGTTGTCTTCCAGGGTTTTTATAGTTTTGGGTTTTACATTTAAGCCTTTAATCCCATCTTCAGTTAATTTTTGTATATGGCATAAGGAAGGGTTCCAGTTTCAGTTTTCTCCATATGGCTATCCAGTTATCCCAGCACCATTTACTGAATAGGGAATTCTTTCCCTATTGCTTGTTTTTGTCAGCTTTGTTGAAGATCAGATGGTTTGTCGGTGTGAAGTCTTATTTCTGGGTTCTCCATTTTGTTCCATTGGTGTATGTGTCTGTTCTTGTATTATACCATGCTGTTTTGGTTACTGTAGCCCTGTACTATACTTTGAAGTTGGGTAGTGTGATGCTTTCGGCTTTGTTCTTTTTCTTAGGATTGCCTCACTGTTCAGGCTTCTTCTTGATTCCTTATGAATTTTAAAATAGTTTTTTTCTAGTTCTGTGAAGAATGTCAATGGTAGTTTGATAGGAATAGCATTGAATCTATAAATTGCCCTTGCCAGTATGGCCATTTTAACGATATTGATTCCTCCTTTTTATGAGTATGGAATGTTTTTCCATTTGTGTCATCTGTGATTTCTTTGAGCAGTGGTTTGTAGTTCTCCTTTTAGAGATCTTTCACCTTCCTAGTTAGCTATATTCCTAAGGTATTTTATTCTTTTTCTGGCAATTGTGAATGGGAGTTCATTTGTGATTTGGCTCTTGGCTTGACTATTGTTAATGTATAGGGATGCTAGTGATTTTTGCATGCTGATTTTGTATACTGAGACTTTGCTGAAGTTGTTTATCAGCTTAAGAAGCTTTTGGGCTGAGACAATGGGGTTTTCTAGATATAGGATCATGTCATCTGCAAACAGGGATAGTTTGACTTTCTTACGATACATTTTCATATCTGGTAGGACCAGCCCTCATCACTGATCTTTTTCAGGCATTTCATTGCTATTCTTGCTTACTTATTCTTCCTTTTATTTATTTATTTATTTTTTAGAGACAGGGTCTTGATGTTGCCTCGGCTGGTCTCAAACTCCTGGGCTTAAGTGATCCTCCTGCCTCAGCCTCCAGAGTAGCTGGGACTATGGCATGCACCACTGCACCTGGCTATTTTTCTATATAACTTTATAAGCTAGTTCTTAAAAATAAGATTTTTTAAAACTAGCATAATATTAAATTTATATATTAACTTAGAGTAGACATGTTTATGATGCTGAATTGTATTATCCAAGAATATGGAATATAGGATGTCTACTTTTATGCCTTTAAATCATATCTTATTTGTTTGCTTATTTTGTACGTTTCTTATTAGGTTTATGCCTGAATATTTTATTTTTTGCTATTTTAAATGAGACATTCTTTTCCATTATATCTTCTAACTAGTAACTGTATATATATATACAGTTATATATATATACAGCATATTTATATATATTATATATATACAGACTATATATATATAATCAATTTCTGTATTTTAATTTAATTTAATTTAATTTTGTTTTATTTTTTGAGATTGGATCATACTCTGTCACCCAGGCTGGAGTTCAGCGGTCCAGTTATGGTTCACTGCAGCCTTGACTTCCTGTGCTCAAGAAGTCCTCCCACCTCAGCCTCCGGACTATGTGGGATTATAGGTGCGTGGCACCATGCCTGGCTAATTTTTAATTTCGCAGAGACAGGGTCTTGCTATGTTGCCTAGGCTGGCTTGAATTCCTGGGCTCAAGTGATCCTCCTGCCTCAGCCTCCCAAAGTGCTGGGCTTACAGATGTTCACCACCATTCCTATTTTAATTTTATATGCTGTGACTTTACTAAATTCTCTTACTGTATTTCTCTCTCCTCCTCCTGCTGCTCTTCCTCTTACTGTTTTTAGTAGTTTTTCAGTGGATTCTTTGGGGTTTTCTAGATACTTAATCAAATCACCTACAAATAGGGATAGTTTTACCTCTTTCTTTTCAATTCTGATACTTCTAGTTGCTTTTTCTTTTTTAATTATATTGAATAATTCTTCTAATTCAATATTAAATAGTAGTGGAGATAACAAGCATCCTTTTCTTGTTTCTGACTTTAGCAGGAATGCCTTTAGTGATTTACCTTTAAGAAATATGCTGGCATTGGAGCTGATTTATAATTTAATTTATTTGTTCTTTCTTCAAAAGTCTCAGATATCCACCTTGGGTCATTTGTCTTCTACCTTAACCTGTAGAATTTTCTTTAGTGAAGATATCCTGGTGGCAAACTCAGTTTTTGTTTGTCTGAAAATGCCTTTATTTCACCCTCATTCTTACATTTTTTTTTTTTTTTTTTTGCTGGGTATGCTATTGATTCTGGGATGGTATTCTTTTCTCTCAGCACATCGTTATTATTTTTACTGTTTTCTGGATTTTGTTGTTATTGAACTGACCATTGAGAATCCAGCTGTCAGTTCCTTTGAAGTGAATTCATCTCTTCTCTCTATTTTTAAGGTCGTCTTTTTGTCTTTGCTCTGATTAATGTGGAGATGGATTTTCTTTTCTTTTAAATTTTGCTTGGGATTCTCTTGATTTCCTGAATCTTTAATTTGGTATCTTTTGTTAGATCTGGAAAATTCTCAGTCATCTATTCAAATATTGCCTCTACTGCATTTGCTCTCTTCTTTCCTTCTAGAACTCTAAATGAATGTGTGTTGGAATCAATCCCCCATGTCTCTTAACCTTCTTTCATATTCTCTCTCTATTTCTCTGCATTGCATCCTGAATAATTTTTCTGGCTTACTATCCAGTTCACTAATTTGCCCTCCAATTGAATTTCATCTGCCATTAAACCTTTCTGTTGAGTTTTTAAATTAAATTGCTGAAGTCCTATTTGATTCTTTTTCAAGTCTCATCATTTTTGTAATCTTTCTGTCTTTGCTCATATTTTCAATCTCTTATTTCTTTAAATAGGTTAAGTATAACTTTTGTAGTCTGTTTGATAATTCTAATATATGATGTATCTGTATAAGAATGTTTATTACAGCATAGTATAATAGCAAAATACTAGAAACAATATGAATGTTGATCAGTAGGAGATTAGTTAAATACAACATGGTACATTGAAATAATGGAATTCTATGCAGATAAAGTAGATGTTTAAGTAGTTAAATAAATATAATCCATGATATATTATTGAGAAAAGCAGATTATAGAATATAAGATATATTATCTCATTTATATTAAAATGTTTATAGATGCAAAAAGCAGTCTAGCAGAATATTCAGCAAATGATAAAAATTGTTAACTCTGAGAGTTAAGATTCTTAATTCCTCTGTAGTGTTCAAATATTTTATAGCAAGAATGTTATCAAGAAAAAAAGTATTTTCATTTTGTAAAAATATCCTAATTTTTTAGTCACATTGTGACTATTTTTCTATACTGTACACATATTTCTATAGCATAATTTAACATTGCTATAAAGTATTTTGTTATATGGCTTACACCATAATTTATTTGTGCATTTTCCTATTGTGGGCATTGAGCTTATTGCTAGCTTTTGCTTTTATAAATATTGCTGCTGTAAACACCCAGAGGATGTTTTTAAATCTATATGAGTAGACTCCTTTGAGGTGTTCAATACTGATGACTCCTTCTTTCTTCTCTTTTGGCTTTCCTCGTGGCCTCTCATACTTCAGAGGCTACTTCTGGCTGCCTTTTCAGGCTCCTCTTTCTTCCCTAGCATTTTATTTTTTTCAGAGGTTTGAAAATCTATTATTGTTTTCCTTGAGTATAGGCTTTTGATTTCATCTGATTGTTTTTGTTTTTTTTTTTTTGAGGCAGCAATTTCCTATTTATTTATTTTAATTGACAAATAAAAATTGTATATATTTATTGTGTACAACATGATGTTTTGAAGTATGTGTACAATGTGGAGTGGCCAAATTATTTTTCTAAAAATAACAGCTTTATTGAGACACAATTCATGTAATATGTACAATTCAGTAATAGTTTGTGGTATATTCACAAAGTTGTACAGTGATAATCACTATTGAATTCCAGAACATTTTAATCATTCCCAAAAAGAAAATCCATACTGGTTAGCAGTCACTCAAATTTCCCCTTTCTTCTCAGGCCCTGGAAACACCACACGGTTTCTGGCTCTATGGATTTGCCTATTCTGGACATGTCATGTAAATGGAATTATATAATATGTGGCCTTTTGTGCTTATTTCCCTTAGCATAGTGTTTTCAGAGGTCAGCCACATTGTTGCCTGCATCAGAACATCATTCCTTTTTTTTTCCCAATAGGTTTTTGGGGAACAGGTCATAGTTGGTTACATGAGTAAGTTCTTTAGTGATAATTTCTCAGATTTTGGTGCACCCATTACCCAAGCAGTGTACACTGTACCCAATGTGTAGTCTTTTATCCCTCCTCACCTCCCACCCTTTTCCCCTGAATCCCCAAAGTCCATTGTATCATTCTTATGGCTTTGCATCCTCATAGCTTAGCTCCCACTTATGAGTGAGAACGTACAATATTTGGTTTTCCATTCCTGAGTTACTTTACTTAGAATAACAGTCTCCAAATGCCATTATTTCATTCCTTTTTATGGCTGAGTGGTATTCCATGGTGTATATATACCACATTTTCTTTATTCACTCATTGATTGATGGGCATTTGGGCTGGTTCCATATTTTTGCAATTGTGAATTGTGCTGCTATAAACATGCATGTAAAATTATCTTTTTCATATAATGACTGCTTTTTCTCTGGGTAGATACCCAGGAGTGGGATTGCTGGATCAAATGGTAGATCTACTTTTAGTTCTTTAAGGAATCACTACACTGTTTTCCATAGATCCCTAGCATTTTATGTAACTGGGTTACTGTCTAATTCTCTGGCTACTTCACAAGTTTGCCTTTAGGATATAATTTACTTTCTTGGCTTTAATTAAAGGCAGATGACTGTCAGATCTCTATTTTTAGCCCAAATTCTTCCATCTTAAACTCCAGATCCATATATTCACCTTCTTGCTGGGTATTTTCACTTGGGTATCTCAGTGGTACCTCCAACTCTCACAGCCTAATCTGAACTCATCTCTCTCTCCAAACCTATTTATCCAGTTTTGTTCATTGTCTCTGTGAATGGCATTGTCATCTCTCTAGTGGTCTAAACTGTAAACTAAGTGTCATTCAAGATGCACATTTTCTCTAACCATCCCGTGTCCATCCAGTCAATCACTAGGACTTGCCTCTTAAATATCTCTTAAATCCTCCTTTTCCTTCTCTTCATTCCCGCAGCCACTGTTTTGTTCACGCTCCTTTTCTCTTCCTCTGCTTCCCTTTCTTCCTCTTCTTTAAAGCTATTCTCCTGTTGCTAGAATGATTGTTTTGAAATGCAAAGCAAATCAACCAATTTATTAGAGCCTCATTGCCTTCAGGATAAGAGCCAATCATCTCCCTGGCTTGACAGTCTAGCCCTTTCTCTCTGATTGCACTCCTATTCATTTGTCTCCCAGTTTTTGTCCTATTGAACTATGCTCTCTCAGATCCAATCATGTGCATGGAACATCCTCTGCCCAGAGCTGCTTCTTTTCCTTCCCCATCCTTCAAGAAAAAAACTCAAACATTATCTCCTTCAGGAAACCTTCCTAACCAACTCCCTCTTTTACCCAGTCCACTACCTGGTCTAAATTAGGTGCTCCTACTATGTGAATGTATGCATTCATTGTATTTTCTTGTCCGTGAAATTAATAAGTTTCTTAAGGACAGGGACTATTCTTATCAACCTTTGTATCCTTGTCACTAGCACAGTACCCAGCTGCAGGATTAGTGCTCATTAAATATTTTGAACAAATAATTGCTAATATTTATATACACCCTTTAATCATAATATTGGTTCATCTCACAGGAGGCTGTAAAAGAATTCATTGAGCCTGAAATAGACGAGTCTTTTAAAGAAGATGAAGAAGAAAGTAAGGAGGATAGGAAACTTCAGGAGGAAAATAAAGAGAGAGCAGAAGAAGTAAGATTATTTGGTATTTGTTTTTCCTCCTACATACATACATACATACATACATACATATATTTTAGAGACAGGGTCCTGCCCTGTCACCCAGGTTGGAGTGCTGTGGTATCATCATAGCTCACTGTAACCTCGAACTCTGGGGCTCAAATGATCCTCCTGCCTCAGCCTCTTGAGTAGCTAGGACTACAGGCATGCACCACCATGCCTAGCTAATTTTTAAAATTTTTTTTATAGAGATGGGATCTTGCTATGCCCAGGCTGGTCTTGAACTGGTCTCAAGCGATCCTCTTACCTCAGCCTCCTAAAGTGCTGGGATTACAGATATGAGCCACCATGCTTGGACCATATATATATATATACACAGACATATATAGTGGGGGGAAAATTATAGACACACACAGACAGTGGAGAATAGAAGTAGGTGGTCTGGAGTGAACTCCAGTTTCCTTCTTTTCCTCATATAGATTTAGCCAAACCTGCAGAAATATTTATCTTTGTCACTTTATTTTCAGAGGAAGGGAATGTTCCTTTTCCCTTCTAAATCCAGCCATTTCCCATTAGCCTCATTTATACTTTTATTCCTATTAACTACACAATCTACTTCTCACTCTGGTACTATTTTTTTAGCCCTTCATTGCCACATTTTTTCAGATAACACTTTAAAACTCCATATTTCTACTTCTTCAGCTCCCATTCTGAGCTGCCTTTTGCCCTCCTCCCAGGCCCATCACCAGACCTCTCCTCTCTTTACCCCGTCTCAACCCCCGCAGGGGCATTTGTAGTAATAAAAACCCTTCCTGGGACATTTGTAATAATAATAATAATACGATGATTACCAAAAATTGAGTGCCTATCATGAGTGATATACTTTGCACATATTATCTCTTATCTATGCAACACAACTTCAAGGTTTATATTATTGCCCCCATTTTACAGATAAGAAAACTGAAGCTCAGAGAGGTTGACTGATTTACTCAAAATCATATAGCTGTAAGTGGCAGAACCGATATTCAAACCCAGTTAAGTCTGGCACAAGACCCCTTGCTAATTCTTAGATTGACTACTACTGCCTTTGGCTTCCTAGAACTCATGATTGCCTAACACTCTCTACAATGTCTTGATTTACTTCTTTGATATATTTCTTCTCTGTATATAGTTTAAGTGTTGGCATGACTCCAGGCTCTGAAATAGGTCTTCTACTCACTGCACAGGCAGGACAACAGAACAAAAATATTATATAACACCCAAGCCTATTTCAATCAGCATTTTCTGTTTTATTTCTGGTAAAGTGCTTGGTATGTAGAAGGCACAGAATAAATGGAAATTGTCAGAGGTGTCTTAACCAGAGTGACTCCATCTTGAATAAAGTCCAGATAAAGCAAAACCTACTGGGTTACTTTCCCAGGAAATTGGACACTCTTAGTCACAAGATGTTTATGGTTGAGGAAACGAGTTAATGGAAAAAGGCATTCTCAGTTTAAAAATGGGTTTCACTTTAAAGATAATGGTACTGTTACAGGAAAGGTGTCATGATTCAGAGCCCAGGAGAGGATTCTTGGATCTTGCACAAGAAAGAATTCAGAGCGAGTTTGCAGTCCAAAGTGAAAGCAAGTTTATTAAGAAAGTAAAAGAATAAAAGAACAGCTACTCCATAGACAGAGTAGCCTTAAGGGCTGCTGGTTGCCCATTTTCTTGATGATATGCTGAACAAGGGGTGGATTATTCATGCCTCCCCTTTTTAGACCATATAGGGTAACTTCCTGACATTGCCATGGCATTTGTAAACTGTCATGGCGCTGATGGGAGTATAGCAGTGAGGACAACCAGAGGTCACTCTTGTGGCCATTGTGGTTTTGGTGGGTTTTGACCGGCTTCTTTACTGCAACCTGTTTTATCAGCAAGGTCTTTATGACCTGTATTTTGTGCTGACCTTTTGTCTCATCCTATGACTTAGAATGCCTTAACCATCTGGGGAGGCAGCCCAGTGGGTTTTAGCCTCATTGTACCCAGCTACTCTTTAAGATGGAGTTTTTCTGGTTCATACGTCTCTGACAGTATACTCATAAATTATTGCTGAAGTCAACAGTTACACTAGAGAATAATAATACTAATAGCCTGTCACAAGCTGATCACCAGCCTTTATAATAAAGTACACTATTCTTAGTGTTAATATCCTATATAAGCAAGCATTATGTTTATGTTAAGGGCATTTCTCCTCTTGCTTTCTGAGGATACCCAACTCTGTAATAGAGTAATTTCTAGTAAACTGCTTTTACTTTACTATACTCTGAGACTCACCCTGAATTTTATCCTGTGTGAGATCGAAGAACCTGCTCTTGGGGTCTGGGATAAGACCCCTTTTCTGGTAACAAAACCATTACTACTGCAACTACTGCTATTACTACTACCACCTGTAGACTTAGTTGAGCCCCTGTCCTCTCTATTTTACAAGCACCTGTTCGGCCTTTAAATATCACTTTCTCTGTTAATAATTCCTGAAGTACCTAGGAAGAAGGCATGACCCTTTTCTGGGTGTGCACAGCCCTTGGAGCACACTTTTATGCTAACAGTAATCATGTTATACCATAATTATTCATTTTATTATCTATCTCTCCTATAGTACTGTCAGTTCCTGGAAGCTGGAAGAAATCCTCTTTGTTTTTCCCATAGTTATATCCCCTTGTCCACACTCCCCATCCTACCAGTTTTTCACAGCGTTTGCTATGTGAAAGTCTTCAAAAATTCTTGTTGTGTGATTAAAGGAAATGGAAAATGTAAGCTTCCAACATGGTGCCAGGAAACTTGCTACCGTGCCAGGAAACTTGCTGGGGTGCTACACCAGCTTGCTAACAGGTCCGCATGTTTCTGTGTTCTAGCAACCTTCAACATCTACAGAGAAGGAAAAACTCATTCGATTCATTGGAGAAGATGAAAATGTTCATTCCAAACCTCTATTTGAAACAGATGTGTTGTCTTCCTGGGTATGTATCTGAAACCCAGCTAGGGAATTCAACACTATTTAACATTGCATAAAAATGATATGGTGCTAACATAACTTTTAGCTACTCTAAGGGGACCAGGGATTCCTAAGTCATGTATTTTACAGATATTTTTCTTCCAACATAATTCCTGGAAAACTCCTTTTTTCACCGTAACTTTACAAAAGCTTCTCATTCTCATCTTTAAACCTCTTTTTTTTTTTTTTTTTTTTGACAGAGTTTTGCTCTGCCTCCCGGGTTCAAGCGATTCTCCTGCCTCAGTTTCTGGAGTAGCTGGGATTACAGGTTCCTGCTACCATGCCCGGCTAATTTTTGTACTTTTAGCAGGGACAGGGTTTCACCATATTGGCTAGGCTGGTCTCAATCTCCCGACCTCAGGTGATCCACCCACCTCAACCTCCCAAAGAGCTGGGACTGCAGACGCGAGCTATTGCGCCCGGCCTAAACCCCATTTTAACATCAGTATTTCATCTCTTTCCTTAGTTTAACTATCTCTTGGTCAGTATTTGACTAATTGTTAAACATTCATTTAGTAGACTTTATTGAGTGCTATGATAATAAGCACATACCCATAAGAACAATAACTGTCGGGAAACTGGGAACTTAGAGACAGTAGCTGTGGACACTCAGCAAGAAAGCAGATTTAAAATGTCTCCACAGAAGTTTGGTTGTAGGACCATGGTAGACTTCAGTTAGCTCTAGATCAGTGTCTTACTCTCTACAGAACACTGTGACTTTAAGAGTTTATGGATGGGCTTTATCCCACTAATTCCCTGAAGTGGTGGTAATATTTTGTGTGTATGTTCATATTGTGCATTTTCTTGGATTGGGGGATCAATAGATTTTGTCAAATTTCTCCATCCTAAAGTTAAGAACCATTTCATTATTAGGGGTGTGGGAGCCATAGGCTCTTGGCCCCCTACAAATTTGTTGAAAAATCACTGATGTGAGGCAAATTGATTAATAGGAGAAAAGGCATATAAATTTGTTTAACATGTGTACATAAGAGCCTTCAGAATGAAGATCCAGAAGCTCATATACCATCCTGAGGCCATAGTAAAGAATACAGACTGAGTATGGCTAGAAACAGGTTACCTTGGTGAATCAGGTTAGTGAAAAGACTGGTTGAGAGAGAGAGAAAAGGAAGAAGCTTGGCTGGCAAAGGTGGCCTTGTTATGTAGATGAAGTCTCCCTCAGAGAGAATAAAGATGTTTCTTTTCAGACTTTGAAAGGCATCAGACTCTCAATCTCTCCTGGGTCCTGGAAAGGCATAGAAAGGGGAAGCGGCGGTGACTGCTTTAATGGAGATTCTCTACAGATGCAAATTTTTCCCACAAAAGACAGCTTTGCAAGGCCACTTTTGTTTCCTGGCCAGGCAGCGGCTATTTCAAAATATGTCAAATAAATATATTTGGGGGGTAATATATTTTAATTTCCTTTGGCACATTCTCCCAAAGTGGTGCCTTGGGAGACATCAGAGAACTTTCAACAAGTTTTAAAAATAATGCATCACTATGTTGGTCACTAAGACTGTGAGGCAAATATGTAAGAGGGAGCAGTGGGAATGGAATACAATGTCGTGAGATTTATTTATTTAGAGACAGAGTCTTCGCACTGTCACCTGGGCTGGAGTGCAATGGTGCAATCTCGGCTCACTGCAACCTCTGCCTCCCAAGTTCAAGCGATTCTCCTGCCTCAGCCTCCCAAGTACCTGGGATTACAGGTGCCCACCACCATGCCCGGCTAATTTTTTGTACTTTTAATAGAGATGGGGTTTCATTATGTTGGTCAGGCTGGTCTTGAACTCCTGACCTCATGATCCGCCTGCTTCGGCCTCCCAAAGTGCTGGGATTACAGGCGTGAGCCACCACGCCCGGCCAAAATTTTTTAAAAAGGAGACAAAGACAACAGGTAGAAGCTTTTTATCTGCTAACCCCCACCAGTCCCAGCTACAAGCCCTCCTGCCTCAGACTTGCTTCTCTAAAGTTAGAACTCTGGTATGCCGTCCAGGCTAGGCCCTGGAGCCAGGCAGGAAGCAGTCAGGAAACTAGGAGCCTGCAGCCTGGGACAAAACTCAGGAGTATCACATGTCTTTGATAGTGTGAGGTCCACTGCTCCCAGATACTGCCATTCTGTGTGACACTGGCAGTGCCATGTGGATAGCCCAGGTAAGGAGAACATGGACCAGTAAGTCCATGTTCAAAAGTCTAAGCTTTTGAAAAGTTGCTGCTGCTACTACAGATCACTAAAGACCAAACTGTCTAGGTTCTGATTAACCAAAAAATCTGGAGAAAGAACTAAAATGCCATCTGGATGTACAATTACTTGCAAGTTCCTGGAAGCCAAGAAGAATCACATTCTTCCTGTGGAATGGTGGCTGGAGTACTGCACAAGTAGAATGGGATCATGTAACTTCCCAGTGGGTCCTTCCTACCCATTGCACAGACACAATCAATTAGCTGGGACCACAGCATTGCAGTAAAGAAAGAGTTTAATTGACATGAAGCTGGCCACACCACGTAGGAGATGGAGTTACTACTCAAATCGATCTTCTTGAAGGCTCAAAGGTTAGGCTTTTTCCAAGATAGTTTGGTAGGCAGGGGGCCAGGGTATGGGTGTTGCTTATTGGTTGGGGATGCAATCATGGGGTATGGAAAATGGTCCTCATGCACTGAGTCCATATTCTAAGATTTGATGCTGGAGTTTTGGTGTAACAGTCCTGTGGGGGCCACAGGACTACCTGAGTTATGAGTCAGAGTGGCACCATCCTGTTGTCAGAAGCTTGAAAAGACATCTCAAAATACCAACCTTAGGTTCTACAATAATGATGTTATTTATAGGCATAATTAGGGAAGTTGCAAATCTTGTGACCTCTGGAATAATGGCTGAATTCAGGTCCCTCTCATACTCCTAACTTGGTGGCCTTTCATTAGTTTTACAAGGGTAGTTTAGTAGTTTAGTTTTGGGGAAGAGCTATTATCATTTAAACTTTGCCCATGCCCAGGAATGAGCCAAGTCAGCCAGCCTGTGAGACTCAAGCAAGATGGAGTCAGCCCCATCAGATTTATCTTACCATCATAATTTTGCAAAAGTGGCTTCAATCACCAGGTGCTCAAACAGAAGGGGCCTAATTGTGCTATTCTAGTAGGGGACGAGGTTGATTGATATTTGGGGATATTGGTACTCAGAGAATAGTCCAAAGCTGATAGGAGCACCCAGTCCAACTAGGGGTCCAGAACTGAATCCCAAGGAGCAGAGCCTGGAGTGGGATCTTCCCTGAGGCATGCCCAAGCCATAGAGATGCAACCCAAAGCCCATTAGTAGAGTCAAACCCCAGGAGGACCAAGCTAAAAAACCTAAAGGCAGAATTGATGTCAGACGGAGACTAACTGGAAGCTACAGCACATAGGCACAAGCAAGGAGGGTCCAATGCAATTGATTACAAGAGCCGCATGGTCCATGTTTGTCTCTGTCATATAGTGAGTAAAATAGCACAAAAGCCAGAGGAAGGTTTGGAGTCTGAGAAGAAGGCTTGTGGCAGTAACTGTAATTAGCCTTGAGGCATCTGCATCAGTATATGGTTGATGCATGGGGGATTGCCATCTGGCACACATGGAGGATGCTAGCAGCCCCACAACCAGCATTTCAGACCATGGGAATGTCCAAAATGTCATTTCAGACCACGGTCTGAAGCTCTCCTATTGAAGGACTTGAAATGGACCACAAAACATTAATCTGTACTTGCCAGTATCAAAAGAAAGGGATGTTTTCCTAGCATATCGTAACTAAATTTATATCTATTGACAGAATGAGGAGAGAGTCAGAAGGCTCAAATGCACGCAGGTAGTAGTGGACAATCCTGGTTTACCTTGGATTCTACTGATAGTTTTAGTTGTTTCATAGGGCTGTAAACCATGTGTGGAATTCCAGTTCTAGAAGCCTCTGCTCTGAAACCCTTTCTTTTAAAAGAACAAATAAGTTAGTAGTGTGTGCCAGGCGGGCACAGCCACACCACATACCTTAGGTTCAGGGTGAAAAATGATAGTGTGTACTTTCCAAACAAGTTACCCAAAAGAAGCAACAAAACAGAAAGAGAAAAATATGTGACAGAGAAAATAAGAGTCTAATATCTAGCATAAAAGGGAAGAAGTTGGCCAAGTGTGGTGGCCAGTGCCTATAATCTCAGCACTTGGGAGGCTGAGGCAGGAGGATCACTTGAGGCCAAGAGTTCAAGACCAGCCTGGGCAACATAGCAAGACCCAATCTCTACCTAAAAAAATTAAAAACTGGCTGGGCATGGTGGTGTGCACCTGTAGTCCCAGCCACTTGGGAGGCTGAGGTGGGAGGATTGCTTGAGCCTGTGAGGTCAAGGCTACAGTGAGCTATGATTGTGCCACTGCACTGTAGCCTGGGTGACAGAGCAAGATCCAGTCTCTATAAAAGAAAAAGAATAAATAAATAAATAAATAAATAAATAAATAAATAGTGAAGAGACTAACACAGGTTCTTTTCTCTTTTAGAAAAAGGTATAGTGGTATGATGGGATGTGTGATTGAGGATGAGAGGCTTAGATGCAGGCTTGCTTTAGCCCACCGGATCATGCTGTGATTGTGGCAGGCTGTCCACCCTCTTCTATCTCTCCTTCCGTCTATAAGGTAGACTTTACCTTATACCTGACACTGCTTGAGAGACATGGATAAATGAGACTTTAAAAGTATATTGTTCTGGGAAAATGTTAATATTCAATTAAAAATATGCTTATAGTTTTTGTCCTCTAAATTTCCTCTCTCACCTTCCTCTTATATAGAGTCAAAATAAATTAAAGAGGTTATCTTTTTTCTATATTTTCTTTGCCTGGCAAGATCTACATCTTTAACTGATATTTATGAAGTCCCCTAAGGAATTTAACGACTTCATTGGATTTTGCAATGTTACATTCTTAGTGAAGTAAATTATTAGTAAGACAGATATACAAGTTAGCTTCCTTGATCTTTAACTTGACTTATAAAGAAACATGTTGATCCTTCTCCTTATTTTTTAAATCTTTTTTTATTTCTCTGTTTCTTTTTGTTGTTACTGTTTCCCCTGCTTCTTCTTTACAATTCAAATCAAATTCTTATTCACCTGAAGCACGAGTAATTTGGAAGCTTCTATGCTATTTGACCAGAGACAATCCCTTTTTTTTTTTTTTTTTTGGTATTAAGGGTGTGCTTAACCATCTATTAGATAGATATGGGTAGTAGACAAAGAATATTCTAGAAGGTTTGATCCAGAACATCCTAAAAAAGTAGAATACTAATTGTTGAGACTGTCAGTTCATTCATATCTCATATTTCCTCTGTCAGAGAGAGTCAGCTAAGCAAGGTACATTGGCCCAAAAATATCTTGAAGCAATGGCTGTAATTGAACATATGCAGGAGAAGTTACTGTAAGTATGAGTCAACACAATGGTAAGAGGATGAAAATGGCTGGCCAGAAGGTTTGACTGAGAAATTCACACTTTTTGGCTTCCCTTTGGCTCTCCTGCTTTCTTTATCCACATTAGGGGGATGTGTATCTCCACATGTTCTGCTAGAGGCAGTAAACTACACTGCCCTGGTGGAAACATCCATTCTTAACTACAGTGGAAAGATAGAGGAAGTCAAACTATTTGTGTGTGTTGGAGGGGGTTGTTAGAGTGATCCAGTTCAATGTTTGTTTCTAAGAGATAACTTAGGGAAATAGATGAAACTAGGAGAAACTATTGTGCTTGGGAAAGAATGTTACATAACTCAGAGTAGAAAGGGCGGTATAGTTAAGATGGCTGGGGATGCCAGGAGAAGAGCGTAGCCATGTAGACATATAACGTGCTGTAGTAGCTAAGAAGCACATCTCAAGCTGGTTTCTTTGATTGTAAAAAATTTGGTTTTAGAGGTGCTAGAAAAGAAGTGACTCTGTTGAATTTAGTTTGTTGGATCACATCAATTAAGAGAAGCCAAAATTAACTCTTGAAAGGGAGTTCCCTGGCCATTGATGGAGAATTCCAGATACCCCAAATCAGATTTTACTAAGAAGTGATAAATATATTCTTAAATAGCAGCATGATTTCTACTCTGACATTAGCATTCAGAGTCGCTCCTGGGCCCCCAGTTCTCAGTTAATCATTGATGCTGTTGCTTCCCTTATTTCTACCCTTCAGACACATTCATCTAATCTCACTGCCTTTTTAGAAAATGAGTTTCGAAATCAAAAATACTTTTTCAACCCTTTCTATTTTGTTGTGTCTTCTCTTCCATATCAGGGAGGTTGAAAATAGAGCCAGACAGGCAGAGGAGAAGTTTGAAGATGCATATGAGAAACTTCATCATACCCTTATAAAAAATAAAGATCTAGAGGAATTAGTCATGACATCAAGAAAGGAGTCTAAAGAAGAGAAAGAAAATCAAGATGAAAGAGAAGTAAAAGAAGAAGAAGAACAACAAGAAGAAGAAGAAGTCAGGTCAGCAGAAAATTCCTCAAAATCTCCAAAGAAAGGTAAGGATTGCTTCGTATTTTGCTTTATTCAGGTTGTATTTATGAAAGAAAATTTGACTGGGCCACAAATATTGTAGAAGAACATTAATATATTTGGTGCTAATCTACTAGTTTATACTTCTCATAGGAATGTGCATATTTTAATCACATAACCATCTTATTCGGACAACTCACAAAAAGGAAAACCAAATGAATAACAATTGTGAATGAATAAAGTAGCTCAGATACAATTTTTATTTACAAAACTGGCAAAGGTTTTTTTTTTCTTTTTTTTATTATACTTTAAGTTCTGGGGAACATGTGTACAACGTGCAGGTTTGGTACATAGGTATACATGTGCCATGTTGGTGTGCTGCACCCATCAACTCATCATTTACATCAGGTATTTCTCCTAATGCTATCCCTCCCTCAGCCCCCGACCCCCTGACAGGCCCCAGTGTGTGATGTTCCCCTCCCTGTGTCCATGTGTTCTCATTGTTCAACTCCCACTTATGAGTGAGAACATGCGGTGTTTGGTTTTCTGTCCTTGTGATAGTTTGCTGATAATGATGGTTTCCAGCTTCATCCATGTCCCTACAAAGGACATGAACTCATCCTTTTTTATGGCTGCATAGTATTCCATGGTGTATATGTGCCACATTTTCTTTATCCAGTCTATCATTGATGGACATTTGAGTTGGTTCCAAGTTTTTGCTATTGTGAATAGTGCTGCAATAAACATACGTGTACATGTGTCTTTATAGTAGCATGATTTATAATCCTTTGGGTATATACCCAGTAATGGGATTGCTGGGTCAAATGGTAATTCTAGTTCTAGATCCTTGAGGAATCGCCACACTGTCTTCCACAATGGTTGAACTAATTTACACTCCCACCAACAGTGTAAAAGTGTTCCTATTTCTCCACATCCTCTCCAGCATCTGTTGTTTCCTGACTTTTTAATGATCGCCATTCTAACTGGTGTGAGATGGCCTCTCATTGTGGTTTTGATTTGCATTCTTTGATGACCAGTGATAATGAGCATTTTTCATGTGTCTGTTGGCTGCATAAATGTCTTCTTTTGAGAAGTGTCTGTTCATATCCTTTGCCCACTTTTTGATGGTGTTGTTTGCTTTTTTCTTGTAAATTTGTTGAAGTTCTTTGTAGATTCTGGATATTAGCCCTTTGTCAGATGGATAGATTGCAAAAATTTTCTCCCAATCTGTTTAGTCTGCTGATAGTTTCTTTTGCTGTGCAGAAGCTCTTTAGTTTAATTAGATCCCATTTGTCTCTTTTGGCTTGTGTTGCTATTGCTTTTGGTGTTTTAGTCATGAAGTCTTTGCCCATGCCTATGTCCTGAGTGGTATTGCCTAGGTTTTATTCTAGGGTTTTTATGGTTTTAGGTCTTACATTTAAGTCTTTAATCCATCTTGAGTTAATTTTTGTATAAGGTGTAAGGAAGAGATCCAGTTTCAGCTTTCTGCATATGGCTGGCTAGTTTTCCCAACACCGTTTATTAAATAGGGAATCCTTTCTCCATTGCTTGTTTTTGTCAGGTTTGTCAAAGATCAGATGGTTGTAAATGTGTGGTGTTATTTCGGAGGCCTCTGTTCTGTTCCGTTGGTCTATATATCTGTTTTGGTACCAGTACCATGCTGTTTTGGTTACCGTAGCCTTGTAGTATAGTTTGAAGTCAGGTAGCGTGATGCCTCCAGCTTTGTTCTTTTTGCTTAGGCTTGTCTTGGCTCTGTGCACTCTTTTTTGGTTCCATATGAAATTTAAAATAGATTTTTCCAATTCTGTGAAGAAAGTGAGTGGCAACTTGGTGGGGATAGCATTGAATCTACAAATTACCTTGGGCAGTATGGCCATTTTCACGATATTGATTCTTCCTATCCATGAGCATGGAATGTTCTTCCATTTGTTTGTGTCCTCTTTTATTTCATTGAGCAGTGGTTTGTAGTTCTCCTTGAGGAGGTTCTTCACATCCCTTGTAAGTTGTTTTCCTAGGTATTTTATTCTCTTTGTAGCAATTATAAATGGGAGTTCATTCATGATTTGGCTGTTTGTCTGTTATTGGTGTATAGCATGGAATGCTTGTGATTTTTACACATTGATTTTGATCCTGAGACTTCACTGAAGTTGCTTATCAGCTTAAGGAGATTTTGGGCTGAGATGATGAGGTTTTCTAAATATACAATCATGTCATCTGCAAACAGAGACAATTTGACTTCCTCTTTTCCAATGAATACCCTTTATTTCTTTCTCTTGCCTGATTGCCCTGGCCAGAACTTCCAACACTATGTCGAATAGGAGTGGTGAGAAAGGGCATCCTTGTCTTGTGCTGGGAATGCTTCCAGTTTTTGCCCATCCAGTATGATATTGGCTGTGGGTTTGTCATAAATAGCTCTTATTATCTTGAGATACGTTCCATCATCACCTAGTTTATTGAGAGTTTTTAGCATGAAGGGCTGTTGTTGAAGGCCTTTTCTGCATCTATTGAGATAATCATGTGGTTTTTGTCATTGGTTCTGTTTATTTGATGGATTACGTTTATTGATTTGCATATGCTGAACCAGCCTTGCATCCCAGGGATGAAGCCGACTTGATTGTGGTAGATAAGCTTTCTGATGTGCTGCTGGATTTGGTTTGCCAGTATTTTATTGAGGATTTTCTCATCAATGTTCATCAGGGATATTGGTCAAAAATTCTCTTTTTTTATTGTGTCTCTGCCAGATTTTGGTATCAGGATGATGCTGGCCTCATAAAATAAGTTAGGCAGGATTCCCTTTTTTTTATTAATCAGAATAGTTTCAGAAGGAATGGTACCTGCTCCTCTTTGTACCTCTGGTAGAATTTGGCTGTGAATCCATCTGGTCCTGGACTTTTTTTGGTTGGTAGGCTATTAATTATTGGCTCAATTTTGCCACCTGTTATTGGTCTATTCAGAGATTTGACGTCTTCCTGGTTTAGTCTTGGGAGGGTGTATGTGTCCAGGAATTTATCCATTTCTTCTAGATTTTCTAGTTTATTTGCATAGAGATGTTTATAGTATTGTCTGATGGTAGTTTGTATTTCTGTGGGATCAGCGGTGATATCCCCTTTATCATTTTTTATTGCATCTATTTGAATCTTCTCTCTTTTCTTCTTTATTAGTCTTGCTAGCGGTCTATCTATTTTGTTAATCTTTTCATGAAACCAGCTCCTGGATTCATTGATTTTTTGAAGGGTTTTTTGTGTCTCTGTCTCCTTCAGTTCTGCTCTGATCTTAGTTATTTCTGTCTTCTGCTAGCTTTTGAATTTGTTTGCTCTTGCTTCTCTAGTTCTTTTAATTGTGATGTTAGGGTGTCAATGTTAGATCTTTCCTGCTTTCTCTTGTGAGCATTTAGTGATATAAATTTCCCTCTACACACTGCTTTAAATGTGTCCCAGAGATTCTGGTATGTTGTGTCTTCATTCTCATTGGCTTCAAAGAATATCTTTATTTCTGCCCTCATTTTGTTGTTTACCCAGTAGTCATTCAGGAGCAGGTTGTTCAGTTTCCATGTTGTTGTGTGGTTTTGAGTGAGTTTCTTAATCCTGAGTTCTAATTTGATTGCACTGTGGTCTGAGAGACAGTTTGTTGTGATTTCTGCTCTTTTATATTTGCTGAGGAGTGTTTTACTTCCAATTATGTGGTCAATTTTAGAATAAGTGTGATGTGGTGCTGAGAAGAATGTATATTCTATTGATTTGGGATGGAGAATTCTGTAGGTGTCTATTAGGTCTACTTGGTCCAGAGCTGAGTTCAAGTCCTGGATATCCTTGTTAATTTACTGTCTCATTGATCTGTCTCATATTAACAGTGGGGTGTTAAAGTCTCCCACTATTATTGTGTGGGAGTCTAAGTCTCTTTGTAGGTCTCTAAAAACTTGCTTTCTGAATCTGGGTGCTCCTGTATTGGGTGCATATATATTTAGGAGAGTTAGCTCTTGTTGTTGCATTGATCCCTTTACCATTATGTAATGGCCTTCTTTGTCTCTTTTGATCTTTGTTGGTTTAAAGTCAGTTTTATCAGATACTGGGATTTCAACCCCTTTTTTTTGTTTTCCATTTGCTTGGTAGATCTTCCTTCATCCCTTTATTTTGAGCCTATGTGTGTCTTTGCACAGGAGATGGGTCTCCTGAATACAGCACACTGATGGGTCTTGACTCTTTATCCAATTTGCCAGTCTGTATCTTTTAATTGGGGCATTTAGCCCATTTACATTTAAGGTGAATATTGTTATATGTGAATTTGAGCCTGTCATTGTGATGCTAGCTGGTTATTTTGCCCATTAGTTGATGCAGTTTCTTCATAGTGTCGATGGTCTTTCCAATTTGGCATGTTTTTGCAGTGACTGGTACCGATTGTTTCTTTCCATGTTTAGTGCTTCCTTCAGGAGCTCTTGTAAGGCAGACCTGGTGGAAACAAAATCTCTCAGCATTTGCTTGTCTGTAAAGGATTTTATTTCTCCTTCACTTATGAAGCTTAGTTTGGCTGGATATGAAATTCTGGGTTGAAAATTCTTTTCTTTAAGAATGTTGAATATTGGCCTCCACTCTCTTCTGGCTTGTAGGGTTTCTGCTGAGAGATCTGCTGTTAGTCTGATGTGCTTCCCTTTGTGGGTAACCCAACCTTTCTCTCTGGCTGCCCTTAATATTTTTTCCTTCATTTCAATCTTGGTGAATCTGAAAATATGTGTCTTGGGGTTGCTCTTCTCAAGGAATATCTTTGTGGTGTTCTCTGTATTTCCTGAATTTGAATATTCGCCTGCCTTGCTAGGATGGGGAAGTTCTCCTGGATAATATCCTGAAGAGTGTTTTCTAACTTGATTCCATTCTCCCCGTCACTTTCGGGTACGCCAATCAAACGTAGATTCGGTCTTTTCACATAGTCCCATATTTCTTGGAGGCTTTGTTCATTTCTTTTCAGTCTTTTTTCTCTGATCTTTTCTTCTCTCTTTATTTTATTAATTTGATCTTCAATCACTGATAATCCTTTCTTCTGCTTGATCTAATTGGCTATTGAAGATTGTGTATGCGTCACGAAGTTCTCATGCTGTGTTTTTCAGCTCCGTCAGGTCATTTATGTTCTTCTCTACCCTGGTTGTTCTAGTTAGCCATTTCGTCTAATCTTTTTTCAAGGTTTTTAGCTTCCTTGAGATGGGTTAGAACATGCTCCTTTAGCTCGGAGATGTTTGTTATTACCCACCTTCTGAAGCCTACTTCTGTTAACTCATCAAACTCATTCTCCATCCAGTTTTGTTCCCTTGCTGGTGAGGAGTTGTGATCCTTTGGAGGATAAGAGGCATTCTGGTTTTTGGAATTTTCAGCCTTTCTGTGCTGGTTTCTCCCCATCTTTGTGGTTTTATCTACATTTTGTCTTTGATGTTGGTGACCTATGGATGGGGTTTTGGTGTGGATGTCCTTTTTTTTGATGTTGATGCTATTCCTTTCTGTTTGTTAGTTTTCCTTCTAACAGGTCCTTCAGCTGCAAGTCTGTTGGAGTTTGCTGGGGGTCCACTCCAGACCCTGTTTGCCTGGGTATCATCAGCGGATGCTGCAGAGCAGCAAATATTGCTGCCCAATCCTTCCTCTGGAAGCTTCGTCCCAGAGGGGCACCTGCCAGATGCCAGCCAGTGCTCTCCTGTATGAGGTGTCTGTCGGCCCCAACTGGGAGGTATCTCCCAGTCAGGCTACACGGGGGTCAGGGACCCACTTGAGGAGGCAGTCTGTCTGTTATCAGAGCTCGATCGCCATGCTGGGAGAACCACTGCTCTCTTCAGAGCTGTCAGGCATTTAAGTCTGCTGAAGCTGTGCCCACCACTGCCCTTCCCTCAGGTGCTCTGTCCCAGGGAGATGAGGCTTTTTTCTATAAGTCCCTGACTTGGGCTGCTGCCTTTTGTTTAGATATGCCCTGCCCACAGAGGTGGAATCTAGAGAGGCAGTTGGCCTCACTGCTGCAGTAGGCTCCACCTGGTTTGAGCTTCTCAATGGGTTTGTTTACACTGTGAGCATAAAACCACCTGCTCAAGCCTCAGCAATAGCGAACGCTCTTCCCCCGACCAAGCTCCAGCATCCCAGTTCTATCTCAGACTGCTGCCCTAGCAGCAAGAATTTCAAGCCAGTGGATCTTAGCTTGCTGGGCTCCGTGGGTGGGGGACCCGCTGAGCCAGGCACCAGAGGGAATCTCCTGGTCTGTGGGTTGCGAAGACCACGGGAAAAGCATAGTATTTTGGCAAGAGTGTACCGTCGCACCTGGTACAGTCTCTCATGGCTTCCCTTGGCTAGGAAAGGGAAATACCCTGACTCCTTGTACTTCCTGGATGAGGCGACGCCCTGCCCTGCTTTGGCTCTCCCTCCATGGCCTGCACACACTGTCCAGCCAGTCCTAATGAGATGAAGCAGGTACCTCAGTTGGAAATGCAGAAATCACCCGTCTTCTGCATTGATCTTACTGGGAGCTGAAGACTGGAGCTGTTCCTATTTGGCCATCTTGCCGGAAAATCCGTTTTTGTTTTTTTTTTTTTTTTAATAAAAGAACACAATGCTGATTAGAAGTAGCAGCATATAATAGTTATACAGGTAATACTTGTGAGTAGACAAACACATACAACCATTTTAGAAAATAATTTGATAGTATGTATGGCTATCCCTTTAAAACATGCATATATTTATAATATATGCATAATATATGCATGATAATATGCATAATAATATTGCATGATAATATGCATGATAATATATGCATGATAATATATGCATAATAATTTCACACGTGAGAATCTTAATAATCCTAAATACACAAAATTAATATACAAAGATGTTCAGTGTATCATTGTGTATAATAGAAAAAATAGAAACAACCTACGTGTTCAATCATGAAAGATTAAATAAATCATGCTGTATTAATATACATAAATATTACACAACTATTAAAATGGTGTTTAAAGGAGTTTTTAGTGACATGGGAAATTTTATGTTAACTATCAAATGCAAGAAACAGGATATGACATCATTTTTTAAAGGCAGAAAAAAGACCAGAAAGAAATATGCCCAAATATTCACAGACATTGTCTCTGGGTAATAGAGGTTTGTAGGAAGTTTTATCTTTATTTTTTGGTACGTGTTTGACTTCATATGATTTTTACAGATACTTTATGTTATAGGGAGAGGAATTTAATTGTTCATTTTCTTATTTCTAATTAGTGCTGCAATATGCCCACAAGCAGTTCTCAATATTTCTAATATTAGAGGCTATTTTTTTATTTTTGCTTTCATCTCCAACCTGTGGTCTGTTCCCAGGACAGTTCCTGGTGCAAAGGATAGTACTGGAAAGACATCTACTTTCCGTTTTTCTCTGTCAGTCCTATCTCCACCTGCCCCTCAGCAAAAGCAGTGAAGTTAGCCAACTGCTCGCAGCCCCTGGCCCTAGGTACAGGGACATTAACCCTATAGAGTGTGAATTCATTTTTTCTACTCCTTTCAACTCTGAACTGGCGAAAATGTCATTTATTACAAGTCTGACAATCAGTCCTTAGTTTTAGGTTTGAATGCATGTGAGAGAGTTTTCATGAATTTTTAAAATTTCATCTTCTTATATTCTGAATGTACTTTTATCCTGATAATTTGAAAACTGGACCTTTTCTAGATTTAGGAAGATAAATAAGCAAACCACCCAAAAAGCCTACTTGTTAAACTAGAGAGGTTACCTCAATATGGAATGTGGGACTTTAGTTTTGTCCATTCCCACGAAAGTCTTGAGGATTCGGTTAAATCCAGAACTGAGAAGTTTTAATTATTTAAGGTAGAGAATAGCTACATAAAGTTAGTCCCCAGCCTGCAAACAGTAATTTACACAGACACCCAGCCACCCTTCCCCCTCCTTCCAAAAACCACCAGCAAAATCATTGCCAGGGGGCTCTGAAGTGGAAGATGAGACGCCTTGCAAAGCTCAGGAGAGCTGCCTCCTACTCACGGCAGTCCCTGTGCCCTGCAAGGGACCTAAACAGAGTCTCCAGAAAATCCATAGGTTAAATCCATCCTTAGAGTTAGCAGGTAACCCCTTGAAAAAAATGCAGATACCTCTGGAGCAATCTGGCACTGCTATATTTATATATATTAGTGCAATAAAATCACTTTTTTCCTGAGGGTTGTGCAGTGAAGGAATAGAAAATTATATTGTGGTAACGGCAGGAGCCTTGTGAATGCTGAGTAAAGAGAAGACCTGGACAGAGTAGGGGATGTATTTATTTTTATTTTTATGTCAGTATTTTTAATAATTAGCAAATCACTGTGCTCTGAGCTGTGACTGAAAAAGGAATCAAGAGGGAAGTTTGCAAAGATGAATATGGCTTAGTCCTGGATCTCAGTGGGGTCTACAGTTGGGTGTGGAGAAGTTACACTAACAGTAATACAAAGTGCAAATAGTAATACAAAGGCAACCACATGTAAGATGGAGATGGCAGCAGCCAGTCTGAAGGATTCAAATTGGGAAGCAGCGTCACGGGGCTGTTTTTCACGTGCATGTTGGGGGGAGCAGGCTTGATGGCCAGAGGCCATCAAGGTCTGTGCACAGGAGCCTGGAAAGAAAGGGTTGGGGAGACAACAGAAGGGCTCAGGAATGGTTAAGGGAAGATTCTGAAGACTGTTTCCATTTGAATTTTTTTTCACCAAGCTTCGGTTGTGTACAAGAGGGAAGGAGGAGATGTTCTTTCTCTTCTTCACTCCTTGACCACATTCTGTCCTGCCCCAGGACCCAGAACTCAAACAGTTAAATGACCACACTTGAACTTGGGAAATGCATTCTGAATGCCAATAACCAATTTAGAGTCAAATTTGTGGCACATAGCTTATTTGTAGCTTGAGGGTTACCCAGGCAGAAAAAATGTAAAACTGCTTTGTAAAATTAAAAACCCTTAGTAAATATAAGATATTATTACTACAATATTCTAGCTGTTTTTGTCTTTTTAGAGGTACCATGCAAGGACGGTGCTCTCAACATTAAATCTGGAATCCAGACTACATCCAATGACAAAACAAAACCCAAGTAGTGTCCACAGAGCTCTGGGGTTCACAATGGCTCTATCCACTGAACACACCCCAGATATCACTGCGTTATAGAGCTGATGTGGCTCAGTTGGAGGGACCCCCTTTGTAACAGCCACTAGAAAAGCCATAACCTACAACGCAAGAGCATTTTCTCTTTAAGTCACAGCGATGGCTGTAGGGAGTCAGGTGCATTAGCTCACTTCCCGCATTAAAAATAGCTTATGCAAGTTTGTTAGCCTCTTCAATTGATTTCCTAACAGAGGTCTGTGAAATGTCAGTTTCTCTCGAGAAAATAATGCTTTTTGAAAACTTTGAACTCTGCAGACAAGACTGGCAAATAAAAAAACATTAGTTTTTCAATTTAAAAGAGAAGATCTAGGCTGGGCACGGTGGTTCACGCCTGTAATCGCAGCACTTTGGGAGGCCAAGGTGGGAGGATCACTTGAGGTGAAGAATTCGAGACCAGACTCGCCAACGTGGCAAAACCCCGTCTCTACTAAAACACAAAAATTAGCCAGGCATGGTGGTGCGCACTTGTAGTCCCAGCTTACTCAGGAGGCTGAGGCATGAGAATCGTTTGAACCCAGGAGGTGGAGGTTGCAGTGAGCTCAGATCGCGCCACTGCACTCCAACCTGGGCAACAGAGCAAGACTCCATCTCAAAAAAAAAAAAAAAAGAAAAAGAAAAAAAGAGAGAAGAGAGAAAATCTTGACGATGCTGTTAGGTTTCTGCAGCATTTTCGGATTTCTTATGATTTCTGACATTTTTATAATTTATCTGATCTTTGCAATAACCCTGCAAAGTAGGTGGAGGAGATATTCTCAGAAGGTAAAACTGAGGCCCAGTGATTATAAGACACGGTCACAGAGCTGATTGGTGTCAGAGCCCCCAGCTCACTGGACTCATGTCTAGACTGTTTCACAATAGTGAAGGGCCACCAGGCCATTGTTCAGATGGTTTCCTTCATAGGGGCCTGTGTTGCTGAAGATTCACCCAGAATCTCTATTTCTTGCTTTTACTGTCTCATTTGTCTGCTCTGTTCATGACCCTGAATCCATCTAGGCACAAGAGATGGACTAACCTGCAAAAATCAGTTGCAAGTGACAACTGGATGTTCTGGGCAGTCACTCAGCAAGGGCTCCCTGCTGCCTCACTGCTCCTGGCTCACTTGCCTTTGCTCTTATCTCTGAACACCTGTGGCAAGATTTCTACACCTGCATTGATTCCACATATTTGGTGTTTCTTTGGGTTTATCTCCTAGAATTTTAGACCTTTACCTGTTCTTCTAGCCTCAGAAATCCCAACTCTAGAGTCCCCATCTTTATTTAAGCCAACCCTGGCCAGGCCTGTCATTGGCCATCATTAAACTGTGTGAGGGATGGGTTTCAACATTCCTTAGTATATACCTAAGACTACTAGATGGAGTCTGGTCAGTTCCACTCTTTACCTCTGCGAAAAGAAAACATGAAATTCTTCAGAAACTTGGCAGTGCTCCTGGCCCAAATGACAGACGAGCTGAAGCTGTTGGCTCATAATTACAGCTGCTGCCTGACGGAACAGAGCCAGCCTTATCTTTGCTCCTTCCCAGAGAAATTCCTGGATAGCTCTAGAAAATTTGGGGACTTTTTGTGGGGTTGCAGAATAATTTTTATTGATTTTCCACTTTGCAGGCATGAGTTGTCATTTCCATACAAATCAGTAGGCCCCATCCCTGAACATGAGCCTTGTCCCTTAGAATGTGCCAAATACCATGTCAGCTCCATTGCGTAGAAGGCTTAGTCTCTAAATTCCAGAGTTATATCTGCTGCCACTACAATTAGAATGAGGTGATTGGCATCATGGACCCACATTAGCTGAGGTGGTTTTGTTACAAGCACCTACTCTTGCAAGCCCATGAAAAAAGATAATGTATTGAAAGGATGCTGGGGGGTTCAAGGATTTGAAGGGAAGTTTTGAAGAACTAGGCTGGGAACAGACAGGAACCAGCTAGCTTTAGATCAGGCACAATAGTTCCTCACCATCTGTTCCAGTGCTACCACCAAACAAACACCAATCATTTATTTCATCCTTACATTATTCTGCCAAAGTCTCAAAGTCCCAAGAGAGAGAAAAGCTACCCTGTGGTCACAAACCTCCCTATGGATGAACCAGGGATGTTGAGAAGACTTCACAGGTCTCTCTGGCTTCCTTAAAGTGAAGGAAGGACGCCTTGCGGTGCTCTTCCACTAAGATGGGACACACTATGGGGAAAGGAAATCAGGGTGGGGTTAGGAAGACATAATGAGTGTTAGGTGGTTAAAAAAAAAAAAAAAAAGTATGCCCCAGGGAGGGCACCTGCACTGCTGCTCTCTGCAAGTTAGCCTGGCCAGTTCCACTCTCCCAAGTAACTGCTTTGTGGGAAGGTTTAAATAGTCCTTGAGACCCTGCCACACCTTCTCAGGGTGTCCCTGAAGTGGTCTCCCAAGCAGAGTGGAGGGAGGAACTTCTGCTGCTCATCACTGGCAGTCAGGCTGCCGAGTGAGGCTGTTGTGCTTGCATATGGGAGACTAGCCATTCTGTACTTAGATGTCCAGACCGAGCCATGCTGTCCATTTTTCTAGAAAGCTGCTCTGGCCCTTCAGAGAGAGGAAACTGGTTAGCCTCATCATACTCCTCTGTGTCCCAGCCCCCAATCTCAGTGGCGACAGGTTCCATGTCCTGTAGTGCCGAGTTGGTACTGTTTTGGGAGTGCATACCATAGTGTACTTAAGGATCTTAGAAAGCTTAGTGGACAGTCCCCCTCAACCACCAGGCCTGGCTCTTCACCACATACCTACAGCAACTCAGTGCGCGTGGGCTCCAGGAGATTCTCCCCTGAGAGATCTGGTCCCACTCTCACAATTGGTCTCACTGACTTGACTATGGTCAGGTCACTTGTCTGCTACCTTGTAGCATTCAGTGACTGCACTTTCCTCTTGTCCTTGGCCTTTCCTAGCTGGAGGTCAATGACCCAGATACTACTTGGGAAACATATCTTGCATTTCACTTTTAAAGCCTGCTGGAAATTCTGCTTGCAGGCCCCAAAGCTCTAGATCACTGTCTGGGTATTCCTGAAATCAAATAAGTATCCATCTACCAGCAAGTATTTCCCCAGAGGAAGCAGAGGAGTTTCTCTAAAATTAGGAATAAAACTGCTGTAGCCCTGCTGCGTAGGCCCTGCATACCTGCAAAACTGCAGTGCTTGCTAGGTGAGCCTGAGGCTGAGGCATTCTGTAGCTATATTGATATGAAGCTGTGTCTAGGGTTCATCAGGATTTCCATCACTGCCTCAGAAAAATGTAGAGCTCATTCTAGCCAGGTCTGCCACAGCCTCAAGGCAAGCTCCCATTCAGGATTGCTAAGCAAGCCTACTAATCCCTCTGACCTCAAAGATGAACTATGCAGAGTGCAGGTTTTTGAGAAGTGCAGCTTGTCTAAAATGGTGCAGCAAAGAACGTGTAAGGCAGCCTTCCAGAAGTGCCCTAAGCAGTCCCATTATACAGCAATGTGCCATTCTGCCAGGACAATGCTTCTATTCTTAAATGTCCAATGAAAGGGCACCTGCAAGACTGCAGTGGCTTCTGTCGGTTTGGAGGGCATCCTCTGGTATTTGCCAGGTTTGGGTCCCACGAGCACCTGACCTGGCAGAGTTATACTTTAGGCTACCTCTAGGCCAGCTTGAGAAACACTTTTGAAAGTCTGAAGATTAAGAGTTTCCATGATCTGTCTTGCCAAGGCAAACTGATTTTTAGAAGGCAAACTGTCCCCATCCCTACCCCCTACCCAGAAGTCTGACAGATCCTGGAGTTCACAAGGTACTACTGGTAATTCAGCTCTCATTTTCCACTCTGGCCATCCAAACAGTCAAACCCAGGCAAGAAAGAAAGAAAGGGGGATTGTCTGAGTTTTGGCTGTAACTATTGCCCACCAAGAGGAAAAACTTTTCTGTCCTGTTTTTGCTCTACTATGATCCCGAACAGCTGTGCACTTTGAAACAAATGCTTGTTATATCATGGTGGGAATCAAAAACAGGAGACCATATGTGCAAGTTTTAAAGCTGGTTCTGTCCTAGAACAACCACCCTGGGAGCAGGCACTACTGGCCATCGGGGCTGCCTTTCACACATGGAGGCAACATGTGGAGGGGCCAGCAGGCTCTTATTTGGATGCAGCCTCATGGCTGTCATTTATTG